>NC_000004.12:48408651-48718075 GCF_000001405.40 Homo sapiens
ACAAGCTATGTGTTATTACAAAAGAGTCACGTTTTTAAGTTAAAGCTTATAAACTAAAATAGTTAACAGTAAGCTAAGGTTAATTTATTATTGAAGAAAAATAAATTTAGTGTAGCTTAAGTGTGTAGTATTTATAAGGTTTGCAGTAGGGTGTACCCTACTGCAGACTTTCACATTCACTTACCACTCACTCAATTTCAGTTCTATAAGCTCCATTCATGGAAAGTGCCCTATACAGATGTACCATATTTTGTCTTTTATAACATTTTTACTGTACTTTCTCTATGTTTAGATATGTTTGGATATGCAAATGCCGTTGTGTTACAATTGCCTACAGTATTCAGTACAGTAGCATGCTGTATTGGTTTGTAGCCTAGGAGCCATAGACTATTTTTAAAAATTTTTTGTGTGTACATAGTAGGTGTGTGTATTTATGGAGCACATGAGATATTTTGATACAGGCAAGCAATGTGAAATAATAACATCACAGAGAATCAGGTCCCCATCCCCTCAAGCATTCATCCTTTGTGTTACAGACAATCCAATTACACTCTTTAAGGTATTTTAGAATATACAATTAAGTTATTGTTGACTATAGTCACCTGGTTGTGCTATCACATAGTAGGTCTTTCTCTATTTTTTTTTGGTATCCATTAACCATCTCCACCTCCCCCGACCCTGCCATCAGCTATTCCATATAGCCTAGGTGTGTAGTAGCTTAAATCACTTAGGTTTGCATAAGTACACTCAGATGTTCCTACACGGACAAACTTGCCTAATGATTCATTTCTCAGAACATATCCCCATCGTTAAGTGACACATAACTGTACTTTGTTCCTTTTTATTGCCAAATATTCCATTGCGTGGATGCACCACATTTTGTTTATCCATTCATCACTTGGTGGATACTTGAGTTGTTTCCACTTTTTGCCTATTGTGAATAATCCTGTGGTCAGACCCGGTGGCTCACGCCTGTAATCCCAGCACTTTGGGAGGCCGAGGTGGGCAGATCACCTGAGGTCAGGAGTTTGAGACCAGCCTGGTCAACATGGTGAATCCTCGTCTCTACTAAAAGTACAAAAATTAGCTGGGTGTGGTGGTGGGCGCCTGTAACCTCAGCTACCCGGAAGGCTGAGGTAGGAGAACTGCTTGAACCTGGGAGGCAGAGGTTGCAGTGAGCTGAGATCGTGCCATTGCACTCCAGCCTAGACGACAGAGCAAGACTCCATCTCAAAATAATAATAATAATAATGCTGTGAACATTCATGTACAAGTGTTTACATGGACAGACATGTTTTAGTTCTCTTGATTATATGCTTAGTGTAATTACTGGATCATATGGTAGCTTTATGTTTAACATATTAAGGATCTGCTAAACTGTTTTCCAGAGTGGCTACAACATTTTACAGTGTCACCAGCACTGTATGAGGGTTCCAGTTTCTCCATCTCCTCAGTAACACTTGTTGTCTTTTATTTTAGCGATCCTGGTGAAGTGTTGTAAAGTGGAATCTCATTGTGGTTTTTATTTTGCATGAGTAATGTTGAGCATCTTTTCATGTGCTTATTGGCCATTTGTATATCTTCTTTGGAGAAATGTCTATTCAAATTCTTTGTCTCTGTTTTTTTAGTTTTTTTTTTTTTTAATTGAGTAGTCACATTCCTTTATATATTCTGGATTCAAGTCCCATATCAGATCCATGATTTGTAAATATTTTCTCCTACTCAGTGGATTTATTCTTCACTTTCTTTATGGTATCCTTTGAAGCACAAAAGTTCTTAATTTTGATGAAGTATCATTTATCAATTTTTGATCTTATGGGTCATGCTCATAGTGTCATAAGAAATCAGTGCCTAACCCTAGTCATTACTCCTGTTCCTTCTGCTCTACCCCACCTGCTCTTGCCAGACACGAATCCGCTGCGCTTTCCCCTTCGGTACTTGGAGCTTTCTGCAGCCCTTCCCTTCCCCAAGTCCGGCTCCGCTTGCAGTATCCTGCCCTCCTCCCCATCTGGCCTGCAGCACCAGCACCAGGACCATGCTCTTCTATTCCTTTTTCAATCCCTGTGGGCAAGGATGTAAACCTGGAACTCAAGAATGACCTGCTTATCTGTGGACCCCTGCATGCTGTGGATCAGTATCTCAACATCAGATTAACTAACATCAGCGTTACAGACCCTGAGAAATACCCTCACATCTTCATTCGGGGCTTAGTGGTCCAAAATGTGCAGTTGCCAGCAGACAGGGTCGACAAAGTTGCTGCAGAATGCAGCAAGGAAGGAAGCCCTATAGCAGAAACAGTGATGGCTCCTCCTCTTCCTCCTCCTCTTCCCTTCCCTCTTCCATTGCTGACCCATAACCCCAAGTCCCAGCTTAGGACCCCTGACCGTGAATACTTGAAGCAATTGTGTTTCGTTGGTGTTTTTTCGTCGTTGTTGTTTTAACTAGTGAGTGTGTGTGTATGTGTGTGTGTGTTTAAGGGATGACTGGATGAGAGGGATAATAGGGAACAGCTCTCCCTGTTGAGAAGGGGAGGATAAGTAGGCTGGGAAATTTCAAAGCCTTCCTAGTCCTCAGCATCTATCTTTCTCACTACTTCCCTAGAGATGGTGGGAGAGTTTCCTAGGTCTTTCCAGGGCAGCATGTGATTCGTTTTGGGGATGGAAGAAATCTGTACCACATCAGGAATAAAATTCACGATGCAAAAAACAAACAAACAAACACTCCTATGTTTTTTTCTAAGAACTTTATGGGTTAGCTCTTACACTTAGGTCTGTGATCCATTTTGAGTTAATTTTTTTAATAGTGTGAAGTGTAGGGGTCCAACTTCATTCTTTTGTACGTGAATATCCAGTTGTCCTAGCAGCATTTTGAACTCTTCCCTGCTTTTATCTGGACTTCATTTTCCTTTATCTGGAATGTCCCTGTTCTGCTCTATTTGGATTATCTTCTGAGTTTTTTTTTTTTCCTTAGCATGAAGTTTTACCTGGAAGAGGGATTTGGCTGGTTAATTTTAAGAATTCATAGCCACTCATGTTCTTCTTAGACCTTACAGTAGACCTCTTGTACTCACTCACTATTGGAGTATGCAGATCCTTCCCAGTTCAGCTTCTGTTCAGCATTTTTTTGTATGAGTACTTGTTGGTTATTTTGGAATTTTCAGGACATTGAGATATTCCTCTGCTTCCTTCTGCACAGATACTGATAATTCATATGGTCTTGTAGTTGTCAGTGACTTCTTCCTACCCACTTGTATTTTGGGCCTCATGGAGATACTCCATCACCTGGTTTTATTGTAGCTATTGTAAATGGGTTTTGGTTTGACCTTCCTAGTTGCTCTGTATGTTTTTATGGAGAGAGTTGAGGAAATTCGTAAATTACACCAATGCCGGTACCATCTTTCAAGAATCCTCATAATTATGTTTCTTAATCTTGACATTGACATTTTTTCCGCTTTCCTCACTAGACACTCTAAGGTTAGTTATATGTTAATTTATTAAACTAAAATACAATAAGTTATATAGGTATAGATGTACAGCTGTTTATATATACTGTGTACTAAAACTAACGTGTCTCTCAAATCTTGATATCATGTATTTTGATACCTAATCAATTCCCTAATTTTGGAAATGTGGCTATTTTGTTAAAAACTTCCCCTACCAGGGTGGAGATATCTAATGAATCTTAATAGTTCCTGTAATGTATGTTTGTATATGTACACACACACACACACACACACACACACACACACACACACACACACACACATTCCCTCTCTCTCTCTCTCTCTGTGTCTCAGCTTTGGCACCCAAAGGGTGGCTAAGGTTTTCAGTTGAATAAACATATTTCTTTCTAAAAAGTTTATTTCTAAAAGTCATTATTGAGGTTGGGGCAATTATCTTGAAGAGGATCAGTTCCAAAGTTATTTTCTATTTAGAGTAAATTGGAAGATTAAGCTGTAAATGTTTGCTGGTAGCTTATGCATTCATATATATCTTTTTGTATTTATGGAAGAAAAGGTATTGAAGCCCTATTTTCGGGGCATTTTCTGCATCTTACATTTAATAAATTTTTCTAATAACTAACAATTTTTGTATGCTTACAAAATAATAGTCGTGTACGTTAATGGAAGAAGAAATCAAAGGTTTCTGTGTCTTTCTCTTTTATGGTTACTTGTCAGCAATTGCCATTTTTATATGCTTTGGAGTCATACCTTATAAAACCTGCCTAGGATAGTAACCCCACAAATAAACTTTCTGAGTCTGGTTGAAAATTAAAGTGTTGATAATGACACTTTGGCCAGACACGGTGGCTCACCTATAATCGCAGCATTTTGGAAGACTGAGATGGGCAGATCACTTAAGAGGCCAGGAGGTTGAGACCAGCCAGACCATCATGGCAAAACTCCGTCTCTACCAAAAAAAAACAAATTATCCAGACCCGGTGACCTGCATCTGTAGTCCCAGCTACTTGGGAGGCTGAGGCACGAGAGTCGCTTGAACCTGTGAGGCAGACGTTGCAGTGAACCAAGTTTGTGCCACTGTTCTCCATCCTGGGTGATAGAGCGAGACTCTGCCTCAAAAAAAAAAAAAAATGTTGATAATGACAGTAGAGATGTTTCTCTTTTGGTTCCTGGTAAAGAATACTGATCTGGGAATCTGGAGACCTGGGTTCAGTTCAGTTATAACACGACATCCTGACTTTCCTATTTGCTCAGTTGACTTCTGTGGTTGTGGTAATTTCCCTTATCCATGAAGTGAGAGGGTTAGAGTACATGGTCAGTAATAACTTTTTTTACAAGGATTCTTTAATTCTGTAGTGAGAGAATCATATTTAATTCATCTTTTTGTTCTTTAGCAGCCAGAACTTATTTTTAAATACTTGTGTCAGTAAATTGTGATTATCATTGATAGGGTAGATACCATTGAATAATTGAAATGATATGACAGTATAGTAAGGGATCGTTGACAAGGAGATATTTTTGTCCTTCATTTGTTAATAATGGAATTCATATGTGTTTTAATAAATGATGTTTCCTGTTGGTCATGATGACCAGTGTTTGGCAATGTGTTTATTTTTATTACTATATACTTACTGGGCATTTATAGTTTTTATAAATTATGCAGCTAAGGGAAGTTGTAGTTTGAAGGAAGACTGCTCTGTGAAGACAACTTGGAATATCTAACTTTTGTATTGCTAGGTACATGTTGGATATATTTTTATAAAACATTTTATTTTCAGTGAATATCAAGTTAAAAAGATATGTATAATTTATTCAGTTTTTTCATTTTAGGGTTAAGTGCATGCCTGAATTATAGAAACCTTAAGTAGAAAACAAACTTAGCACAATTATTAAATACTTATTAAAAGAAAAAATATTTTAAGATACGAATTCTCTATTACCCATCATCCTAATTTGGAGATAACTTAGACACCAAGGTTAGGATTCTTAGTCATGTCATTTTTATAAATAGAGTTCTAATTTTTGCTCAGAGCAGATAGATCTCCTTCACATTATGCCTGACTCGAGTGTAATTCTTGGTATTCAAAAAGAGTAAAGAGAAATTATAACTTGTCAATATCAATTTGGGTAATACATTTTGGGTAATAACTTAATATTTACATTTGAGTTAATTTATAGGGAAAGCCTAGGAGACTGTTCTGAGTGGCATTGTTGAATATCCATCTAGGAAATTCATGTGTAGCAGACTAAAGGAGGCCTGTTCTTTAGATAAGAAAGCCACAGATAAGAATGCCTTACAATTTGTTTAATATTTTACATTTTACTAACAATTTACACATTTATTACTCGTTTGCTCTTCACAGCAAACTTATATTGGCTCAGATTTATTAGATTTATATGTAAGTGGTTTTCTTTTCAAGCAATGCAATTGGTGTGGTATTTTTTTTTTTTTTTTTTTTATTATACTCTAAGTTTTAGGGTACATGTGCACATTGTGCAGGTTAGTTACATATGTATACATGTGCCATGCTGGTGCGCTGCACCCACTAATGTGTCATCTAGCATTAGGTATATCTCCCAATGCTATCCCTCCCCCCTCCCCCGACCCCACCACAGTCCCCAGAGTGTGATATTCCCCTTCCTGTGTCCATGTGATCTCATTGTTCAATTCCCACCTATGAGTGAGAATATGCGGTGTTTGGTTTTTTGTTCTTGCGATAGTTTACTGAGAATGATGGTTTCCAATTTCATCCATGTCCCTACAAAGGATATGAACTCATCATTTTTTATGGCTGCATAGTATTCCATGGTGTATATGTGCCACATTTTCTTAATCCAGTCTATCATTGTTGGACATTTGGGTTGGTTCCAAGTCTTTGCTATTGTGAATAGTGCCGCAATAAACATACGTGTGCATGTGTCTTTATAGCAGCATGATTTATAGTCCTTTGGGTATATACCCAGTAATGGGATGGCTGGGTCAAATGGTATTTCTAGTTCTAGATCCCTGAGGAATCGCCACACTGACTTCCACAATGGTTGAACTAGTTTACAGTCCCACCAACAGTGTAAAAGTGTTCCTATTTCTCCACATCCTCTCCAGCACCTGTTGTTTCCTGACTTTTTAATGATAGCCATTCTAACTGGTGTGAGATGATATCTCATAGTGGTTTTGATTTGCATTTCTCTGATGGCCAGTGATGATGAGCATTTCTTCATGTGTTTTTTGGCTGCATAAATGTCTTCTTTTGAGAAGTGTCTGTTCATATCCTTCACCCACTTTTTGATGGGGTTGTTTGTTTTTTTCTTGTAAATTTGTTTGAGTTCATTGTAGATTCTGGATATTAGCCCTTTGTCAGATGAGTAGGTTGCGAAAATTTTCTCCCATGTTGTAGGTTGCCTGTTCACTCTGATGGTAGTTTCTTTTGCTGTGCAGAAGCTCTTTAGTTTCATTAGATCCCATTTGTCAATTTTGGCTTTTGTTGCCATTGCTTTTGGTGTTTTGGACATGAAGTCCTTGCCCACGCCTGTGTCCTGAATGGTAATGCCTAGGTTTTCTTCTAGGGTTTTTATGGTTTTAGGTCTAACGTTTAAATCTTTAATCCATCTTGAATTGATTTTTGTATAAGGTGTAAGGAAGGGATCCAGTTTCAGCTTTCTACATATGGCTAGCCAGTTTTCCCAGCACCATTTATTAAATAGGGAATCCTTTCCCCATTGCTTGTTTTTCTCAGGTTTGTCAAAGATCAGATAGTTGTAGATATGCGGCATTATTTCTGAGGGCTCTGTTCTGTTCCATTGATCTATATCTCTGTTTTGGTACCAGTAGCATGCTGTTTTGGTTACTGTAGCCTTGTAGTATAGTTTGAAGTCAGGTAGTGTGATGCCTCCAGCTTTGTTCTTTTGGCTTAGGATTGACTTGGCGATGCGGGCTCTTTTTTGGTTCCATATGAACTTTAAGGTAGTTTTTTCCAATTCTGTGAAGAAAGTCATTGGTAGCTTGATGGGGATGGCATTGAATCTGTAAATTACCTTGGGCAGTATGGCCATTTTCACGATATTGATTCTTCCTACCCATGAGCATGGAATGTTCTTCCATTTGTTTGTGTCCTCTTTTATTTCCTTGAGCAGTGGTTTGTAGTTCTCCTTGAAGAGGTCCTTCACATCCCTTGTAAGTTGGATTCCTAGGTATTTTATTCTCTTTGAAGCAATTGTGAATGGGAGTTCACCCATGATTTGGCTCTCTGTTTGTCTGTTGTTGGTGTATAAGAATGCTTGTGATTTTTGTACATTGATTTTGTATCCTGAGACTTTGCTGAAGTTGCTTATCAGCTTAAGGAGATTTTGGGCTGAGACGATGGGGTTTTCTAGATAAACAATCATGTCGTCTGCAAACAGGGACAATTTGACTTCCTCTTTTCCTAATTGAATACCCTTTATTTCCTTCTCCTGCCTGATTGCCCTGGCCAGAACTTCCAACACTATGTTGAATAGGAGCGGTGAGAGAGGGCATCCCTGTCTTGTGCCAGTTTTCAAACTATCTCTCAGACCACAGTGCAATCAAACTAGAACTCAGGATTAAAAATCTCACTCAAAGCCGCTCAACTACATGGAAACTGAACAACCTGCTCCTGAATGACTACTGGGTACATAACGAAATGAAGGCAGAAATAAAGATGTTCTTTGAAACCAACGAGAACAAAGACACCACATACCAGAATCTCTGGGACGCATTCAAAGCAGTGTGTAGAGGGAAATTTATAGCACTAAATGCCTACAAGAGAAAGCAGGAAAGATCCAAAATTGACACCCTAACATCACAATTAAAAGAACTAGAAAAGCAAGAGCAAACACATTCAAAAGCTAGCAGAAGGCAAGAAATAACTAAAATCAGAGCAGAACTGAAGGAAATAGAGACACAAAAAACCCTTCAAAAAATCAATGAATCCAGGAGCTGGTTTTTTGAAAGGATCAACAAAATTGATAGACCGCTAG
The DNA here is from genome assembly GCF_000001405.40 of Homo sapiens. Classification (NCBI taxonomy): domain Eukaryota; kingdom Metazoa; phylum Chordata; class Mammalia; order Primates; family Hominidae; genus Homo; species Homo sapiens. The sequence continues at coordinate 48,417,107 of NC_000004.12, forward strand.
CAAGACTAATAAAAAAAGAGAGAAGAATCAAATAGACACAATAAAAAATGATAAAGGGGATATCACCACCGATCCCACAGAAATACAAACTACCATCAGAGAATACTACAAACACCTCTACGCAAATAAACTAGAAAATCTAGAAGAAATGGATAAATTCCTCGACACATACACTCTCCCAAGACTAAACCAGGAAGAAGTTGAATCTCTGAATAGACCAATAACAGGCTCTGAAATTGTGGCAATAATCAATAGTTTACCAACCAAAAAGAGTCCAGGACCAGATGGATTCACAGCCGAATTCTACCAGAGGTACAAGGAGGAACTGGTACCATTCCTTCTGAAACTATTCCAATCAATAGAAAAAGAGGGAATCCTCCCTAACTGATTTTATGAGGCCAGCATCATTCTGATACCAAAGCCGGGCAGAGACACAACCAAAAAAGAGAATTTTAGACCAATATCCTTGATGAACATTGATGCAAAAATCCTCAATAAAATACTGGCAAACCGAATCCAGCAGCACATCAAAAAGCTTACCCACCATGATCAAGTGGGCTTCATCCCTGGGATGCAAGGCTGGTTCAATATACGCAAATCAATAAATGTAATCCAGCATATAAACAGAGCCAAAGACAAAAACCACATGATTATCTCAATAGATGCAGAAAAAGCCTTTGACAAAATTCAACAACCCTTCATGCTAAAAACTCTCAATAAATTAGGTATTGATGGGATGTATTTCAAAATAATAAGAGCTATCTATGGTGTGGTATTTTTAATCTTGATTTCTAATGTTCGTTGCTGGCATATAGAAACATAGTCAGTGTTTGTATTTTTATCCAGTTCTGTGACCTTACTGAATTCACTTATTATTTCTAGAAGTGTGTGTGTGTGTAGATTCATTGGGATTTTCTGTGTAGACAACCATGGGGACAGTTTCTAACCTCTGTGCCTTTTATTATTATTTCTTCTTCTTCTTCTTCCTCTTCCTCCTCTTCCTCCCTCCTTCCTCCTTCTTTCTCCTTCCTCCTTCTTTCTCCTTCCTTCTCCCTCTTCTTCTTTTTTTTTTTTCTTGTTTATTGCACTGGCTAGAATTAGTGGTAAGAGCGTATGTTCTTGTCTTGTTCCTGGTCTTAGGGGAGATGCATTCAATCTTTCTTCATTAAGTATAATGTTAACTGTAGGGTTTTTGTAGATGTTCTTTATGAGGTTGAGGAAATTTTCCCTATTTCTGTTTTTCGGAGAACTTTTTTCATGACTGTGTTGAATTTTGTCAGATGCTTTTTTTGAGTCCGCTGTTACAATTCTGTGATTTTTCTTCATCCTGTTACTGTGGATTACACTGATTGATTTTCAAATATTGAACCAACCTTGCATCTTGGAATAAATCCTCCTTAGTCATGGCATATAAATCTATTTATATATTGCTGGATTCTATTTTCTAATATTTTTTTAAGGATTTTTACATCTATATTTGTAAACAATATTGATCCGAAGTTTTCTTTTTTGATACTGTCCTTTTCTAGTTTTGGTATCTCAGTAATACTGGCTTCATAAAATGAATTGGGACATGTTCTTTCCTATTTTGTGACGGAGATTATGTTGAATTTGTGTTCATTCTTAAACATTTGGTGGAATTTCCCAAGGTTGCTCCCAACCTCCAACAAACATTTGTTCTGCTGCTTGTTACCATAAATTAGATATGACTTTCCTCAAATTTCTTTATAACACAACATTCTACAGTGTGTGTGTGTGTATGTACACACGGACTGTTTTGTGTCTGGCACTCATTTCATTCAGCAAAATTTTTGATATTCATCTTTGTTCTATACATCAGTAGTTTACTCCTTTTTACTGCTGAGCGGTATTCTGTTGCGTGGATATGCTACAAATTGTTTATCCATTCATGTGTTGATGGACATTTGAGCTTTTTTCAGTCTTTGGCTGTTACAAAGTTGTAGTCAAGTCTTTGTGTGGACATAAGCTTTTTTCTGTTTTCCTTTTTTTTTTTGAGACAGAGTCTCGCTCTGTTGCCCAGGCTGGAATGCAGTACCGCGATCCCCGCTTATTGCAACCTCCGCCTCCTGGGTTCAAGCAGTTCTCCTGCCTCAGCCTCCCAAGTAGCTGGGACTACAAGCATGCACCACCACCCCCAACTAATTTTTGTATTTTTAGTAGAGATGGGTTTTTCACCATGTTGGCCAGGCAGGTCCCGAACTCCTGACCTCAGGTGATCCGCCCGCCTCGGACTCCCAAAGTGCTGGGATTACAGGTGTGAGTTACCACGCCTGATCTTCTTTTTTCTTTTTGAAGCAGAGTCTTGCTCTGTCACCCAGGCCGGAGTGCAGTGGCATCATCTCGGCTCACTGCAGCCTCTGCATCTCTGGTTCAGGCAGTTCTCCTGCTTCAGTTTTGAGTAGTTGGGATTATGGGTGCATGTCACCATGCCCAGCTGCCTTTTTGTTTGTTTTTTCATCATGTTGTGCTTTGTGAAGCACAGCAATGGAAGCACTTTTTAAAAATGATTTTTAGTTTCTAAATTTTTAGTTACAGTGTCAGTAATATGGGATTTGGACATAGAGCCTCCAGATACTTGATACATGTTTACGTGAATGTTTCTTTTCAGGGGAAATACATTTCAAATTCTAGACAACAGTTGGGTAGTCAACCTGTTTTTCACCTCTAGAATGTTTGTTCATATGTGGCCCACATTAGTTGCTACTGTGAGACAGAATCCTGCAGTGCCTTTTCTCTTCTGGTATTATGGATTCCAAGCTGGCCTATTTAAAATACTGTTGTCAAAGACAGTTGTAATCCTCTAAGTACTTGGTCATTTAGAACTCACAGTTACTTTTTTTCTTTTAGTAGCCCAGGAATAGCTTTTATTGTTTGCATTGCTGTGAAGTTTCCTGAATACACATGTACTAGTGCCCAATCATCAGTTGTAATTTAAAGCAATGGTTTCATATATACAGATTTCCACTCAAAAATTGGTTTTTCTTTGCCATCCCACAGTACCTTCTCCAGGCAAATTCCGTTCCCCTGCAGCACCATCTCCTTTGGCTCTTCGGCAACCAGTGAAAGCATTTAGTAACCATGGCTCTGGTTCTCCTGGTAGCCAAGAAATAACACAGCTCACACAAACCACCTCCTCACCTGGGCCTCCTATGGTTCAGAGCACAGTCTCAGCAAATCCTCCCAGCAATATCAACAGCGCTACTCTAACCAGACCTGCAGGGACAACTGCAATGAGAAGTGGCTTGCCCAGACCCAGTGCCCCTTCTGCTGGGGGCATACCAGTGCCTCGCAGCAAACTTGCACAGCCTGTTCGCAGGTAAGTGGCAGATGTTCTGTTTCAGCATTCTTGAGTGCCTGAAAGTGGATAGACTGGAATGAATTAGCTTCATCCGTATGTTTGATAGTAAACAGAAAGTCATGGTGGATTCCCACCAGAGTTTTAGTACCATTTGAATAAAACTTTACTACATTGTTTTTAAGAAATCCTCATTTGGGACTTTTACCAGTTTGGTTCAGATTAAATTTGTCCAGTTGCCTAACGTGATTAAGCATCTCAGAGGACCCCTAGAAAAAAAATTGTTAGAGCCTCTCAATTTGATTGTGATATTCATTCATTTCGAATATAATTATATTCAATAAAGATGATAAAGGTATATTAGAATATAGAGTGATATTTAAGATAAAACTTCTAGCTACCAAGTCTGAGTATAATCTATAAGCATGGTTTTCAAACCCTTATTCTATAATTCAGAATTATCTGTGAGATTTATATAAATGTAGGGTGTAAGTTTTACCTTCAGAGAGTCTAACTTAGTAGATCTGTTATGAGGCCCAGAATCTGTGGGTGTGCTAGGTATTTTGTTGTTGTTTTTTGTTTTGTTTTTGTTTTTGTTTTGTTTTTGTTTTGAGATGGGGTCTTGCTTTGTCTCCCAGGCTGGAGTGCGGTGGTGCAATCTTGGCTCACTGCAGCCTTGACCTCCCAGGCTCAAGCAATCCTGTCACCTCAGCACCCCCTGTAGCTGGGACTACAGGCGCACACCACCATGCCTGGCTAATTTTTGTAGAGATGGGGTTTTACCATGTTGCCCAGGCTTGTCTGGAGCTCCTGAGTTCAAGTGATCTGCTTGCCTCAGCCTCCCAGAATGCTGGGATTACAGTTGCTGGTTTTTTTGTTTGTTTGTTGTTTGTTTGCGTAATCTTCAGATGATTCTGAATCAGACAGGTTGGGAATGATGCATCTGTAACCTTTCAAGAATGGGATTACCACCATCAGTAAACTTTGGTGTCAAATATAATTAAACTGGAAATATTTATCACTGTGCTAAATAAGTAAATGCTTGCTTTGTTTAATCTTCATAATAATATTAAATGAGTAGGTATTCTTATTTCTATTTTTCAAAAGAGGATATTGAAATTTAATGGAATTAAGTAATTTGCCTAAGGCCACATAGCTAATAAAACTATGAGTTCCAAGTATGTCTGACTTTGGAGCTCTTTTAATCACTGTCCCATACTGCCTTTCTAGTGATGCTGACACTGAGCTTCTAATATCACATTCATCATTCTGCCTCTCAAAATAATAAGTAAATGATAAGGTTGGTTATCTGTGTGCTTGGAAAAGGTGAGACCATCTTTTCCTTTCTTTTATCTAGTAGCTATGTTAACAAAATGGGAAGTCATCTGGTGCCCAGTAAAACTTGGAAGTTGTGAAAATGCAGAGTGTGGGGAGGTTGTACTAGTACCTGTTTAGAGCTTAGGACTTGGTACGGCCTTCATGGGATCGTGATGCCACCTGAAGAGTAATTAATATATGTGTGAGATAGTATGGTACTATTTCATAAAGACATTTATCAAATTTTAATTACAAAATTGCTTTATTACAGATCCTTGCCAGCTCCTAAAACCTATGGTAGCATGAAAGATGACAGTTGGAAAGATGGCTGTTACTGACCAGCAAAGACAAGAATGCAGAAGTCCACGGCTTCATGGATACCCTTCACCAGGCTAAAAAACAACTTTTATATGCAGACTGTTCAGATAAGACTCTTGGGATTTATAAAATCCCAGCCCTCTCTGTCTTAATTAGCACAAACCGACAGAGATCATCAAACAGCACTTTAATGACATTTAACATCAGATGTGTTTGGTAATCATACAATCACTCTCCATAGAATCACTTTTAGTTTTGTTTAATAGAAACTAGGTTGATTTTTAAAAAATATTTGACAGAGGCCAATATCTGGGCAAATACCTAATGGATGCCAAAGAGAAATGCCCATTTGTAAATGAGAAAAATGCCCATTTGTGCACAAGAAAATGGTGAATTCAGGCTATCCAAAACTTCACATTCAACCTAATTTACTGTATAAATAGTATCAATAAATATTTGTGTTAATGAGAACTAATATTCTGACTAATTATCTAAAGTGTTTCACTAGTACACCAGGAAACTACAGATTGAGATTAGGGGGTGGGAGGAAAGAAACCTGGGCTAGAGATTAAAACATTCCTAAATTTAGCAGAATTTCAGAAATGATTTTTGCAGATTCATTAGAAAAGAAAAATTGTCATTTAATCTTAAGTTTTGGATGTAGCTCACATGTCACCACCACCAGATAGTGTTACAGCATGTATCCATCATGTTGCATTGACACATCAAACTTGTGTGTGTTTGTTTTGATTGCCAAAAGGGCTTAATATCAGTTGTACAATCTTTCTGAACTTTATAGTTCCTGGCTCAGGAAAGATGGCCTTTGCTATTGAAGCCAACTTCTTCACATGCTGTTATCTTTACAGAACTAAGAGATCTTGTTTCTATTAGCAGGTTTTCATGATAGGAAAGAACAAGTAGTGTGTGTCTTTATTCTTGATACAACACCACCTCGGTGCTTGCAACCTGGAACAAAACCATACCATGAGAGAGAGGGGGAAAAAAATCTATGCACTTAACCTACAAAATCTCTGGTGATGACAGTTGTATTGTTGCTATTACATGGCATAACGGTCTATTATGTGGTAGGAAAATATAGCCTGCTAAATCCTACTTAAGTTGATCCACTTTAAACTGAGTAACTGTATAAAACATCTATTGAAAATTCTTTTCCTTTTGACTTAGATTCTGCCTTACATCAATTTTTGCATTTTTGGTAAAAAAAAAACCCTACTACGTATGACTCTAACCTGATACTTGCTCTCTAATGGCTCTTAATATATCCTTGAAATCGGCTATTTCAATTTTATCAGACTTTTACCAGAGTAAAACTTGCTTCTGTAGCAGGCCTCTCATTTTTTATTATGAGGTCTGTTTTTAAATACTTAATTTGAACAGCTCTAAGATATTGTCACTTAGGTCATCTAAAAGCTTTTAGAGATTTGAACATAAGTTCATTTCCTGTTAATCAAAGACATTCCGTAAGTTGGCAAAAGAAATTGGGAGAGAGAAATAGAAGGCTTGATATTCTGGACAGCATTAAGGTTGATAGGTTGATGATAAAAACTTAAAACCAGGACCTCCATTCTGTCATGACTGACACCATGGTAGTCTGTCAGCTTGACCAGTGGAGAGTCATTCATTTAGCACAAGCAGCTGGAGATTTAAACTGCCAGTACTATGTATTTGGTGTATAATGCAAGGAAGAAACTTTATCCTTGAATTTGAGGGTGATGGGGTGGGTCAGGAAAGGATGGCGCCAGAATTCTACATGATAATGAACTAAAAAATGTTGCTTTTCAGAGGAAGATAAAGCATCTTCTTTTGGGAGGGGGGTATCTCATGTCTAAGTAAGTAAAAGAAAGAAGTAGCTACTGTCTCTTTTAAAAACCACGTACAAAACAGAACAAGTCTCAGTTTTCAGTGCAACATTTCAAAAAATATATATGCTGCAATCTAATAATTAAAAGGAATTTTACCTATTATGAAACATATTACATTTTTTAAGTTAGATAATCAGTTTCAAAAGGAGTATTCAGGTTATTTAACTTTGTTTTTAAATGGCTGCATCAGAAAAAAATGTCTATTTTTTTTTATTAAAATATTTCATCACTTGTTAAAACATATTTTTGATCTGAGTTTGGTAAAGTATTATTTTACCTGCTGTTGTACTACCACAGACTGTTGACTTTTAGTTTCTTAAAGAGAAAAATTGCCTTTTTACTAGAAAGCCTTTGTATATTGCAATTTTTCTGTTTGGGAAAATCTAAGGATTTACTGTGGTTAGTCTTACAGAAGAAATGTGGATTTGATAAACTAGTGCCTATGATTTTAACTTATGTTTGATATATAGTAGTAAGGGTTTTATGAATGTTGATTATTTTGTGCCAACAGCCCAGAATTGTCACTTATATGTAAGCAGAAAACAATGAGCTCTGCTTCCAAAGTTATTTAATTTTCTCAGTGTTTGAATGTTATTTTTTGTAAGTGTGTTAATAAAAGTGTAAAGAATTGGAAAAAATATAAATATTCTTAACTCAAGCATTTGCTGGATCATTTTTCTACAAAACTTGTTTGTACAATATAAAACACTCTCTGAAGAGTTGACTTTTTTTCAGTTTCGTATCCTGGAAATCACATTTTGTAAAACTGGGGACCATTCATAATTGTCAGATACTTTTTAAAATTATCTCAATACATCACTTTTATAAAAAAAAAAAGTTTTTTTGAAAGAAAATTAGATACATATGTGGCCCCAGATGTTTGTATAACTCTAGAATGATCTAGACTATGTATGTTTAAATTAACTTTTTATTGAATGTACAGGTGTCCATTTTTGACGTTAAGCATGGTCCTTTAAGGTCACATGACGTTTGATTTGCAAACATTTCTATAGCCGAACTTGTATATGTGGTTGCCTCCTTAATAAACAGCCTGACCATAATGTTTATTATTAAATTTATATTCTTTAAGTGTTTAATTAATCTCTGGATATGGTAAGATTCCTTTTTTCCTCTCAGTTGCCTACACTTGGTTTTAATAAATTACTCAGTTGAGTTTTTCTTTAACCACAGAAACCCAAATCATATTGCCCTTTCAGATTTAGTCTTCATGGGGTTGGATTATGTCTTATATTTTCTCTGTCAGAGTTATTTCATATATGGATTTTACTTGAAGGAAATTTACAGTTTACTCTAAATTGATTTGTTCTTGGAACTTTTTTACCTGCTGTGAATTGATACCTAGTTATAAAAAGCTAGCATTTGCCTAGATCATAACTATGTATGGTATCTAGTTAGAAAAAAACAAGCAAAAAGCTATTATGAGTTTCCAAGAGGGACAATTAATGCATTTTCATACCAAATGCGAATATTTAGGTGATCACGTGCATCTTTTCTTGTATGGATGGAAAAATCAAGAATTGTACACTGTTTAATGAGTTCTCCATATTCCTTTAGGAGATATTTGCTTTGCAATTACATGTTACAATTAGAATAATTACAATTAAAATAATATTACATGTTACAATTAGATTAATAGTGATGAGAGGGAAAAAAGACACCCTTCTGTTTTTTTCTCTCAAGCCAGTCTAAAAACTTGAAGAGCCATTTAAAATTAAATGTCACTATACTTGTATTATAAATCAATACATAAGTTTAAACCTGTTATATACTCAGTGCAACAGAAAAACCCATATGGAGGTTCAACCACTGATGTATTTTGAATGATCCTAAATATAAGTCTTGGGTGGCTAAATGGCCCTCTGCTTACCAGTCTGAAAATGAAACCGATTATACTCATCGGCCTTATTTACTGTAATACAAACTGGTTAAAACTATGTTAACTGAATGCTAGTTTGAAACAAATTATCTACATTAAGTCATCTTAATGTTTTCTCTTTAAAAGAAATAAAAAAATCTGTTTCTTCTGATTTCGAAAGTAATAGAAACTCTGCTGTAGAACATAAACTAAAAATATTAAAAAGTATAAAGGTAAAAAATGATAGTTGTCTGCAATCCCATAATCCGGAAATATTGAAGTACTGTCCGTAACATGGTTATGACATGTTAAGTGGAAGGGTAGAAGGTCTTTTTTTTTTTAAGGAGAAAATGTTTCTTTTAAATAAATGTTTCTTATGTAAAAATGTTGACATGAGTTTGCTTTTGCACAGAAGTATACATTAACTGCTATTGAAAGCTTGGCATATATCTTAATTCCTGATTTTAGATATTTCTTGATAAAACTATCGTATGTATTGTTTGTATTGTTTATAACATTAATTGGTTTTTTACAATTTATACTTTTTTTTTTTTTTTAAACAGTCTTGCTCTGTTGCTCAAGCTGGTGGAGTGCAGTGGCATGATCTCGGCTCACTGCAACCTCTGCCTCCCAGGTTCAAGCAATTTCCCTGTCTCAGCCTCCCAAGTTGCTGGGACTACAGGCACATGCCACCATGCCCAGCTAATTTTTGTATTTTTAGTAGAGACCGGGTTTCACCATGTTTGTCAGGCTGGTCTCAAACTCCTGACTTCATGTGATCCACCCACTGTTGTACCTGCTGTTGTATTTTTTACCTGCTGTTGTACTACCATAGACTATTGACTTTTAGTTTCCTAAAGAGAAAAACTTTCTTTTTTTTTTTATGAGATGGGGTCTCACTATTTTGCCCAGGATGGTCTCGAACTCCTGGGCTCATGCGATTCTCCCGCCTCAGCCTCCCAAAGTGCTGGGATTACAGACATGAGCCACCACGCCTAGCCTCTATACATATTGAAATTTGAGAAATATATAATAAATTATAAAGAAGAAAAAGTACCTAATTCAATAGGTAGTCAGCCACTTAAATTTGAAGATAATGTCTTTGTTTCTTTTTCCTTCTAAAATTGTAATCATATGCTTGACAGTAACTTTTTCTGAAGTCTGAATTCATGACTACCATGATGTAGATGGATTCTGCTGCTACAAAAAAAAGCCATTTAGTTCTGGAAAGAGTTTATAAATATTCTAAAACTTTGCCAAACTATATTATTGTAGTCCTTCGTATCGTATCCTTTGTTGATACTTGAATGCCCCCCACCACCACCCCTGCCTCCCATCTACCATGAATTGACAGTATTGATTGAGTACAATGCCAGTTTTAAACCACCTTTAAAGAAATAACAGGCACAACCAAATAGGCTAGTCTTCAGTAGAGTTATTAAACTTGATCACCGGAAGGGCTATTAAAACAGATTTCTGCACTGTACTCCCGAGAATTTCCAAGTCCAAAAATTCTAGGAGTAGGGTTCCCAGGACAGGTCAGGTGCACATTACTGGACTAATTGACTGTGACTAGAGGATTGGCGTTGAGGTAGAACACTAGCTATGGTTTTCTACTGTGAAAACCATATGGATGGAATGGGGAAAGACCATTTTCCCTGAAGGTGATGCTGTCCCAAGAAAGTAGGCCAGGTCTTGAGCAAACAATACAGTAGGTACACATCACAAATGTCTCAGTGCATATTATATAAAATGATTATACCATGTCAGTGGTCACTGACCTGGAGGAAACATTTGTAGTAAGAAGAGAAGTTTCTGGTAGTATTTGAGCTCCTGGCTCAATACAGGAGGCCCTGTATTACTCCTGTCCATGGATTCCACTAGGCATCTTGGTATGCTTATTAAAAGTTCCCCTTCGTACATAGGCCAGTTTAAGCTAAGGTTCTATCATTTGCAAACAGCAGGAAGAGATGATTTTTCAAATGTTTTAAAAATTGATAAATTATGTACAGAAGTTTGTACAACTCAAATGTTCAGCTCAAAGAATTATCACTAAATTACTACATGTGTAATCACCATGTAGACAAGAAATAGAATGTTCACCGCACCCCAAAAACTCTCCTAGTGTCATCTGACAATCTGCTTCCTTCCTCTTCTACAAAGATAACAGTTACTGACTGGGTGGGGTGACTCACACCTGTAATTCCAGCACTTACGGGAGGCTGAGGTGGGAGGATCGCATGAGCCCAGGAGTTGGAGACCATCCTGGGCAACATAGTGAGAACCCCATCTCTCAGAAAAAAGACAACAGCTATTCTGACTTCTAACATTGTACAGCATCGGTGCATTATATAACATCTCAGTCAACATGGTCTGCCTATAGGTCAATACTCCAGTAAAATTATAATGAGACTGAAATATTTCCATCGCCTAGTGACATAGCCCAACGCATTTACTCACGTGTTTGTGGTGATGCTGATATAAACAAGCCTGCTGCGCTGCTAGTCATAGAAGTATAGCGCATAATACTTGATAATAAACAACTTTGAAACTGGTTTACATATTTACCATACTTTATTGTTATTTTAGAATGCACTCCTACTTATTTTTAAGTGAACTGTAAAACAGCATCAGGCAGATCCTTCATGAGATATTCTAGAAAACATTGTTATGATAGGAGATGACTGCTCCATGCATTTTATTACCCCTGAAGACCTTCCAGTGGGACACATGTGGAAGTGGAAGACAGTGATATTGATGATTTTGACTCTGTGCAGGCCTAAGCTAATGTGTGTGTTCATGTCTTAGTTTTCAACAAAAATTTTTTTAAGGAAAAATGTTTATAGAATGAGATATAAAGAAAATAATTTTGAGCAGCTGTACAATGTATTTTAAGCTAAGTATTGTGAAAGAGTCAAAAAGTGAAAACTGTAAGTAATAAGGTAAAAACCTTGCAGTAAGCTAAGGTTAATTATTGAAAAAAATTTATAAATCTAGTGTAGCCTAAGTACAGTGTTTAAAAGTATAGTAATGTTCTAGGCCTTGACATTCACTCACCGACCCACCTCAAGCAACTTGCAGTTCTGCAAGCTCTGTACATGTTAAGTGCCCTTTACAGGTATCTCATCTTTTATCTTTTATACGGTATTTTCACTGTAGCTTTTCTGTGTTTAGATATGCAAATACTTACCATTGTGCTACACTCACCTACAATATTTAGTGCAGCAACATGCTGTACAGGTTTGTAGCCTAGGGCTATATCATATTGCCTGGGTGTGTAGTGGGCAGTCATCTAGGTTTGTGTAAGTACACTCTGATGTTCCCACAAGGGTGAACTCACCTAACAAGGCATTTCTCAGAATGTATCTGTGTCAAGCGACACATGACTGTAATTTAGTTTTGCCTACTTTTGAACTTTAAGTAGAACCATACAATTTGTATTTTTTCTTCTTTGAAGGGTAATTTTTTCTTTGAAAGCTGAAAATGATTTTCTCTTAGTCACTAAACAGAAATAATGTGAGATTCACCCATGTCGCTGATGTCATTGTAATTTTAATTTGTTCATTTTCATTGCTGCTGTTACATGCCATTGTACAAATATATCACAGTTTGTCCATTCTAATGTCAAGGACAGTTGTGGTGTTTCCAGTTTGGAGCTCTTAAGAGTAATGCAGTTTTGGATTTCAGTATAGTCAAAATGGCATAAGCCCATTGAAGCCTCTCTCACTGACTAAAAATTCTGTACAAAATGTAAAAGACAACTGAGAACACTGGGGGTGGGGGTGGGGTGGGGGGTAGCAGCAGGATTGAAGACGGAGTCAGACCTGGAGAAAAGACCCATACAAGGGTGAACTTCTCATTTCTCCCCTCTTTCTTGACCCTGAGCCAAGGGAGGGCACCCAGAAGAGCTGTCACAGAGGCCCTTCTGGCAGATAAACTTTGAGGAAAAACCCAAAAGATGAGAAAAAGGAGTTCCTGGAAGCTAGAGAATGTCAGGGGAAATCCCCAGGTATTTATGTTTTCTCTCATGGCTTGTCTTGGGTAAGCCCTCAGGTAAGCTGTGCTAGCAAGTGGTGCCAACAGTTAAAATTGATGGAAGCACTCTCTCTGGGCAGAGGAAATGGGAAAAGAGCCTTTGCAGTCTTGAAGACTGGAGGTCATCTGCATTTTTCTCTATTTACTCTCTCTGTTCTGAGGGTGGCCTGAGTTGTGGGAACTGCATAGTAATAGTGGTGGAACTAAAATTCCAAGCAAAACCCTTGTTTCTGGCCAGAGGACAGGGGAATGGGCTGTCTTAGGGCATGATGGGGGGAACCAGAGAGAACAAAGCAGAAGGAATCCCTTTATTCTATGTGTTAATTAGTACAAGCTCTAAGCTTACATACTCAGGACAGACCCAAAGCAGCACACTAGAGGCTTTAGGAACTAAAGTACAATTTAAACCACTGGCCAAGACACAGATTACTGAGCAGTACATGATAAGCTTGATCCAATATAATATAACCCTTTTTGAAAGCAACTGGGAATCACAGCCACAGAAGACGGCAGAAAACTTTCAGTATGAACCTATCTGGGTTTATTGTTAAACAAAAATCAGCATTCTCCAGAATATTTTAACAAGACCTAGAGTCTAAATTATAATATTCAGAATGTGCAGCATTTAATCTAAAATTACCTGGCATACAAAGAACCAGGAAAATGTAATACATTCTCAAGAAAAAAGACAGATGTCAACACCAATATGATCCGGATGTTGGACTTACAAAGTTTAAGGCAGCTGTTATGAAATAAGCACTCTTATGAATGGAAAGATAGAAGTCCTCAGGAGAGTAGAAAAAATAAGTTTAAGAACCAAATAGGAATTTTAGAACTGAAAAAATATGTAAAAGTATTTCAATTTGATGGATTCAACAGCTGACTGAAGATGGCAGAAGAGTCAATGAAGTTGAAGAGAGCAATACAATTTACTCAATCTGGAGAACAGAGACAAAAAACTGAAAAAATGAGCAGAGCCTCAGGAACCTGACAACAATATTGAAGGTCTAACAGTTGTGTTATTGGAATCCAATGGTAAATTGGCTCTCAAAAGGTTCTTATTTGTATTGTTTTCCAATGTCCAAGTGCATCCATTTGGGTATTCTCTGTTGTGAAGTCTCTTTCAAATCATTTGTCTGATTTTATATTGAGGTGTCTCTTTCTCTTACTAATTTATAGGAGTTCTGTAGGTATTGTGGAGAGAGTTTTTAGTAAAGTTGTTTGTAACCCTTTTTAATGAATGCAGGATCTGAAGTGACAACCCCTTAATTCCATGTGTTAGTATTTGGATCTCTCTCTCTTTATCACCTTCCCTCCCTCACTCTTTCCCCTCCATACCTCTTCTCTTACCAGTTCCACCAGGGGTTTCTTAAGTTTAGTGTTGTAGCTATTTGTTGTGTCCCAGGATCCAGTCCTTGGTCCACCTCTCTGTCTACACTCTTGCAGTGTTTCATGGCTGAGAAACCATTTGTTATATGTCTGGAGACTCCAGACTCACATACCAAACTGCCTCCTCAGTGTCTTCATTTGAATATTAAACAGGCAGCTCAGAGTGTACCTGTGCAAAGCCGCAATTCTGATCTTGCAAACCTGTTTCATTCATCTCAGCTAATAGCAATTTTGGAGTCATTCTTGGTATCTCTTCTCCCTCACTCACTCTTTTGCTCTCTCTCTCCATACACACCTAACCAATCTGTAAATAAATCTCATTGATTCTACCTTCAAAATATATCCAGACTCTAACCACTTCCTTGCCTCAACCCTCACTCCCACACAGCCACAAGTGATCCTTTTAAAATGTAATTCAGTCATGTCAAACCTCATCTCAAATCCTCCAGGGGCTCACCAAGTATTTATTGTAAAAGCCAAAATGTCTATTGCTCCCCCCGACTTATTTCTCTGGCATTATCTCCTCCCTCACTCCACTCCATTTCAACTTCCCTGGCTCCTGGCTCCTGGCCTCAGGCACATTCCCACCAGAGACCCAAGAAAACACTGCCTGTTTCCTCTGCTGAGACGCTCTTTGCCCCAGATGCCATATGTCGAATCCCTTACCTGCTTCAAGTCTGCTCATGTGTCACCTCCTCAGTGAAAATTTTGACTCAGCCCCTCCCCCAGCTTCTAATCTTATTTTTTTTTAACCAAACTCTTCCTCTTTTCCATAGCACTTATCACCTCCAAGCATCCCATATAATTAACTCATTATTATGCCAGCTTTCTCTTCTCCCTCCACTCGTGTGCATGCCCTTGCATGTGGGCACACACACCCACACACACCCGCATGCATGTATACCATATATGGTTCATGGAGGCAGAGATCATTTTTGTTTATCAACTCTTGGCAAATACCTAGACCAGTGCCTGGCACATGGTAGGCACACAAATATTTACTGAATGAAAGCATTGCTGATGGGAGTCTCTTTAGAGAGCAATTTGAAACACAACAAAATTTAAAACATACCTTTGGCCTGGCTACGGTGGCTCACACCTATAATCCCAAGTTTGAGAGGCCACGGCTGGAGGATTGCTTGAGACCAGAAGTTTTTTGAGACCAACTTAGGCAACATAGTAGACCCCATCTCTACAAAAAAATAAATTTAAAAAATGTACATTTGGACCCATTGATTCCACTTCTAATTATCTTATAGGTGTACCTGTCTATGTGCTTGTGTAGATAAGAATACAAGAATATGTATATAGTAGTATTTGTGGACAAACAAGGCTGGACTTAAATGTCCCTCAATAGGAAACTGGTTAAATTATGAAACATTCACTGAAATATTAGGCACCTATTACCAAGATCAAGATATAATAGCTCTATGTGTAATGATATGGAAAGACACCCACGATGCATCATGAAAAGTAAAAACAAGGTGTCAAAATGCCATTTGGAATAAAAAGGTTTGTGTGTCATATTTGCTCTGTTAACAATGACTGCTTCTGAAGGGATACAAAAGAAACAGGTAACTGGTTACCTGTGAAGACGGGAGTGGGAGACACAGCTAACAGTGGTAAGGAGATAAGGAACCAGCATTTTACCTGAGTATTTTAATTCTTTTTTCTTTTTTTTTTTTCTTTTTTTTTTTAAGAGACGGGGTCTGTTGGCCAGGCTGGAGTGCAGCGTGATCATAGCTCACTACAGCCTTGAACTCCTGGGCTCAAGCGATCCTCCCACGTCAGTCAGCCTCCTGAGTAGCTGGGACTAGGGGCGCACACCCACCCCACCTAGCCCTGTTTGAATTCTTTATCATGTCCATATGTATACCCACTGCTTTTTCAAACAGTAAAAGAGAAATATAACCGCTGTTTTCCTTGCTCCCCTCAAAAAACTTGTTTTACTTAATGAAATGAGTTCAATCTAGTCTGTGAATGCACTCTTCATTGTTTCAGCCTTCTCCATTCATGGCATCATGAGTTTTGTATTTGCACCACGAGAAGCATTTTCATGAATTTTACTCTAATATTATGCATTTGGCTTTATCAAGGGTTTATGAAGAACAAAAGCTGCTTCTGCCTCTGGTGTAAAATTATCAAGAGCATTGTTCCTTATGTGACTCAATATCCCCTATATAAAGGCCCATGTGAGAATTTTTTTCTAGAATGCAGTATCTGGAAAAATCATTGTCTCTTTTGAGGAACTGGGGCTCTCCTTCAATACAAGACCTATGTGATTTATCATGTTTGCATTTTTGTCCCTGTTGCCCGAAAGTTTAGATCCATATATGACGCTCAATTGCAGCAACTGAATTTATTTTTTTTTTAAGCCGGTTTTGTCCCCAAAAGGATTTAAGGTGGTTTATAGAAATATGAGATGAAGGTGTGGTTTTTTGAGTCTCGTTCTGTCACCCAGGCTGGTGTGCAGTGGCACGATCACAACTCCCTGTAACCTTGGACTTCTGGGCTCACAATCCTCCCACTTCAATCTCCCCAGTTGCAGAATTACAGGCATGAGCCACTGCACCTGGCAAAGGTGTCTTGTTTGTTTATATATTTGTTTATATAATTTCAACTTTTATTTTAGATTCAGAGGGTACATGTGCAGATTTTTTACATGAGAGTCTTGCATAATGCTGGAATTTGGGGTTCTATTTAACCCATCACCCAAACAGCGAACATAGTATCCAGTAGGTAGTTTTTCAGCCTCTCCCCTTTTGGAATCCCCAATGTCTACTGTTCCCATCTTTTTATCCATATGTACCCATTGTTTAGCTCCCACTTATATATGAGGACATGCGGTATTTTCTGTTTCTGAGTTAATTCACTTAGGATGATGGCCTCCAGCTGTGTCCATGTGACTGCAAAGGACATGATTTTTATTCTTTTTTATGGCTGTGTAGTATTCTGTGGTGTGTGTGTATCACATTTGCTTTATCCAGTCATTTGTTGATGGACACTTAGGTTGATTTCATTTATATAATTTATATATTTTAATAATATAAATATATTAAATATATAAATGCTATTGTGAATAGTGCTGCGATGAACATACAAGTGCATGTATCTTTTTGATAGAACGATTTCTTTTGAGTAAACACCCAGTAGTGGGATTGCCAGATTGAATCAAACTATAAAAATCCTAGAAAACCTGGGAAAAACTCTTCTGGACATTGGCTTAGGCAAAGAATTTATGACTGAGATCTCAAAAGCAAATGCAACAAAAACAAAAATTGACAAATATGACTTAAAGAGCTTCTGCACAGCAACAGAAACTATCAAAAGAGTAAACAGATAATCTACAGAATGGGAGAAAATATTTGCAAACTAGGCATCTGACAAAGGACAAGTATCCAGAATCTATAAGGAGCTTAAACAAAATCAACAAGAAAAAAAACCAACCCCATTAAAAAGTGGGCTAAGGAAATGAACAGACACTTCTCAAAAGAATACATACAAGTGGCCAATGAGCATGAAAAAATACTCAACATTACTAATCATTAGGGAAATGCAAATCAAAACCACAGTGAGATACCATCTCACACCAGTCAGAATGGCTATTATTAAAAAGTCAAAAAATAACAGATGCTGGCGAAGTTGCCGAAAAAGAGAATGCTTATACACTGTTGGTGGGAATGCAAATTAGTTCAACTTCTTTGGAAAACAGTATGGAGATTTGTCAAAGAATTAAAAATAGAACTAAATTAAAAATAGAATTAAATTTATATTTACATTTTTAATATACATATCAGATTTTTCCACCTATTTTCATTCTCAGCAAGCTAGCAAGGCTTCTGTAGGTTTAACTTATTTTGCACAGCCCTATGCTATGGACTGAGAACAAAACCACTCCTAATCATGTAATTTTATAATCGAGTTAAAATATTAGCTTTATAGGAAATAAAGGAGATTATGACTACTAAGTAAATGTAAGCAAAATCTGTTAGTCTTTTACAAAAAGTGTTTCTATAAGAGTTTCTTTATCTTCATTACTTGTAAATGACATGAAAAACACTTTTAATTACAACACTCAAGTTTCTGTGGTAGACACTTTTTTGCCCACACTTCTAGAAAGTTGAAGGGGAAAAAATCTATATTTGAGAATTGGAAATTTGGCCAGCAGCTACTTAAGATATGTACATTTCAAACATCTTTTAGACAAAAGGTGGTATCTACTTATTTTTTTTGTAAGATGCCACCAAACCAGACATAAATATCTAGAAAGAGTTCTTTTAATGCTAACTTTTAAATCCAAGATGTTTCCACCATAATCTGAAACACAACCAATTTTCATTGAGGCCTAGGTTTTCTTCTCACGAAACCTCAAAAGGAGATCTGTGAATCTCCAGAAGAAGATAAATGTTACTAATATTTGAGAGAGAAGAACATGATTTTGAAATGTCTAAATCTCAGAATCAGAAAAGAATGATAAATACGTATTCATCTGACAATTATCATTTAGCATCTTCTATGTGTCAGTACCTGTGCTATGTGCAATTTTCATAAAATAAGGAACACTTACATTATTAAGTTCACATCCTAATTTATTTTCCCCAAACATTCTCACGTTTCACTAAGAAATTGATAGTGATTAAGCCTACCACATTATCAAGAAGCAACACTAGATACACTCTCCTTGACCTGGAAGAAATAAGCCAGTCTTCAGATATATTTTATACAAGGGGATAACTTCTTAGTGTAACAGCACCAAAACCGAAACTGACATTCATACCCATGAGCCTTTACAATAGAGCTTCTCTGGAAATTGACTGAGATGGCATCCTTGGTCATAGACATGTGAAGTAATAATTTTTTACTAATTTATGCTATTGTCAATTTCATAGACTTCCTAATTAACAGGGTAAATAAATTAATCAAAAATCAATAGTATGAGTGGAAAAGCTTGATAAATTTAATAATATAGCATTTAAAAAATTATTTTAAATGTTTAGAACATTCCAAGTGGACTCAGTATTAAGTCATACAGATTTTTGAATTCCTTATAAAGGAGCAATGATTATATTGCAGGGCTGATGAACCCACCTGATAACAGAGTAAACAAAAACAAGTCACCAGGATTGGTAGGGAAAGAAAGAATGCCTGGTTTTAATAGTTATTTTCATTTGTTGAAGCATTTTGCTCTTGTAGACTTAAGTTATTTTGGTTTTATTGTCTGAAAGACAGCAGAGCAAAGGTCTTAAAAGGGTGTGGTCAGCTGAGATGATAATGCTAACAATAGCAGCAATTTGTAAAGTGCTTACCATGTGTTTGCTGGGCATGTACATGCATCATTTCAAAACTATGAGGTAGATACTAATATTTTTCCCAATTTTAATACAGGGAAATTTTGGCTTATGTAGGGCAAACAACTTGCCCTAGCAACGCATAGCTAGCAAGTAGCAAACTCAGGATCTGACCCACAGTGAAGTTACAAAGCCCTTTCCACTACACCCACCTGCACAGTTGAAAGTTCCAAGCAGAAAACTGGTAAAATATGATAATGGTAGTTTTATTTTATTGTGGTCAGAGAAGATACTTGATATAATTTCAATTTTCTTGAAATTTTTAAGATGTATTTTGTGGCCTAACACATTTTCTATCCTTGAGATTGATCCATGTGCTGAGAAGAAGAATGTGCATTCTGCCACCACTGGAAGAAATGTTCTGTAAATATGTATTAGATCCATTTGGTCTATAGTGCAGATTAAATCTGATGTTCCTTTCTTGAGTTTCTGTCTGGATGATTTTGGTCCAATACTAAAAGTGGAGTGGTGAATTCTCCAGCTATTATTATATCAGAGTCTTTCTTTCTCTCGCTCTCTCTCTCTCTCTCTCTCTTTAGCTCTAACAATATTTGCTTTATGTATCTCGGTGCTCTAGTGTTGGGTATATATATATATATATATATATATATATATATATATATATATTTACAATTGTTATATCCTCTTGCTGAATCGACTCCTTTATCATTATATAATGACCTTCTTTGTCTCATTTTATAGTTTTTGTCTTGAAATCTATTTTATCTAAGTATAGCTACTCCTGCTCTTTTCTGGGTTCCATTGGCATGGTATATCTTTTCTGATCCCTTTATTTTCTGTCTATGTGTGTCTTTATAGGCAAAGTGTATCTTGTAGCAACAGATTGTTAGGGTCTTATTTTTTTGTTTTGTTTTGTTTGTTTGTTTTTAAATCCATTCAGCCAGTCTATGTCTTTTGGTTGGAGAGTTTAGTTCATTTACATTCAATGTTATTACTGAGAAGTAAGGACTTATCCCTGCCATTTTGTTATTTGTTTTCTGGTCTTCTCTGTCTTCTTTCCTTCCTATTTGTCTTCCTTTCCGTGAAGATGATTTTCCTGGTGGTATGTTTTAATTTCTTGCTTTTATTTTTTGTGTCTTTACTGTATGCTTTTAAATTTGAGGTTACCATGAGGCTTGCAAATAATATAACTCATTATTTTAACACTGATTGCATAAACAAACAAACAAAAAACTACAAGCAGAGAGAAAACAAATAAAAACTCCACACTTTAACTTCATCCTCCTGCTTTTAACTTCTTGTTTTTTCTATCTGTATCTTTTTTTTTTTTTTTTTAGACAGAGTCTCGCTCTGTCACCCAGGCTGGAGTGCAGTGGCACCATTTCAGCTCACTGCAACCTCTACCTCCCAGGTTCAAATGATTCTCCTGCCTCAGCCTCCCGAGTAGCTGGGATTACAGGTGCATGCCACCACACTCAGCTAATTTTTGCATTTTCAGTAGAGACAGGGTTTCACCATGTTGCTCAGGCTGGTTTCAAACTCCTGACCTCAAGTGATCTGCCCACCTTGGCCTCCCAAAGTGCTGGGATTACAGGCATGAGCCACCACGCCTGGCCAGTTTTTTTCTATTTATATCATAGTCTATGTCTTGAAAAGTTGTTGTGGTTATTATTTTTGATAGGTTCATCTTGTAGTCTTTCTACTCAAGATTGGAGTAGTTTACACACCACAATTACAGTGTTATAATATTCTGTATACCTACTACCAGTGAGTTTTGTACCTTCAGATTATTTATTATTGTTCATTAATATCCTTTTCTTTCTGATTAAAGAACTCCCACTGGCATTTCTTGTAGGATAGGTTTGATGTTGATGAAATCCCTTAGCTTTTGTTTACCTGGGAAAGTCTTTTTTTCTTCATCATGTTTGAAAGGACTGCTGGATATACTATTCTAGAATAAAAGGTTTTTTTCCTTCAGTACTTTAAATATATCATGCCACTCTCTCCTGCCCTGTAAGGTTTCTGCTGAGAAGACTGATGCCAGACATAATAGAGCTCCTTTGTGTGTTATTTCTTTTCTCTTGCTGCTTTTAGAATCTTCTTTATCCTTGACTTGTGGGAGTTTGGTTATTGACTATCTTGAGATAGTCTTATTTTGGTTAAATCTGGTTGGTGTTCTATAACCTTCTTGTACTTGAATATTGGTATCTTCAGGTTTGGGAAATTTTATCTTATTATCTCTTTGAATAAACTTTCTACCTCAGTCTCTCCCTCTACATTCTCTTTAAGGACCATAACTTTTAGATTTGTGTTTTTGAGGCTACTTTCTAGATCTTGTAGGTATACTTCATTATTTTGTATTCCTTTTTCTTTTGTCTCCTCTATGTATTTTCCAATAGCCTGTCTTCAAGCTCACCAGTTCCTTCTTCTGCTTGATGAATTCCGCTGTTAAGAGGCCCTAATGCATTGTTCAGTATGTCAGTTGCATTTTTCAACTCCAGAATTTCTCCTTAATTCTTTTTAATTATCTTAAGCTCTTTGTTAAATTTATCTCATAGGATTTTGAATTCCTTCTCTGTGTTATCACAGAGAATTTTGTTGCGCTTCCTCAAAATAGCTATTTTGAGTTGTCTGTCTGAAATGTCACATATCTCTGTCTCTCCAGGATTGGTGACTAGTGTCTTATTTAGTTCATTTGGTGAGGTCATGGCTGGTCTTGATGCTTGTGGATATTCACTGGTGTCTGGGCTTTGAAGAGTTAGGTATTTATTGTAGTCTTTGCAGTCTGGGCTTGTTTATACCGTTTTTCTTGGGAAGGCTTTCCAAGTACTTGAAGGACTTAGGTGTTATGATCTAAGGCTTTGGTCACTACAGCCATATCTGTATTGGGGGCACCCCAAGCCCAGTAATGCTATGGCTGTTGCAGACTTGTAGAGGTACTGCCTTCATGGTCTTGGGTAAGATCTGGGAGAATTCCCTGGATTACCAGGCAGAAACTCTTATTCTCTTGCCTTACTTCCCCCCAAACAAATGAGTCTCTCTCTCTCTCTGTCCTGAGCTGCCTAGAGCTGAGGGAGGGGGTGACACAAGCACAGCTATGTCACCAGAAGCCAAGGATGAGAATCGGGGACCCCAGGAGCCTGCATGGTGCTCTATACCACTGTGGCTGAGCTGGTACCCAGGCTGCAAGATAAAGTTCCCTTTACCCTTCCCTCTCCTTTCCTCAAACAGAAAATGTCTTGCCCCATAGCCAACACAGCTGGGAATGTGCTAGGTCACACTTGAAGCCAGAACATCTCTGAGTTTCGCCCAAGTCCCCTGATGAGTACTACCTAGCTACCACTGCTGATTATCCAGGGACCAAGCACGCTTTAATCAACAGGTGATTAATCCTACCAGGACTAGGTCCTTCTCTTCAAGGCAGCAGGTTCCCTTCTGGCCCAGGATGTGTCTATAAATATCTAGTGCCCTACTGTGGTTGTATCCAAGTTGTAAGATAAAGTCCTCTTTACTCGTCCCTCTCCTCAAGCAGAAGGAAGGAGTCTTTCCCAGAGCTGCACTTCCTGGGGCTGGGGGAGGGGTAGCACAAGCATGCCCTTGGCTAGTTTCTCACTTGGTCCCATGCCCCTCAAATCCACTGGCTCCAAGCCCAGTCCAGCACCAGGACTTGCAGTCCTTGTGGCCAAGACTGCCTTTCAAGTTTATTTAGAACCCCAAAGAACTTTATACTGTGGTGGTGGGCCTTGCTGGAACTCACATTCTCTGGGTTAGGTAATTTGGCTAGGGCCGGTGTAAATGCTCCCTCCATGGTCCTGGCTGAGTTCTGCCCCATGCTGCTTTCTTCTGTGACAGGGCAGCACTAAGTTCCAAAGCAAAGTCCCACAGTCACTGTGCTCTCCCTCCCCAAAGCACAGAGGTTCTCTCTCTGCTGCCAGGGGATGGGGAATGAATGGTGTAAGCAATTCAAGACTGTCTTTCCTCCTTCTTCAGTGCCTCTTTAATGTGATGTTAAAAGCAGATACTGTGATCACTCACCTGATTTTTGGTTCTTATGAAGGTGCTATTTTTTGTGGATAGCTGTTCAATTTGGTGTTCCATGGGGGAGTGGGTGGGAGATGATTGCTGGAGTGTTCTATTTGGCTTTGGCCATCTTTGAAATTCATTAACATTTAATGGTAGTTATTACAAGTTTCTAGAACTTAAAAGTCTATCATCATTGAGATATCAGTTACCAATATAAATTTACTGACTTGAGCATAAAAATGTATGCCAGCAAGATCCATGAAATATAATAAACTGAAACAGAAAAGTGGTAAGTAGAGCGATGAAAAAAGTATTTATAATGCAGAAAATCACTGGAACAACCCAAGAGCTATCAGACCAGCCTGCTCTACAAAAATCTATGGTATGGTTTGGCTGTGTCCCATGCAAATCTCATCTCTAATTGTAATCCCCATAATCCCCATGCGTCGAGGGAGGGACCTAGTAGGAGGTGATTGGATCATGGGGGCAGTTTCCCCCATGCTGTTCTCATGATAGTGAGTTCTCACGAGATCTGATGGTTTTATAAGTGGTTGACAGTTCCTCCTTCCCACGCACTTCTCCTTCTCCTGCTGCCTTGTGACGAAGTTGTCTGCTTCCCCTTTACCTTTTGCCATGATTGTAAGTTTCCTGAGGCCTCCCCAGTCATGCAGAACTGTGAGTCAATTCAACCTCTGTTTATAAATTACCCAGTCTCAGGTAGTGTCTTTATAGCAGTGTGAAAATGGACTAATACAATCTAATACTGTAATTCTCATTTTTGAGTGAAGGTTTGAGAAAAGTATCAGACAAAAGACATAGAAAACTAGATCCTGAAGACATAATATAGGTGCAAAAATTCTAAATGGAAGTCTTCCAGCAGTGTTGTGGAAATGATACTGTAACTGCATGGCGGAGTGAATAAGAAAACATCTGGGGTCAGACCTGAATTGAACCCTTGTTCCACCACTTACTAGCTGTGTGATCCTTAGCAGCCCACGTCATTAAATTTTAGAATCCCTCCTTCACCCTTGAAAAAAAGAGCTTGATGGTAAAATCTACATAATGGACTTGCTGTGTGGATTAAAAGAGCTTTACATGGTGCCCTCAATAAACATTAATTATTTTTATTAATACTAAAGAGAATATTTAGGAATAATTAATTGGTCGGTATATAATGAGTTGAAAGTAATAGAAAACTTGATTTTCAGGGGGCATAAACAAGTGTGGAAGAAGTCCATATTAGGTTATTGGTGATGTTGGTTTAGTGCTCAACAATAATTTTGAGGATACAGGCTCTTCCTAATTTTCTGCCCCACCATTCTTAGCGTTTCCTTGTGGTTCATTATCGCTGCTGCGGATCCAGTCGGGACATCTTTACTCAAGGCAGGAATATGGGGCAGTGCCAAGCGTATGTGTTCCCTTTTGTCTGGAAAGCAAAAGCTTCCCAAGAGGCCCAGCAGATTTTTGCTTGTATCTTATTGACCAAAACTGTCACAAAGCAACTTCTAGCTGAAAGGAAGCTGGAGAAATATTTAGCTGAGTTCATTATCTTCCCAAATAAATGAATTCTGTTAGCGGTAGAAGAGGGGGAATGGATGTTGGATTAGCAATCAACAGGGTCTGCCCAAATAATGAATGAATTTACTAAATCACAGAAACTTAGCTAACTTTCAAGAACTTTTAAACATTTTTTAGTCATTTTTAATAAAAATATTTTTCGGACGCTTTCATAAAAAGAAGATGCTGATTATGATGTGAATGTTGTTAATATAGGCTCATCAATAAAATGAAGGACTATACTCTGCGTTCAGTAGATTTATTTCTTCCCTGGCTACCAGCTGTCAATCATGCTGCCAGAAATCCAGTGTTGAAGCTATCCTTACAAATGTGCTCTTTTCTTTCTGCCAACCCAAATCAATCCAAATTATTAGAATTTCATATTAAGTAATAATAACCAGTAAATTCATAACTGTGTTTACTTCTACATGGATACCTAGTTTCTTTTTGCCTGTCTTTGTGATAGTTATTTCACAGGGCTGTTTTCGCATACTTCCTGATTTTTCACTACATTCAATGGTGTGAGTAGTCAGAAATCTGATGCCCAGTTAACTCAGAAGTGAGAGTGAGAAGTGGGAGGGGGGAAGTATCGCGAACTATACTGCTCATCGAAACTAATAGATAGCCATTTTGAATATTAATATCTATGGAGATTGAATACCTTATCTTTTAGATTCCTTAATCCTAATCAATGCACTCCAGCTCCACAGGTTTTTTTACATAAACACCTCCCAGGTCTGAGATTCCATCTCTCTCTTCAAGGGCATTTTACTATTGAATTTGTTTGCCATTTTTGTTAGTAATTGACTGTGTCTACCCTTTCTGTTGGTGATATTGAAACCGAGATGTTTATTTCCAAAAAAAATTTTTTTTATTTTTATTTTTTATTATTATTTTTTATTATACTTTAAGTTTTAGGGTACATGTGCACAACGTGCAGGTTAGTTACATATGTATACATGTGCCATGCTGGTGTGCTGCACCCATTAACTCTTCATTTAACATTAGGTATATCGCCTAATGCTATCCCTTCCCACTCCCCCCACCCCACAACAGGCCCCGGTGTGTGATGTTCCCCTTCCTGTGTCCATGCGTTCTCATTGTTCAATTCCCACCTATGAGTGAGAACATGCGGTGTTTGGTTTTTTGTCCTTGCGGTAGTTTGCTGAGAATGATGGTTTCCAGCTTCATCCATGTCCCTACAAAGGACATGAACTCATCATTTTTTATGGCTGCATAGTATTCCATGGTGTATATGTGCCACATTTTCTTAATCCAGTCTATCATTGTTGGACATTTGGCTTGGTTCCAAGTCTTTGCTATTGTGAATAGTGCCACAATAAACATACGTGTGCATGTGTCTTTATAGCAGCATGATTTATAATCCTTTGGGTTTATACCCAGTAATGGGATGGCTGGGTCAAATGGTATTTCTAGTTCTAGATCCCTGAGGAATCGCCACACTGACTTCCACAATGGTTGAACTAGCTTACAGTCCCACCAACAGTGTAAAAGTGTTCCTATTTCTCCACATCCTCTCTAGCACCTGTTGTTTCCCGACTTTTTAATGATCACCATTCTAACTGGTGTGAGATGGTATCTCATTGTGGTTTTGATATGCATTTATCTGATGGCCAGTGATGATGAGCATTTTTTCATGTGTCTTTTGTCTGCATAAATGTCTTCTTTTGAGAAGTGTCTGTTCATATCCTTCACCCACTTTTTGATGGGGTTGTTTGTTTTTTTCTTGTAAATTTGTTTGAGTTCATTGTAGATTCTGGATATTAGCCCTTTGTCAGATGAGTAGATTGCAAAAATTTTCTCCCATTCTGTAGGTTGCCTGTTGACTCTGATGGTAGTTTCTTTTGCTGTGCAGAAGCTCTTTAGTTTCATTAGATCCCATTTGTCAATTTTGGCTTTTGTTGCCATTGCTTTTGGTGTTTTAGACATGAAGTCCTTGCCCATGCGTATGTCCTGAATGGTCTTGCCTAGGTTTTCTTCTAGGGTTTTTATGGTTTTAGGTCTAACATTTAAGTCTTTAATCCATCTTGAATTAATTTTTGTATAAGGTGTAAGGAAGGGATCCAGTTTCAGCTTTCTACATATGGCTAGCCAGTTTTCCCAGCACCATTTATTAAATAGGGAATCCTTGCCCGATTTCTTGTTTTTGTCAGGTTTGTCAAAGATGAGATAGTTGTAGATATGCAGCATTATTTCTGAGGGCTCTGTTCTGTTCCATTGGTCTATATCTCTGTTTTGGTACCAGTACCATGCTGTTTTGGTTACTGTAGCCTTGTAGTATAGTTTGAAGTCAGGTAGCGTGATGCCTCCAGCTTTGTTCTTTTGGCTTAGGATTGACTTGGCGATGTGGGCTCTTTTTTGGTTCCATATGAACTTTAAAGTAGTTTTTTCCAATTCTGTGAAGAAAGTCATTGGTGGCTTGATGGGGATGGCATTGAATCTATAAATTACCTTGGGCAGTATGGCCATTTTCATGATATTGATTCTTCCTACCCATGAGCATGGAATGTTCTTCCATTTCTTTGTATCCTCTTTTATTTCATTGAGCAGTGGTTTGTAGTTCTCCCTGAAGAGGTCCTTCACATCCCTTGTAAGTTGGATTCCTAGGTATTTTATTCTCTTTGAAGCAATTGTGAATGGGAGTTCACTCATGATTTGGCTCTCTGTTTGTCTGTTATTGGTGTATAAGAATGCTTGTGATTTTTGCACATTGATTTTGTATCCTGAGACTTTGCTGAAGTTGCCTATCAGCTTAAGGAGATTTTGGGCTGAGACGATGGGGTTTTCTAGATACACAATCATGTCATCTGCAAACAGGGACAATTTGACTTCCTCTTTTCCTAATTGAATACCTTTTATTTCCTTCTCCTGCCTGATTGCCCTGGGCAGAACTCCAACAACCTAAACCAGGAAGAAGTTGAATCTCTGAATAGACCAATAACAGGCTCCGAAATTGAGGCAATAATTAATAGCTTACCAACCAAAAAAAGTCCAGGACCAGATGGATTCACAGCCGAATTCTACCAGAGGTACAAGGAGGAGCTGGTACCATTCCTTCTGAAACTATTCCAATCAATAGAAAAAGAGGGAATCCTCCCTAAGTCATTTTATGAGGCCAGCATCATCCTGATACCAAAGCCTGGCAGAGACACAACAAAAAAAGAGAATTTTAGACCAATATTCCTCATGAACATCGATGCAAAAATCTTCAATAAAATACTGGCAAACCGAATCCAGCAGCACATCACAAAGCTTATCCACCATGATCAAGTGGGCTTCATCCTTGGGATGCAAGGCTGGTTCAACATATGCAAATCAATAAATGTAATCCAGCATATAAACAGAACCAATGACAAAAACCATATGGTTATCTCAATAGATTCAGAAAAGGCCTTTGACAAAATTCAACAACGCTTCATGCTAAAAACTCTTAATAAATTAGGTATTGATAGGACGTATCTCAAAATAATAAGAGCTATCTATGACAAACCCACAGCCAATATCATACTGAATGGGCAAAAACTGGAAGCATTCCCTTTGAAAACTGGCACAAGACAGGGATGCCCTCTCTCACCACTCCTATTCAAAAAAATTTTTTTAAATCGAAGATTTGTTCTTCAGCGTTAGCACAACGTTGGAAAGTCAAAGTGCTATTATTTATCTAAACACTAGGGGGAGATCTTGATTTCTCTTGGAGTGTTTTATTTATTATTTTATTTTTACCTTTTTTTATTTTAATTTTTAATTTTTTAATTTTTGTGGGCATGTAGTAGGTGTATATATTTCTGGGGCACATTAAATACTTTGATACAGGGATGCAATGTGTAGTAATCATAATAAATGGGATATCCCCTCAAGCACTTATCCTTTGTGTTACAATCCAATTATACTCTTAGTTATTTTTAAATGTACAATTAAATTATTATTGATTATAGTCACCCTGTTGTGCTATCAATTCTAGGTCTTATTCACTTTTTTTTTTTTTACTTTTGAGACAGTCTCGCTCTGTCGCCCAGGCCATAGAGCAGTAGGGCAATGTCGGCTCACTGCAACCTCCACCTCCCAGGTTCAAGTGATTCTCCTGCCTCAGCCTCCCTGTAACTGGGACTACAAGTGCATGCCACCATGCCCAGCTAATTTTTGTATTTTTAGTAGAGACGGGGTTTCACTATGTTGGCCAGGATGGTCTCAAACTCCTGACCTCAAGTGATCCACCTTCTTTGGCCTCCCAAAGTGCTGGGATTACAGGCGTGAGCCACCGCACTTGGCCCTTATTCACTATTTCTAACTACTTTTTGTACCCATTAACCATCCCCACATCCCCCTCTCCCACCCCCACTACCCTTCCCAGCACCAGCTTTTTCAGCCCTTCCAGGTGAGCTCTTTGAAGTTTGTTTTTTAACTCTAAGGTCTTGAAAAGCTCAACCAGTCCTGTATGCTGATTTCATATCTTCCTAAGGAATCCTTGGGTGCCACTTCATTTTCTGAGCCCAGCATTTTGTTCATGCCTCTCCTTCAGCCCTTGTTCTGCACCATAATTACGTGCTCATCTTTTGCATTAGACTATGAGCACTAAAAGAATTCATGTATTCTCATCTTTTTGTTTCTTATGCCCAGCATAGAGCATGACCTATAATAGATGATCATAAATGTTGATAGAATGATTCACTGTTCCAATGTCTTCTACAGAAGTCTTTTGCATTAGTCCAGTGCTTAAAGCATATTCACACTAGCATAGTTCAACCAAATATTCTTAAGAGCAATAAAAAACAAGTGAAAAACCATATAAAGGCCTACTCCACCCACACTGAGTTATCAGTTTTTTTTTTATGAAGTCAGAAATACCATAATCATGAGCTTAGACTTAAAATTAACTTTAATTGGGATATAATTCATATACCATAAAATTTATCTTTTGAAAGTATCCAACTCAGAGGTTTGTAGTGTATTCACAAGGTTGTGCAACCATCGTGACTACCTAATTCCAGAACATTTTCATCACCCCCAAAAGAAACCCATACTCAATAGGAGTCACTCCCCAATTTCCCCTCCCCCCAGCTCTGGCAATCACTAATCTGCTTTCTGTCTCTATGAATTTGCCAATTCTAGACATTTCATATAAGTGGAACCATACAATATGTGACCTTCTGTGTCTGGCTTCTTTCACCTAACATAACATATTCCAGGTTCATCCATGTTGTAGCCTTTATCAGTGCTTTATTCATTTTTATGGCTGAATAATATTCCATGGTATGGATATGCCACATTTTGTTTATCCATTCATCAAGTGGATTGATTCCATTTGTTTGTTCATTTGTTTTAATCTTTTGTTTTAAGTTCAGGGGTACATATGAAGATTTGTTGTATTTGTAAACTTGTGTCATGGGGGTTTGTTGTACAGATTATTTCATCACTTATGTACCAGGCCTTGTACCCAGTAGTTATTTTTCCTGATCTACTTCCTCCTCCCATTCTTCACCCTCTAGTAGGCCCCAGTGTCTGTTGTTCCCCTCTTTGTGTCCATGTGTTCTCATCATTTAGCTCACACTTATACATGAGAACATGCGGTATTTGGTTTTCTGTTCCTGCGTTCTTTTGCAAAGGATGATGGCCTCTAGCTCCATCCATGTTCCCACAAAAGACATGGTTTCGGTCATTTTTATGGCTTCACAGTATTCCATGGTATATAGGTACCACATTTTCTTTATCCAGTCTGTCATTGATGGGCATTTAGGTTGATTCCATGTCTTTGCTACTGTGAATAGTGCTACAACAAACATTCATGTGCTTGTGTCTTTATGGTAGAATGATTTCTATTCCTTTGGGTATATACCCAGAAATGGGATTGCTGGATGGAATGGTGGTTCTGTTTTTAGCTCTTTGAGGAATTGCCACACTGGTTTCCACAATGGTTGAACTAATTTACACTTGGAGTATTTTAAATCCTTCCCTCAGCTTGCTCTGAATTAAATTTGTTCTATTTTCAGTACAAGTGAATCAGTGTGAGATTTGCATATTTATCAAAATAAAAGGATATATGACAAGTAAATGTAATGCAGTGTCTTGGGCGTGATCCTGGAACAGAAAAAGAACATTAGATAAAAATTAAGGAAATCTGAATCAACTGTGAAATTTAGTTGATAAAAGTATATCAACGTTGGTTCATTAGTTGAGACAAACATAGAATACTAATTCATGTAAGATGTTAACATTAGGGGAAAGTGAATATAGGGTATATGGGAACTCTCTGAACTATGGGAACTATCTTTGCAATTATTCTGTAAGTCTAAATTATTCCCAAATGAAATGTTTATTTAAAAAATATTTTTTCAAAAAATGAAACCAGAACCTAATTCCCATAAAAATACTTTGAAAAGACTATATTTGAAGAATAAGTTGACTATTAGGAGTTTGCTAAATGAGCTATAAATATCTGAAGATATAATTAAATAGGATTAGATAAACTAAAAATACTTAAATATAAAAATATGTGTTATTTGAACTTCTCCACCTCCTACCAAAGAACCCCTGTCAGCAGAGGAGGTGAAGGGGGAAGAGGCTCTGGGGACTGAGTCCAGGGAAGCCGGCTTCAAGTGCCAAGTGTTTGGCAAGTTTCTTGGGTCCTCATGGTAACTCACGTGTATAGGCTACCTTGAGGCTTGTCTTAGCCTGGCGTTCCATCTGGAAAAAACATAAAACTGATTCTAAAAAGCATTGAAAAGTGACAAAAGTCTGTTAATGTTTCTTAAGGAGCCATCACAGAGGTTTATGGGCCACAATACCTAACAAGAGTTCCCACAAATCCACTCAGACCTCTCTCACACTCTCATGTTCCCACTCCTCACAGGAACTCTCTCATTGCTCTGTTCCCTCTCAAATCCAAAACACGCTGTCCCTAGACTCATTGCTCTCTTCCCCTCTGCTGTCCTTTTCCTTACTCCCGCCTCTAGAATCCATTTGTTCCTCCCTCCAAGTGGCTCCACTCCACTTCTTTAGAGCCATGGTCCCTTCTTTGTGGTGGGAGGGATTACCGGTCTGTGGTTAGAGTGTCCATCCACCAAGACTCTGGTTCTCTTCCGCCTGAGCGTGAGGTAGGATTTAACATCCCTGGCCATTCTCTTCCTTCAGCCAATGGAACGTGAGCAGAAATGACATGTCATTTCTAGGCAGAAGGCTTCAGGGGCTGGTATGTGACTCCTGACCTTTCCTTCCCTCCGCAAACACTGTCATTCCAGGTGGTGGAGCCTCCCTCAGCGTGCTTTCCCTCAGCGTGCTCGCTTGAGTGAAAAAACGTGAAGCCCTCCATCCAACCACAGGGACATATAGAAGGAGAAAGGAAAATATCTTTGTGGTTTTAAGCCCCTGAGTTTTGGGGGTCGTTGCTGAATACAACATAACATAGTTCATCCTAACTATCATGGAGCCACCATACCTCCAAGCAACACATAGTCTAAAAAATGAGTTCCCTCATTTTACACGTGAAGAAACTGAACCACGGGGAGGTTGAGTCACTTGCCCAGTATCACCTAGCTACAAAATCGTGAAGCCAGGATTGAAATCCAGGAAGTCCGGCTCCAGAGCCTGTGCTTTAACACCGTCCCCTAAAGACTCCCAGAGAAGACCAAGAAAGCATGGGACCGTCCTCCCTGCCTTTCCTCCCCACTCTGGGGCCGACTGCTACTTCCATCTTCCTGGGTGGTTTCCTAGGCCTGCTAGGTAGATGTTGTCCTGAAACTTACCTGTGTTAGAACCTTTCCCTGGATCTGTGTTTTTTCTTTATTGGTTTACTCCCTTGTTTTGCTGAAGCTTCCTAAGTGGCTCATAGGAAAGGATGCATGAGAGGTAAACTTTTGAAGCCTTCCTTGAAAGTTTAAGATTACATTATATTTTTAAATTATACATAAATATTATATATTTATTATAAATATAAATGTATAAATATATACAAATTTGTTATATATTAATTATAATTAATATAACATATATTTATATATTAATATGTTATATATTTATTATATATTAATATGTAATTAATATATAATTAATATATTAAATAATATAGTAAATATATATTTATATATTAAATATAGCAAATATATAATGATTTATACTTATATTAAAATATTAAATACACAATTATGTATGAGTGTATTAGTCAGGTAATAATTTTTTTATATTTACTTATTATATTATAATAAATATGTTTATTATAATATAAATATATTACCTGACTAATACACACTTCATAATTGATAGTTCAGAGGATATATTTATATATAATAAAAATATATAAATAAAATATATATTCATGTACTATATAATATACAATGTTTTATTTATATATAATATAAATACATAAAATATGATATATGATAGTTACAATAAATTTATAAGTATATATTTATAATATAAATTATATATAACATATTTATAATATAAATATATATTATATAACAGATTTATAATATAATAAATTTATTATAACTACAATATAAATTTATAAATATATAAAATGTATATAAATATTATATTTTAAACTTCCTTGAAAGTTTAAAAATATTAACCATTGTGATGGTTAATTTTATGTGGCAACTTGGCTGGGCCGCAGAGCCCAGATATGTGTCAAAAATTATTCTGAATATTTCTGCGAGGATGTTGGGATGAGATTAACATTTACATAGATGAATTTTGAGCAAAGCAGGTTGCCCTTCATAGTGTGGGTGGACCTCATCCAATCATTTCAAGGCCTGGATAGAACAAGACTGGCCTGCCCTGAGCAAAAGGGAATTCGGTCAGTGGATGCCTTTCACACCTGAACTGCAGCATTAGCTCTTCCCTGGGTCTCCAGTCTACAGGCCAACCCTGCAGATTTTGGACATGCTGGCCTCCTTAATTGTGTGAGACAGTTCCTTAAATCTCATAGATATTTATACATGCATCCTGTTGGTTCTGTTTCTGTGGAGAACCTGACTCATACATAATTCATATAAGTGACGGTTCAGAGGATACAGTATTCTCTCCCAAAAATAATAGCTCCTCAGAATGTTGAGGGTATTACCCCATGGTCTTCAAATATTTTAGGTTGGTACTGAAAGTCTTTTTGTCATTCTATTACTGTTGCTTTGAATGCGGCTCTTTGCCCACTCTTTCTGGGGAAATGAAAAGGATTTTTGTGTGTGTGTCTCAAGTGTTTTGATATTTCATCATTTTACACACGCACACACACACACACACACACACATTTGTTGTTGTTGTTAAGGTCTTTTTTAAAATGTGCTGTTCTGGAAATACCATTCTGGATATGAGCCCTGGCAAAGATTTCATGACAAAGACTGTAAAAGTAATTGCAACAAAAACAAAAATTGACACGTGAGACCTAGTTAAACTAAAGAGTTTCTGCCCAGTAAAAGAAACTATCAGCAGAGTAAAGAGACAACCTACAGAATGGGAGAAAATATTTTCAAACTATGCATCTGAAAATGGTCTAATATCCAGAATCTATAAGGAACTTAAATAAATTATTAAACAAAAATAATCCCATTTAATAAACGGGCAAAGGACATGAACAGACACTTCTCAAAAGAAGACATACACACAGCCAACAAACATATGAAAAAAATGCTTAACATCACTAATCATTAGGGAAATGCAAATCAAAACCACAATGAGATACCACCTCCCACCAGTCAGAATGGCTATTATAAAAAGTCAAAAATTAACAGATGCTGGTAAGGTTGTGGAGAAAAGGGAACACACACTGCTGGTGGGAATGGAAACTAGTTCAGTCACTGTGGAAAGCATTTTAGAGATTTCTCAAAGAATGTAAAACAGAACTACCATTCGACCCAGCAATCCCATTGTGAGGTATGTACCCAAAGGAATATAAAGCGTTCTACCATAAAGATACATGCAGATCTATGTTCATCATGGGACTATTCACAAAAGCAAAGACATGGAATCAACCTAAGTGTCCATGAACAGATGACTAGATAAAGAAAATGTGGTATATATACACAGTGGAATACTATGCAGCCATAAAGGAGAATGAAATCATGTCCTTTGCAGCAATGTAAATGCAGCTGGAGGCCATTATCCTAAGCAAATTAACACAGAAACAGAAAACCAAATGCTACATGTTCTCTTGTATAAGTGAGGACTAAACATTGAGTACACATGGACACAAAGAAGGGAACAACGGATACTAGTTCTACTTGAGAGTGGAGGGTGGGAGGAGAGTAGTCTGTACACCAAACCTCCTGACCTGTAATTTAACCATGTAACAACCCTGCACATGTACCCTCTGTAAAATGAAAGATGGGAAAACAACAACAACAACAATAATAATAGTAATAATGATAGGGAAATAACCCAATTAAAAAATGGGACAAAGACCTTAACAGATACCTCACAAAAGAAGATACGCAGGTGTCAAATAAGTATATGAATATACATCCCATATCATATGTCACCAGGGAAATGCAAATTAAAACAATGAGATACCGCTACACACATGAGAAGGGCCAAGATGCAGAACACTGACAACATCAAATGCTGACAAAGGTGTGGAGTAACAGGAACTTTCATTCATTGCTGTTGGGAATGAAAAATGCTACAGCCATTTTGGAAGACAGTTTGGTAGCCACTTACAAAGCTAAACATACTCTTACCATATGATCCAGCAATTGGGCTTTTCAATATTTACTGAAATGTGTTGAAAACGTATCTACACACAAAAACCTGCACTTGGATGCTTATAGCAGCTTTATTCATAATTGCCAAAACTTGGAAGCAACCAAGATGTCCTTCTGTAGGTGAATGAACAAATATGCCCAGATAATGAAATATTATTCAGTGCTAAAAAGAAATGGGCTGTCAAGTGTGAAAAGATAAACAGAAAAATTAAAGGCATATTACTGAAAGAAAAAATTAATCTGAAACAGCTACATACTGCGTGAGTTAAACTATATGATATTCTGGAAAAAAAAAAAAAACAAAAAATATGGAGACAGCAAAAATCTCAATTGCTCCTAGGAGTTAGGGATAGGGAAGGATGAATAGGCGGAAGACAGAGGATTATTAGGACAGTAAAAATACTCTGTATGATACCATGATGGTGTACACATGTCGTTATGCATTTATCCAAACCTATAGACTATGCAACACCAAGAGTGAACCCTAATGTCAACTGTGGACTTTGGGTGATAATGATCTGCCAATGTATGTTCGTGAATTGCAACATCCCCCACTCTGGTGGGGGATGTTGATAATGGGGGAGGCTATTCCTGTGTGGGGCAGAGGATGTATGGGAAATCTCTGTACCTTCCACTCAGTTTTGCTGTGAACCTAAAACTATTTTAAAAACTAAAAACTATTACAAATAAATAGAAATATGCTGCTCCAGGCCCTCAACAGGCCTTTTCAGCCTGGGAACTCACGAGCTCCTATTCTTCTATTCTGGAAATGTTCTTTCCTCATGCATGTACTTCATTAGACCATAATACGCTTTGTCAAGGCAGGAACCATGTGATTCTTGCTCATGATTCTTTTATGGTGCCTAGTGAAGTACCTGGAGCCCAATAGCTATTTAATGAGTGAACTAATGAATGAATGAATGCAGGAAAGAACATGAGTGCTTTGGGAAGAAGATATTCCGCTGAGCTTCGGGGATGCCAAGCTTAAGGTGTACATTGTATGTAAGAGCCTAGACCCACGAAATATATCAAGGCTGCAAATGTAGGCTAGGGAGGTAACTGCATATATTTGGTACTTGAAGCCCTGGTGGTGATATGGTCTCCCTGGAAAGGTATATGGAGTGAAAAGAAAAGAAAGTGGCTAGTAAAGGGCAGTAAAGTCCATGGTTTCTCTGAATGAAGAAAAAATGTTGTTTTCCAAAATTTCCAAACAAAAGCGAAACTCATGGAGAATTTTCCATTATCCTATGGCTTTCTCTATGTCTCAGCAGAACTTTTCATATACTGTAAGAAGCATGATACTAGAGTACACTAATTATTAAGGTTCATCACCAAAACTCACCCCTTCTATATCCACAGAGAAAGAGGCATATGCGGGTAGGTAACAGAAATGACAGGAAAAGCTATTGACAGATGAGAATAGTGGCCAGAAGAGAAATATAGGTGAAGTGTTCTGGCCTACCCAAACCCTCAGTCTCCAGCCCAGATCCTCGGCTCCTGAAAACACTACAAAATACTCCCCCAGTACTCCACCCCTGCCACTAGCAAGTATCACTTGCAGGCCCATCCTTTGCTCTCTTAACCATGCCCACATGCTCTTTCCCACCGCGTCTTATTCCTCCTCTCTAAGAAGTCTTATTCTCTGTGTAAGAAAGCTTAAGTCCTCTGCTTGTTCAGCCTAGCTTGAACTGAAACCAATATCCCCAATACCAGCTAAAGTTAGCTAACGTGATCTAATTCCTGGATATTTAGGGCCCCCTCTAACTGCCTCTATCACCAGCAAAATCACCTGCTGGGAACTGACTCTCAGCCCAGGTTCTATTTCTGTCCCCCACCCGCTTCATCTACCTCTGTAAGTTCTGAACCATCTCAGAATGAAGCTCCCAGAGAAACCCTGCCCTGCATGGTATATTCCTGCCACTGCATGCTTGCAGATGCGCTCATAATTGAATTTGTTCATTTTAATGGTGGAAGTTTGGGCACCTGGGAGCCAATTTTAGAAAATGCATTGGCTATTGGACAAAATGATGAAGTCCAGATCTAGCATGTGGGTCTGAGATTCTCCACTACTGGGCTAGCTAACCAGATTGCTAAAAGGAAGTAGAAAGAGAGTTTATGTGTTGTGACATTCTATACAAACAAGAATTCAGTTCACATTAGTGGAAAGTATTAAGAATCAATCTTTCTCCACAATGAAAAACACTGAATAAAATATATTTAAAACACTGAATAAAATATATTTAAAGTCACGTTAAAAGCAAGGAAGGTCTGGGCATGGTGGCTTATGCCTGTAATCCCAGCACTTTGGGAGGCCAAGGCAGGAGGATCACTTGAGCCCAGGAGTCGAGCCTGGGAAACATAGTGAGATTCTTGCCTCCACAAAACATCCAAAAATTAGCTGACCATGGTGGTGGGCACCTAGAGTCTCAGGTACTTGGGAGACTGAGGTGGGAGGATCACTTGAGCCTTGGAGGTCGAGGCTACAGTGAGCTGTGATTGTGCCACTGCACTCCAGCCTGGGCAACAGAGCGAGACCCTGTCAAAAAAAAAAAAAAAAGAAAAAAAGAAAAAAGAAAAAGAAAAGACAAGGAAGGATTACCACATGTCATGCCACATTTTGGTGGGAAAAGCCTGAACCTGGAAGCCAAAGAAAAAAAGTATCTGAGCAACAAAACCCTTCTAAGGGGGCTTACTGACACTGATCACTTAGTCTTGAGTTCCCCAGCCTCATGTGGCCAAAAGGACAGAGTCAAGGCCCAGGGCCACTCAAGAAGAGGAAACTTGGGGATAACATTTTCTATGTCAAATGAACCCCAAAACACTACATAATAAAATAAATTATAAACAGAACTAAACTCCTCCTACTTCCCAGTAGTAATGGAACAGGGAAAAACAAACAAAAGAGAAAAAAGAGAGAAAGAAAAAAAGAGAAGAAAAGAAAGGGAAGAGAGAAAGAGAAAGAAAGAAGAAAGAAGAAATAGAAAAGGAAGAAAGAGAAAGAAGAAAGAAAAAGAAAGAAAGAAAAAGAAAAAGAAAGGAAAAGAAAGAATCAAATCCCTAAGAAGTTATGGGCATAGATTGGTCCTCATAAGTATTTGTACTCTAGACAAACATAGCCTGGGTGAACAGAGAATCTCAAGTTGAGACCATCCACAACCAGTGTGCCCTTGCACTTGGCAGAAACAAAGGCAAAACCTCTATGAAACAGGAATAATTTATCCTAGGCACCAGGGAACCCACAAATTTTTCTTAAGGGCAATGACCAGCAAGCAAAAAATACTAGACACACAAGAAAGCAAGGCAACATGAATGAAAATTGGTAGAACAAAAGAGACTACCCAAATTTCAGCTATTCAAATTAGCAGGCACAAATTATATAAATGATAAGTTTGAAAATCTCTGTAAGAAACCATTAAATACAGAAAATCCCTGTAAGAAACCATTAAATAAGATTTCTGTAAGAAATCTTAAATACAGCAGATTTAAGAAAAAGCAACATAGAAATTCTAGAAATAAGCCAAGCATGCTGGTTCATGCTTTGGGAGGCTGAGACAGGAGGATTGTTTGAGATCAGAAGTTCAAGACCAGCCTGGACAACATAGCAAGACCCATTTTTACAAAAAAAAAAAAAAAAGCTGGCATGGTGGTATGTGCCTGTAGTCCCAGCTACTTGGGAGCCTGAGGTGAGAAGATTGCTTGAGACCAGAGAGTTCAAGGCTGCAGTGAGCTATGATCGCACAGCTATACTCCAGCCTGAATGACGGAGAAAGACCCTGTCTCTTAAAACACACACAGACACACACACTCACACACACACACACACACCAACAACCAAAATAAAAACTCAAAAGACATGTTTGGTAGTAGAAAATTAGTGAGCTAGAAGATAGGGCAAAAGAAATCACTCAGAGTGTGTAACAGAGAACATAGAAAATACAGCACAGGGAGTGATGGCTCATGCCTGTAATCCCAACACTTTGGGAGGCCGAGGCGGGCGGATCACCTGAGGTAAAGAAATTGAGACCAGCCTGGCCAGCATGGTGAAACCCCGTCTCTACTAAAAATACAAAAATTAGCAGGACGTGGTGGGGCACATCTGTAATCCCAGCTACTCAGGAGGCTGAGGCACGGGAATCACTTGAACCCGGGAGGCCACCATTGCATTCCAGCCTGGGCAATAGAGTGAGACTCTGTCTCAAAGAAAAAAAAAAAAAAGAAAAAAAAGTACAGCAGAGAAGTATCAAGATAAAGTCTTAACTATTTGTGATTGGAATCCCAGAAGGAGATGAGAGAGAGAATGGGGCAGAGAGAATATCTGAAGAGATAATAGCAGAACATTTCTTAGAAAAATATGAGATACCTAATTGACAGATTCCAAAGGCTCAGAATATATTTTTATTTATGCTGCTTGTGATTTTCACACCTGAATACATCATAGAGGAAACAAAAACAAAGACAGTCTTAAAAGTAGCCAGAGGGGAAGTAAAAGAGAGAATGTCTTCAAAGTAGAAGCATTTAGACAGACAAGTGAGTTCTCAACAGAAATAATGGAAGGCAGGCCAGGCACAGTGGCTCATGTCTGTAATCCCAGCTACTTGGGAGGCTGAGGTGGGAGAATTGCTTGAACCCAGGAGGTGGAGGTTGCAGTGAGCCGAGATCATGCCGCTGCACTCCAGCCAGGGCAACAGAGCAAGACCCTGTCTCAAAGAAAGAAAAAAAAAGAAATAATGGAAGGCAGATG
This sequence comes from Homo sapiens, assembly GCF_000001405.40. Taxonomy (NCBI): domain Eukaryota; kingdom Metazoa; phylum Chordata; class Mammalia; order Primates; family Hominidae; genus Homo; species Homo sapiens. The sequence goes on from NC_000004.12 coordinate 48,457,583, forward strand.
ACAATGCCATAATGTCTTAAATAAGCTGCAAGAAAATAACTGCTGTATCAGTCAGCATTCAACCAGAGAAGCAGAACCAGAAGGAGATATATATTAAGAGACTTGTTGTGGGAATTAGCTTACACAATTGTGAGAAGGACAGGCTGGAACTCTCGGGTACAAGTTGAAGAGACAATCCACAGGCAGAATTTCTACTTTATTCTGGGAAGCCTCAACTCTGCTCTTAATGTCTTTTAACTTATTAATCATGCCCATGCAGATTATCTAGAATAATCTTCCCTACTTAAAGTCAACTGATTATGGACTTTAATCACATCTACAAAACCCCTTCATGGCAACCCCTGGTGTTTGATTGAATAACTGGAGTCTGTACACTAGCCGGTTCGACATATCAAAAGATCATCACAACTGCTAACCTAGAATTCCGATGAATTATATCTTCAATGAAAATATCTTCCATGAATGAGAGCTGGCCAGGCATGGTGGCTCACACCAGTAATCCCAGCACTTTGGGAGGCTGAAGCAGGAGGATCGCTTGGGGCCAGGAGTTCGAGACCAGACTTGGCAAGATAGTCTACAAAAAAATTGTTAAAAAATTAGCTGGGCATGGTGGCACATGCCCGTAGTCCCAGCTACTGGGGAGGCAGAGGCAGGAGGATCACTTGAGCCTAGGATTTTGGGGCTGCAGTGAGCTATGATCATGCCACTGCATGTCAACCTGGGTGAAAGAGTGAGATCTTGCCTCTGAAAAAATAAAAAATGAATGGAAGCCAAGAAAAGATATTAAAACAAAAATAGAGCTCATCACCAGCATTTTATCACCAAAAGAAATTCTAAGGGATATACTTCAGATAGAAGGAAAAAGGTCTCAGATAGACCGTCTGAGTTTCACTAAAGAATCTGAGAAGCAAAATAAATAAACAAAATAACGAAAGAAAAGAGAGATACAGTATATACTTTTAAACTATTGCTAGAGGGCCAAGAGATTGAATGATAAAATAATGAATTCAAAGGAAGTCAAGAAAACAAAAATAACAGGTTGAGCAAAAAATAAGATGATAGGTTTAAATCCAGGTATATCAATAATCATATATTTACAGATAGACAAAATGCTCCAATTAAAAGACAAAGAAGAATTGAGTGGGTAAAAAAATTAGTTATTTGCAAGAGACACATCCAAAATATAAAAATATTAAAAAATTAAAGGTAAAAGGATGAAAAATATTAATCAAAAGAATTATTTAGTAGCTACATTATTATCAGAAAAAAAAATTAGAGATCGAGTCATTTCAAAATGACATTAAGTCAAGTCATCGTGAAGAGATGAAGACCCTCAAAATAAATAAAACAAACACAGGCACATTACAAAGAGAAACAGATAAAAAGTCTACCATGGTGTGAGGTTTTGGTCACAGATTCAAAGTTTGTCAGAAGTTTCAGAGAGGTCAATGAACGCTCATGTTTGTGTGATTTAAAAAATGGTGAAGACATCTTTGTAATAATCCCAAAGTCAGGGAATAACGTGTATCTTTCCTGAGATAATTAAATTATTATGAAGAAAATAAATCACGATAAAATAAAGGGAAACCTTAGAATTACTAACACAACTTCTGATACAGATAATTTGCATTACATTATTAGAACTGAAAACAGTCACAAAAAATAACAAATCACCAAGAATGCATGGATACCGTGAAGTAATGCCTCTCAAATGTGTTTTGCCTGGATGTGTGTTGGAGAATGATAGGAACTAAATGTAGGCCTGGCGCAGTGTCTCACACCTGTAATCCCAACACTTTGGGAGGCCAAGGCAGGAGGATCATGAGGTCAGGAGTTCAAGACCAGCCTAGCCAACATGGCGAAACCCCGTCTATACTAAAAATACAAAAATTAGCTGAGTGTGGTGGCGGGCACCTATAATCTGAGCTACTTGGGAGGCTGAGGCAGGAGAATTGCTTGAAACCAGAAGATGGAGGTTGCAGTGAGCTGAGATGACACCACTGCACTCCAGCCTGGGCAACAAGAGCGAAACTCTGTCTCAAAAAAAAAAAAAAACTAAAACTAAATGTAATATCAAACAGTGGCTAATAGAAATTAACACTCTGCCTAAATGTCTACACTGGAAGAGGCAAAGTCAGGTCAGAGAACGCATCTTAGACTTGAAGTTAGAAGCCCTTGAACCTGGGTTCAAGTTATTCCCCTGTCCTTAGCCAGGAGTCATCAGTTATAATTAGCTGTGGGGCCTTGAAAACATCCAATCCTTTCTGACTACGCACTTCAGCAAACTTTAAAAGGGTTGCCCCTTTTAAAAGAGTTTGACACCATCCAAGGGTAACCCACCTTACCTCCATTCTGACCCCAGGACTATCATCCTGGGGAAGCAAATAGAACGATTTTGCCATTTTCTCATGCTCTGTCTCTGGGAAGGGGTAGGATAAGCATAATACTCCCCATCATCTTGGGGATAGGATTACCACATATCACAAAACCCTAGAGAACATGGCCTGAAACCAGAGGGAGCACAGAGAGGAGGAGAAGCATGGAATGGGAAAGAGAACAGCACAAGCTCTTTTGGACTGCCCAGCAGGGTTCTGTGCCCCTTTGGTACACCTGACTCATAACTCACAACTTGCAGCCCACCACACAGTGAATACGGCTTTTTACATATCACTTACTGCTTTGCAAAAAGTCCCAATACAGTTCCCAAGAATTCTCCAAGTTCCCTTTGTCATGGTGGCAAAGGTAGGGAGGGCCACAGAAAAGCAGCCTCATGGACTCAAGGAGAAAACAGTTCTTCACATAGCCAGAAGCCTTCACAGCAAAAACATGATCTTTCTCTTAAAAAGATCAATTTCATCATTGCAGGGATTTTTGTGAGACTGGGGAGATAATCCATTTGGAAGTTTCAAGAAGTTAGAGAGGTTTGAACTGTGAGAGAACGAGAACAAATCTTTAATTTCTGATCATGTATATTGCTAATAAGTGGCCCCATGAAGTGATCCAAAAAACTTTACCGAATAAGACAAAATATGAAAGTAATTCCCTAATGGGACTTAAAAAAATATATGGTTGAGCCATATGAAGTTGCTGATATTTGAACATTTATTACCTATAAAAACTGTGATTTCATATGTTTCAACTCATTTAAAAGATCAGAAGGAAATGTCCATAAACATTTTAAGGGAGTGCATTAGGGATGTAATATTTTGACTGAGGAAGAGAAGACCAGAAACTGCAAATAAAAGAGAGTAGAACTCTCTTTGAAGAAAAGCCCGTGGACAAGATGGCATCTTACTTATCGAACACAATATAATTTTAGTTAGCCAATTCATAAACAATTTCCCTGACTTTAAATAATATAAATGGCATAGAGACATGATAACCAAAACTATGCAATGTTCCTTTGCAAAGAACCACATAAGGAGACCATTTCCAAAGTCAAATGGAATGATTTATCCTCATTCATTTTCCTTATCTGTTTCCCTTATTTGCTTCATGAGATAGAGAGAGACTAGATACTCACCAAATACATTCCTTCCTCTTAAACACACAGCTAAATCCCTTTCCCAGGCCTCTTGCACCTAGGTGGCACCCTGTGACTCTGGCATATTGGTAAATGCTTAACACCTGGCTCTCTAGATGAACAAAGGCCTCATCTGTAGCATTTGCCTACTATTGCATGGTGTGAATATTCACACAAAGGCCAATTTCAAACCACCAATATGGTATCACTATAGTAGAATTGGGAGGAAATGCATAAAAGTGACTCTATGAAGCTGGGACCAGCAGGTTCCAGCACACCTGGAGTCACTGAGATGGTGACTCGTTCTTAGCAAAGGAATTTGAGCAGAAGCGACGTGTGACCTAGGCAAGCAATTATGAGGTCTTCTCCTCCCTAACTCGTCCACTCCCTCAGAGCTTGGCAGCCCCACAGGGAAGATGATGGAGCTGCAAGTGGTAGGGGACTAAATTTTTGAGTCCCTTCCTGGAGATGAACTGTTCAATGAACTGCTCAGAAACATCCACACTAGACTTCACATGAGTGAGAAATAAACTTCCACTATCTCAAACCATTGACAGTTCAGGGCTATTTGTTAAAGCAATTAGCCTGTTCTGACTAATATATTGCCTTTTTAGAGAAACTGCAACTACACTCCAACATATCTGATTTTTATCAATTGTCTAAGTCTTGCTTAAACTCAGACTCTGACCAGCTGTATCAGTCCATTCTTGCATTGCTATAAAGAAATATCTGAGACTGGGTAATTTATGAAGAAAAGAGGTTTAGGCCGGGTGTGGTGGCTCACACCTGTAATCCTAGCACTTGTGGGAGGCCGAGGCGGGTGGATCACCTGAGGCCGGGACTTCAAGACCAGCCTGGCCAACATGGTGAAACCCTGTCTCTACAAAAAATTCAAAAATTAGCTGGGCCTGGTGGCAGGTACCTGTAGTCCCAGCTACTCAGGAGGCTAAGGCATGAGATTCACTTGAACCTGGGAGGTGGAGGTTGCAGTGAGGAAGATCTGGCTGGAGACACAGATCCAAACCATATCCCCAGCATATAATCATTTAAGTTATATAACAATTTTTAATCCTGCTGTTAAAAAAGTCTTCATTTTCCAATAAATCATGATCATCATCAGGCATTTATTAAATTACGAAGTTAATGTTTCATAATTTTAAAGAGAGACTTTAAGGAAAACAATAAGAGACATTTTAGTCTCAAATTTAAAAAGACTTTAAAAATAACTATTTAAGCCCTTTGAAATAGCTAAGTATCAATTAGCAAATCAGGCATCCATTCAGTTATATAATCACTTCCACCCTTGGAAGAATGGATATAGAGAGATGCACGTCGGACTTTATTTTCTTGGCGAACTTCCAATCTGAAGATAACAGTGGTTAATAAATTACATGTGACAGGGTTATATTAATTCACTTAAAACTGAAGTCGAATTTCTTGGCAGAATTTCTCCTAATGGTGCAGGCTCTAAAATAGGACACATCTAGTGAAATTTATGCTATAATTGACCCCAGGTGGCTTTGTAATGCTGCTAAATGCAGCCATAAAGATAGAACCCAGTAGCTGAGACAAAGGACAGTACAAACCGAAGTCATGGATCTGATTTTCTGGAACCACTTGAATCATCAAATTCTAACTCACCAATCAGACAAGAGGGGGAAAAACATCTTTTCAGCATCTGTTTTTAATGACTGATAAATTTCTCACTAAGTATCCCCTCTCCTCCATGGAGGTAGCCTTTATTTTGGATGGTGGAAATTCCCAGGAACAAGCTTGGCCGTAAGCCTCCCCTCTTGCTGAGGCTCGCCCGACACTCAGCTCTAGGATGGTGTAGTTGGAGGAAGGATTTCCAGGGCATGAGGGGACTGGCAGAGCATTCCTCTGGTGATATTTTCCTGCTAGAAGACCCCTTGGCTTTCAATACTCCCAACTTCACAGAATGCAGCCTCTCAATACATTTTTCAGCTGAAGTTTATAGAGAAAAAATGTTTACTTATGACCCCAAATCCAATATCTTAAAAATGATGCATAGGTAAAGTCTCAAATTATTTCTGAAAATAACTAGGGGACATCTGAATGGTGTGAGGATGGTTTGAAAGGCATCAAGGGTGGTCTGGCTGGGCCATTTTATTAGGGGGTCTTCAGTGTCATTATCTTTTGATCACAGCTTGTAGGTTCTGAAAACCAAGTGGAAGGAAAGAAGCTATGGAAAGCACAGTATCCTGCTTGCACACGTTCACCTATTCTTCTGCTTACCGTATTTGTGCCCTCAACTCTTCCTGATATCCCCCAGTGCAGAGACTCTTTTACCTTCTCCAGAGAAGAAACCTCCCATCGAGAGGAGCATCTTAGTCAGTTCTGGCTGCTGCTACCAAGTAGTATAGACTGGGTGGCTTATGAACAATTGAAATGTATATCTCACAGTTCTGGGTGCCAGTATAAATTGGCTGTGGTGAGGGCTTTCTTCTGGGTTGCAGAATATTGTCTTTTCACTGCATCCGCACATGGCAGAAAGAGTGAGAGAGCTCTCTGGGATCCCTTTTAAGGGCACTAATCCTATTCATGAGGGCTCCACCCTCATGACCTAATCATCCCCTCAAAAGCCCTACCTTGTAATACTATCATATTGGTGTTAAGATTTTAACATATGAATTTTGGGGGAACATAAACATTCAGTCCATAACAGGGAAGTTGTACAGACACATAAACTGGAGTGTAGAACTGGACATTTAACAACCTCTACTTCTTCTTTTACTCCTCTCCCCCTACTCCCACACTTGAACCTCTTCTCCTCCTTTGAAAACAGGTTTTATTGAGATATAACTTACATACTGAGAAATCCACAAACCTTAAGGGTGGACCTAACAAAGTGCATCGTTAACAAACCTCCTGATGTTGGCCTATCCTTTGCCCCATCTTCCTCAAGTACATGGTGCTGTACATTCTTGAGCCATTGGGAATTTTGGGATGTAAATGGAGTTACTGGTGTAGTCAAACCCCAGTCTGGGTGACAGTTGGGCTGGCTGTCATTACTAATTCTCTCAGGAGACATTTCTGTTTTCTCTTTTTCTTCCCTAGCACCTAGGCTGAGATGAACAAGATACATTTTTATGTGCTTTGCCTTCGCTAAGGCACAGATACTTTTTCCTCTCCTACCTTTGTGAGGAGGCTGTGGCCCTTCAAGGCTCTGGCTTTATGTGGGCAGTCCCACTTCCTACTCCCCACCTGTGTATGCCCTGGGTTCTGTCTCTTGTGCCCTGTCTTTGCTTACCCCCATCGCAGCCTCTCTCCAGGGTTCTGGGTTCCTAGTATTGGCAGATGCTACATTCCTGGTTTTCAAAGACTATTTATTGTATTTAATTCAGCAGTTTTGGTGTTTTGTAGCTGGAGAATTTTTCAGAATATCTAGTCTGAGGTATTGCCAGGAACAATTAATCTTGTTAAATCCTATTCATCTTAAAAGGCTCAACTCAAAGGTCACCTCTTATGTAAAAGCTCTCTGTCCTTCTCCTGGAGGAGTTAGCCTTTCTTCCTCTAATGAAAGAAAGCTTCCACAGGCCCTGGTGACATCCCCACTCCAGGGCCGTCACTCACTTAAAAAGTTGCCTTAACTGTGTCCTTAGGGATCTGTCTCCACCACCAGTTAGGAGCTGCTCAAGGCAGGCACTTTAGGATGCATCTCTTATCTTCTACATTTAGTCCAGTGCCTACCACTGGGGTGTGGTGGGTGGGGGGAGGGAGAGGGGAAGAGACAATTCTAAATACTCACGGAATTAAAAGAAAGTAATTGATAATGCACTAATGCCATGGTTCAAGTTCTGCCGAGGCTCGCTCCCAGTCATGTGTGTTATGAGATACTCAATATACACACATTCAATACAAACACGTATTGGATGCCTTCATTCTGTCCCTGAAACTTGCCAAGCTTCTTCCCATTTCAAGGTCTTTGCAATTGTTTTCTTTCTGCTTGGAATGCCCTTCCCCTGGAAGTTCACATGGCTACCACCTTCCTCTTAGGTAGGTCCCAACTCAAATGCTGCCTTCAGAGACAGGGCTCTCCTAACCACCCCCACCCATGCCCAGCCAGGTTATCCAAATATTCTCTTCCTCATAGCATATGATTATAGAATCACTTAAAGTTAGCTTATTTTTAAAAACGTAATGCAATCTACATACTAGTATTCTCAGAATCTAGGATGATGCCACATGATAAATATTCAGTAAATAATTTGTGGACTGACTGCCTAATATGAATAGGTGCAAAGGATTTTTAAAAAATGAATATGGGGCCCTGGTAGGTTCACAAAGTTCAACTGCTGAAGACAGATCTTCTTTCAGACCACTTTTGAGATTTTTCTATGGCTGTGGTAGACAACTCGTAACATCTGCCTTTTTCTAGGCCAAAGTTTTCTAAGTTATCCTCTGGAACTCTGGGGATCTCACTCATCATGGAACCATGAGTTGGAGTGGGTTCAGCCTGTTTTCTAGGTAAAGTCCTGCCTTCGTCTGTAGGTAGTGCCGGCTTTGGTTCTCCTCAACAGTGTTACAGAGTGGGGTGGAATTCCTTCCAGATGGGACTTTGGCTCTGTTTGCCTTAAAGCATGTCCACCCCCCGCCCCCCACCAACTGCTTCTGCCTGTCCTTCCATCCTGTACTAGGTAGAAGGGAGGCATGAGATGTAGATAAGGGAGAACACACTTAGTTGGGATTTAGAAAAATGAGGTGGTACAAGGTGCCAGGGAGTTAGAAGAGAGGGTAGGGCTAAGAAGTGGGATAAAGGGAGAAAAAAAAAAGTGCAAAGGCCTCAGAAATAACTTGGGCCTATTTGGATAAGTAGGGTCAATTTTGCCTACAGTTAGCTTGAAAAAAAAAAATGCAGTTTCTCTTGACTTATCTTGGCAGGAAAGCTTGTGTGAAAATGGGGTAAGGGGGCCAAGCAGGGTCACTGACACTTGTAATCCCAACACTTTGGGAGACCGAGATGGGCAGATCCCTTAGCCCAGGAGTTCAAGACCAGCCTAGGCAACATGGTGAAACCCTGTCTCTACAAAAATTAGCTGGGTATGGTGGCACGCAGCTGTAGTCCCAGCTAATCTGGAGGCTGAGGTGGGAGGATTGATTTGAGCTCCGGAGGCGGAGGTTGCAGTGAGCTAAGATTGCATCACTGCACTCCAGTCTGGGCGACAGAATGAGACCCCATCTCAAAAATAAATAAATAAATAAACAAACAAATAAAAAAATAAATAAAAAATAAAAGAAAGTTGGGCAAGGAAGGGGGTGCAAGATGACAATTTTTTTTTTGTCCTGGGACATGAGCTTCTTAGCTGACAAGGAATATGGTGAAGCAGAGCATAGATTTCTCCTTCAGTTCTAACACTGCAGTCATTCTAAATCTCTGTAGCCCAGTGGAAATGTGCACCCTTCCTGTCTGCACCCCAGCCTTCCAACCATACTCCCACTTAGCTCTACATGCTAAGTGTGTCTCTTTGGAAATGGTTCTGACCACATCCAGCCATGTGTGCACATGGCTTCCAGCAGGGCCCCTTCCTTCAGCTCTAGAGTACCAAGAGTTTGTTAAAAATGCTAGTCCTCCTTCAGAGATTCTGATTCAGTAGACTCAATGATGGGTCCAGGTATCTGCATTTTAAACTAGCACCACAGGGATTCTGATACAGGCAATTTGTAAATGACTCTTTTATAAAATTGGTAGTTAGATTTACTAAATATTTCTATAAGCTAAGTGTGGTGCTAATCCCTTTAGATGCATTATCTTAATCCACACAAGAGCTCATCCAGTTATAGCTGAGGACACAGGCTGAGACGTCAGCTAGAACTTGTAAACGATGAATCCTGGCCTTAAAAACAAAGGCCTCTGATTACAAAGCCCACATTCTTTCATGGGCTAGGGATAGCTTTTAAATCTTTAAATTATTTTAGGAGTTTCTAATATCTTGCTACTCAAAGTGTGGTCCATGGACCTGTAACATCGAAGTCTTCTGGGAACGTGTTAGAAAAGTAGACTCTCAGCCCTCCAGGCCCTGTGAATCAGAATCTACTTTTTGACGGGATACCTGTGTGATGTCTATACACATGAAAGTTTGAGAAGCACTGTGATAATATATTTTATTTATTCATTTGTACCCTCATCTCATGCCAAAATAAATTACTGATGTCATTTCCTATTACATATTATGGAAATACCTTATACTGTAGCTTGCATATGATTCCTATTGGTTTATGAGCTATAATTCATCCATTCAACTAGATTTAGTGGAACTGATTTTATTATTTGTCACCCAGACTCTTAAAATTATCTCCTATTTGGTTTATCTGCCTTCAGTCTCTCCTGTCTTTTAATCTATTGCTAGAAAAGATTGAAAAAAAAAACAGTGGAACACATTATTGCAACAAAATCTTGGTGAAAAACCTACAATAATTAAAGTGCAGCTGCTCCGGTTGAAGTGTGTGTGCAGTGGAGGGTGGGGTCAGAGCTCTGTCTTTTTAGCTCCCCCCAGAATCCCCAAGACACTTCCCGTGAACTCCCAGGGGGTCTGTGGAGCACAGATGACCATGCTTACTCTCCCAGTTCCCCACCACAGCACTGTGACTCTTTCAAAATCAATTAAGTGATGCATTGCATATAATTTGGTAATAATGAAAGTACAAATGTTTGTGATGAATTTAGTTTAAAATAACTTGGAGGGAGTGGATTGAAGTCATGCTCTCTCTTGCATTCCAATATGCTTTCTTTAGGATGAAAGCCCTAATATTAGATACACACAGGAAAATGGGAGGATGTCACCATGGATGTCGTGGTGGGAAAAAGTCAAGAGTCATGGATCTAGGCTGGCTTCCAGGTTGCTGCCAGAGAGAGCTTCTTTAAAGCTGTAACTCTTTTTGCCTATAAACTCATCCTCCACAGCCTACAGAATTAATACGACCAATCTGCTTACCCCTGCTTATCTCTCTCATCTCCCACTCCTCCCAACCTCTCCAGGACTCCAGGACTCCAGCCCCCTCATGCCAAAACACAGCAGACCTTCCATGAGTCTGTGTCTTCCCAGGTGCTGTTCCTCTGCCTGGAAACATCTTTTTTTTTTTTTTTTTTTTTTACAGAGTTTTGCTCTGTTGCCCAGGCTGGAATGCAGTGGCGCGATCTCAGCTCACTGCAACGTGCACCTCCCAGGTTCAAGTGATTCTCCTGCCTCAGCCTCCCGAGTAGCTGGGATTACAGGAGCACGTCACCATGTCCAGCTAATTTTTGTATTTTTAGTGGAGACAGGGTTTCACCATATTGGCTAGGCTGATGTCAAGTTCCTATACTCAAGTGATCCACCTGCCTCAGCCTCCCAAAGTGCTGTGATTATAGGCATGAGCCACTGTGCCAGCTTGCCTGGAAATGTCTCTTTTTAAAAAAAAAAAAATTTTACTTTAAGTTCTGGGATACATGTGCAGAATGTGCAGGTTTGTTACATAGGTATACATGGTGGTTTGCCACATCTATCAACCCATCATCTAGGTTTTAAGCCCTGCATGCATTAGGAATTTGTCCTAATGCTCTCCATCTCCTTGGCCCCCACCCCCGACAGGCCCCAGTGTGTGATGTTCCCCTCCCTGTGTCCATGTGTTCTCATTGTTCAACTCCCATTTATGAGTGAGAACATGCGGTGTTTGATTTTCTGTTCCTGTGTTAGTTTGCTGAGAATGATGATTTCCAGCTTCATCCATGTCCCTGCAAAGGACATGAACTCATCCTTTTTTACAGTTGCTTAGTATTCCATGGTATATGTGTGCCACATTTTCTTTATCCAGTCTATCATTGATGGGCATTTGGACTGGTTCCAAGTCTTTGCTATTGTAAATAGTGCTGCAATAAACATACGTGTGTATGTGTCTTCATAATAGAACGATTTATAATTCTTTGGGCATATACCCAGTAATGTGATGCTGGGTCAAACAGTAACTCTGGTTCTAGATCCTTGAGGAATTGCCACACTGTCTTCCACAATGGTTGAACTAATTTACACTCCCACCAACAGTGTAAAAGCGTTCCTATTTTTCCACAGCCTCTCCAGCATCTGTTGTTTCTTGACTTTTTAATAATTGCCATTCTAACTGGCATGAGATGGTATCTCATTGTGTTTTTTATTTTCATTTTTGTAATGACCAGTGAAGATGAGCTTTTTACATATATTTGTTGGCTGCATAAATGTCTTCGTTTGAGAAGTGTCTGTTCATATCCTTTGCCCGCTTTCTGATGGGGTTGTTTTTTTTTCTTGTAAATTTGTTTAACTCTCTTGTAGATTCTGGATATTAGCCCTTTGTCAGATGGATAGATTGCAAAAATTTTTTCCCATTCTGTAGGTTGCCTGTTCACTCTGATGATGGTTTCTTTTCCTGTGCAGAAGCTCTTTAGTTTAATTAGATCCCATTTGTCAATTTTGGCTTTTGTAGCAGTTGCTTTTGGTGTTTTAGTTATGAAGTCTTTACCCATGCTTATGTCCTGAATGATATTCCCCTCACCTCCCCTATTGCTTTGCATGGTGCCTATCCCAAAGTAGATGCACTGTGAAGAGGGTTAAGTGAATGAATGGATGAATAAGTGAATGGAGTAGAGGAGAGGGGGGAGAGAGAAGGAGATGGGCAAAGAGAGAGAGAAGCTCAGGTATGCAAAGAATTAGAAAAAGAGAACCAGAGAGACATGAGGAATCCTGACCTTCAGTGCCTGGCCCTAATCCGTCCTGGAGCCTGGCTGTTCTACTTGCCTTTGGGATCTTTGATACTGGTTGTTGCCCTCACATTGGGCTCTGTTGCATCCTTTTATGTTTGTCTGTGAGTTGCTCAAGGGCAGAGATCTAACCTCACTCATCTTTGTATCCTCAGGGCCTGGAACACAGTAGGACAACAAGCTATTTCTCCCTTTCCACATGGAGAAAACTAAAGAAACTACATCATGTTTTAGGGTGTTTAGAGCCCTCTTTCTACCCTTTGCTGAAGGTGACATATGAAAACACTCCTTTGAATGAAAATAAAATACAGTGTGTTCTTCAGGGTTCTAATTTATCAGAAAGATTTTTCAAGTTCTAGTTTTTCTATAGTATCAAGAATTATTTATGTTGATTCCCTAAAGAAGCACCAGTACTTTATCATCCCAGTCATTTTCCATTTGCGTGAGATACACATCAGGAATTTCCTTCTTCATGTCAAACTCAGCACTGCACAGAGCCAGGCTTTTAAAACATAATTCATTAGCTTGGAAATAGGAAGTGACAAGAAGTAATTGATCTATTTCAATTTGCTCTCACAAGAGCTAGCTCTTATTTCTTTGCCCCATGGCCTCTTTTTATTTAGTGTATGTATTTTCCCCCAAATTTTTATCTTTTTTTTATTCAAAGGGGAGCAAATTTTAGACTGTTAAGGCTATTTTAAATCACAATTACAGACCTCTCAGTCTAAAATATCTACTTGCCTATTGCAATTAAATCTAGAAATCAGGCAATACCAATGTCTCCTGTTTTGCTGCTGCTCTCATCTCAGCATTCTAGCCAACCTTCTTTATTCTCTGCTTTCCCCTGCCCCCACGGAGATTTTAATTTTGTTAAAACGTTTTTACTGCAGCTGTGACTCAGGCAGCTCAGTTAGCTGCAGAAACACAATGTCATTTAATATTCCAACCCACAGCCCAGACAGTTTCACATTGGGTCATTTGGAGCAGAGCTGTTGAGAATGCTTTATATGACAATGATTGGCAACACCCTGCTGTTGAAAAAAAGGCAGCATGAAAAACAGCTAGTGTGCTCCTAGCAATATCTCTGTTCTCAATACCAGACCATGAACAGGAGCCAACTGAACAGAACCAAATGTGATCATCAGGTGACGATGTAATACTAAAGCCACACTCTTGATTTCCTCTGTGTTGGTTGGATAAGATGCTTTCATTCATTAATCCATTCGTTCATTTAATTATATTCAAAGTGGACCTATTTCAGGATAGGCACAATGCAAAGGCAATGCTAAGACATAAAACAATAGGGGCACAGCTCCTGCTACTAACATACCTGTAGTCTGTTGGAAAAGGTAGATTTCAAAAAAATATTTACAGGTTGTCTGGAAAACCAAGGAAGATAGCACTGAACACTAACAGAGAAACCAAAGGGGAGTTGAAGGGGCTCACAGAGGAAGTGAGATGTGAAGTATATTTCGAGGGATAAACTGGATATTTCCAGATGAAGAAAAGGAGTGGATATATCCCCCAGCAAAGAGATACATATGCAACAGCAAGAGACTGGTGTTGGCAGCTAAGGTAGAAAGGAGACAGGGTGGGATGGAGATCATGAATTCTACCTTATGATGTGTTCGCAGTATCTGGTTGATTTAGCAGTCAGATGAGATTTGGGGCTAGCAATAGAGATTTGGAAGTTAATGAGATCATTTTTGAGGTTGGACACGGTGGCTCACACCTGTAATCCTAGCACTTTGGGAGGCCAAGGTGGGCAGATTGCTTGAGCCCGGGACCAGCCTGGGCAACATGGCAAAACCCCATCTCTACAAAAAATATGAAAATTAGATGCATGCCTATGGTTACAGCTACTTAGGAGGCTGAAATGGGAGGATCACTTGAGCCCAGGAGGTTGAGGCTGCAGTGAGCTGAGATTGCACCATTGCACTTCAGCTGGGGTGACAAAGCGAGGCCCTGTCTCAAAAAAAGGAAAAAATCACCTAAGAATGTGCAGGGTGAGAAGAAAAATGAGCCCATGACTGAGTCTTTGGAACATTTAAGGATCTGACTAAAGAAAAGGGACACACAAGGAGTTGTGAAAAAGTGTAGAACGAGTACAAAGAAAAGTGTGTGGCAGATACACAAGGCCCTGCTTTTACCGAAACTGTCTTTCTCATTGTAGCATACTTTGTACCTGATAATCATTTGGATATCTATTAAATGAGTAACTTTAGATATGATCCCACTTAATTTTATCTTAGGAATGAGAAAAGTAAAGCCCAAAATTATGTAATTTGTGTAACTAAGGTATTTTCTTTATCTTTTTAAAAATTTTCACTACGATATAGCTAGGTATAAATTCCTTCCTTCCTTCCTTCCTTCTTCTCTTTCTCTCTCTCTCTCTTTTTTTTTTTCTTCAGTCTTGCTCTGTCATCCAGGCTGGAGTGCAGTGGCCTGATCTTGGCTCACTGCAACCTCCACCTCCGGGGTTTAAGCAATTCTTCTGCCTCAGCCTCCTGAGTAGCTGGAATTACAGGCACTCGCCATCACGCCCAGTTAATTTTTGTGTTTTTAGTAGAGACAGGGTTTGACCATGTTGGCCCAGGCTAGTCTCAAACTCCTGACCTCAAGTAATCCACCCATCTTGGCCTCCCAAAGTGCTGGGATTACAGATGTGAGCCACCACACCTGGCCTGAATTTATTTCTACTTACCCTTCTCAGGACTCATTATGCTTCCTGAATCTGGATACATGTCTTTCTTTGAGTCAAGAAAATTCTCAACAATTATATTTTAAATGATTACATTTTGTACATTCTTTCCTCCTGGAATGCCTATTAGATGTGTGTAGAGGTTTTTCATTCTATCCTCCATCCCTCATAATTTATCATATTTTTATTACCTCATCTCCATACTGCCTTCTGGGTAATGCCTCAAATCTATTTTTCAGTTTGCAAATTCTCTCCTTAGCCATGTTTAGCCTGCTATTTAACCTGTGACTGAGATTTTCGTTTCAATATTAAACTTTTCATTTCTGGAAGTGTTCTATCTTTTAAAAAATTATTTTTCAAATCAGCCTGGTCTTCTGGGAGCAATATTTTTTACCTTTTAATGTTTTATTTTCTGTCTTTAATTATGTATTTCCTTTCTATATTTTGGCCTCTAGCCAAAACATCTATTTACTGAGGCTCTTGAAATCTAATCAAGCTGTTTGGATGTTTCCTCATGGGTAGTTATCTTCTCATGTTTGTGACTGTTGATGAGAACTCTGAGGCCTGGGTTTAGGGTATGTCCCTCCAGACAGGCTCTGCTTTACTTCTGTTGGGTACCCTAGGATTTCACCATCCTGAGATCACATGTTGTGTCAATTTCTTAGGCTGGGTACACCTAGGCCACGCTACTATTATAAATTCTAACTTCAAACCTGCGTGAAGACAGGCCTATAGAGTGGGAGACAGAGAAATACTTAACAACCAGCTAGCTCTCTTGAGAAAAGCCCTGATTTGAAGCATTTGTCAATTGTTTTGCAAATATTTACATAATTGCTGATTTTAAGCAGCCAACTTAAGGCACTGAAGGAGGAGTTAGGAAGAAATGTGCACTTTCAGCTCTTGCAAACTACCACAAGCCATGGCTGCTAATTTCCCTCTGTTCCTAGTTCTTTCCACCAGGCCTCAGAATTGCAGTTCACTTGCATATTAGACTCCAAGAGGGCATCACAAACACCTTACACTCAACCATCTAAAACCCGAGTCTCAAACATGGCACTTTGCCTATGTGTTCTCTATCTCAGTTAATGTCATGCCCATTCATCCAGTTTTCCAAATTAAAGCCTAATTTTTTCTTGAATTATCTCTCTCCTTCTCCACAAATGTACCTTCTCTCAACTTCTATTTCTTCTCTCATATAAGCTGCCACTATTTTCCACTGGCATTATCATCATAGCCTCCTAGTTTGACTCCCTGGCTGGCCTTTATTCATCTGTATCCATTTGTCCAGGGCTTCTGGACCTGCCTTTCTGAGTCTTAAATCTGGAGATGTCACTTCCCTGCACAGAAAGCTTAGCTAACTTTCTGCTGTCAGCAAAATTAAGGTCCAAGTGCTTTTCATGCAATAGAAGCCCTAAATAATTTGCCCTACTACCCACTTTTCCATAGCTTGTTTCCTGTCCCTGCAACTTTGTTTTTTGTTTGTTTTTTGTTTTTTTTTGACACGGAGTCTCGCTCTGTCACCCAGGTTGGAGTGCAGTGGTGGGATCTCGATCTTGGCTCACTTCAACCTCCACCTCCCGGGTTCAGGTGATTCTCCTGCCTCAGCGTCCTGAGTAGCTGGGATTACAGGTGCCTGCCACCACGCCTGGCTAATATTTGTATTTATAGTAGAGACAAGGTTTCACCATGTTTCAACATGTTTCACCATGTTGCTCAGGCTGGTCTGGAACTCCTGACCTCAACCTCCCAAAGTGCTGGGACTGCAGGTGTGAGCCACTGTGCCTGGCCTGTCCCTGCCACTTTGTATCCACTCTCTGTTTCCAACATGGAAGTGATGTACTTCCATGAGTTTGCTCAAGGTGTTCTCCTGCCCTGGAATGGCCTTTGCCTTTCTTCACATGTTGAAGTCTAGTGCTTCCCAGTTAATGATGCTTAGACTCCACATCTAGGATTCATCATTCCCGTTTCTATTTGAACCTAAATATATAAAGTTCATCATAGAGTGCCTTGCATTGCAGTTGACTTACACTTAGAGCTTCAAGGTCTTTGAGAACACAAAACATACCTTAGACATGGTTAATGTTCTCTATCATTCCTACTGCCTAGCAAAACTTTGGGAGATTAATATACAGTTGTTAAATTGAGTGGTTATAATACAGTGTTACCAAAAGAACTCTGAAAGTTTAGGAGTCAATGTCTACTAATTACAGACAACTATAAAATAATAGAAGAAAAAATATATATAATATATATTCCAAAATATCAGTTTTTTTTAAGTTGTTTATATTTGGTCAGCTGTTAGGAGAGAGCCTAAGCAAGTATGATAAAAATGCTCAGGACCAATTCTTAATCCCCCATATCCAGCCCCCATTAAGTCAGGCACTGTTTTGCAGATGTAGTGGGGGAAAGCAGTGACCTTCTCCTCTGTCCCCTAGTCAATATTCTAGACAAGGCAGGGCAATGGATAGCAATGACAGGTGCTGGTGAGCAGCAGCTTTGGGTAATAATTCCCAGATCTCTTGAATGGCAAGACCAGTTCAATATTGGGAGTAAGAAAAGATGTACAAAACATAAAATTATTAACAGACCACGGTTCATCAGCATTCTTTACAATTCTACCAGTACCAGTTAGTGAGCAAGAGGTTGTTTCTATGATTTGATTCCTGCATAATGGACAAGAAGTTTATAATTATTTCAAGAAAAATCTATCTTTGAAAGTTTCAAAATAACACTTTCTAAAATAAGAAATGTTAATGCTTATCAACTTTGTATGGTGTGACAGAAAATGAAATAGTCCAAACCCAAACCAATTAGTAGAGTCCAATTTTAATAAAATTTCTTTTTCTTTCATCTGTTTTTGCTATTGACTGTGTAGTCTGGTTACTCAACAAGAGGTAATTTTTCAGTAGTGAGCCTTGAAACATATCACTGGAGTTTTTTTTTATGTTTAGATCAAATAAATTCTCAGTTTAATATCCTGCTAGAGCTTTGTAGATATTGTTTTCTCCTCTTCAGTTTATCAGATGACAAATGCCTCCTGATACAAGACTTTCTGCCATACAAAGATAGTTGTGTGAAATCCCCAGGAAAGGCTTCAAAAACATGCACCGAAAACAAGTTGAAATGTTAGGTTAAAGAATAGATGAAAACAAGGATGGGACTGATCAAAGAATAGAAGATTAGTAGGGAAAAGAGAGAGTGAAAACAATCTTCCCGTTAAAGCAAACTTTTGTTAAGCCTTGAAGAAATCTGTAGAAAGCGGAGCCCCTCTGGTACAGACTTGGAGATAACAGGAAAGGAGGGCCTGGAATAAATGAAACCTCAGTTGACACCTTGTTGGTAAGGACTAGGCAATTGAATCATATGATTTGAGAGCCGATGAGCTGGTACCTTTACAAAGCTGATTGCTGTATGAGATCTGACGTGTTATCAGAGCAAACAGGATAGGCCAGGGAGAGTCATGCGAGGACACGAGGAATCACAGCTTCAAAAATGCGGCAGGAGGTTTGGATGCAACAGCTACACACAGATCAACTTTGAGATGCCAAGATGATCTCAGCACAGGAGCTAGATTAGTTACAAGGCACAGAAAGTTATATTTTACATAGCTACCTGTTAGCTCTATGTGTATTTGGTAATGGTTAAGATCATCTCTAGGTATGGAAAGCTGGTCGTCCTTGATGATAGATGATGCTGTTAGCAATTGCTTGTTTTGTGGAAAAACTGAATGTAGCCCATACTTCCCCTTGGCCACATGAGTTTGAGGCTGCAATCCAGGAATATGGGCTACCTGCTTAGGGCTACCTTGAACTCTTATTACCTGAAGCTAACACAGTAAAGCCTTGGACTTGGAAATACCACCTAGAAAGTTATTGGATAACTAATGCTCCTTTTTTTTTAACCATTTCATAGAAATGGCCTTATTACTTAGGGACCCCTTCAGTTGCAACTTGAACTAGCTTGGCTAAAAGAAGAAGATTTAATAGCTCATATAACCAGCTAGGTGAGGAGTGTTGTTGGAAAGGACCAGAACAGGGTCTTGGTGTTGCCTGCACTTTCTCTTTTCCCCTCTCATCTCCTTTAATTCAGCTTTTATTTTTGGCTTTTTTCTCCCAGGCTGGGTGATATCATGAAATGAACCATAATTAGTAGCAGTTTCTGAGCTCACAATTTCCCAGCTTCTTAACTAGAGAGGAAAGGGCTCTTCCCCATGGCTCTTATTACAAAAAAAAAAAAAAAAAATCACAGGGAAGGATCCCAAGTGGCCAGGGTGGATCACGCTCCACCTCCAAATCAGTCACTGAGGGTAGAATATTGGTTCGTGGCATCACATCGAATGCAAAATTTAACTTTCACAAATTCAATTATGAGAATTAAATGAGGGAAAAACAAAAGAGAGATTGAATGAATGATATGTGAGCCAGGAAATATGAATCTGCAGCTACCAAGGTCAGCCTCAACTCCCTGTGCTTGTCATGGCCTGAGCATCTGGAAGAAAGATCAGAGGGTTCTTTCTTATACTCTGACCCCAAAGCCAGCCACTCCGCCTGGAAATCAGCTATTCCCATACTGGGGAAAGAATGTCATTGTGGCCTTGATGAAAAGAGATTATTTTATTGTTATAGGTATTTAAAGGATTTTCAAGGGCAAATATACTTACTTATAAATGAATTTCTCCCCACAAACTGATAATAAAATCTAAGCCCTGCTTAGGGCTACCTTGAACTCTTGTTAAGATGGGCTCAGAGTGGATATGGGAGGCTCATCCCTAAGCTATCACTGACAACTTGGAAGTGGGGTCCTGTAGGAAGGGAGCAGCTTCCATTTGGACTTTATGGTAGGAGCCATTGGAGGTGTGATTCCTCCGACAACGGAGGACCTATTTCCCAGAAGAATAGGGGAACAGTGCTGGGAGCAAAATAATTGAGATAAACAACATTGGACTCACTACAGAGGCGTCCACCGAGGGTGTAAGTGTCTCTAAGTGCCCTCCTCCATTTTGACATTCATGGGTCCACTTCCCCTCAGCTCCTCCCTGTGGCTTCCTGGTCCCATTGAGAGACCAGGATCACTTTTGTCATTGTCCAATTTACTTTCACTTCATTCTCAAAGTACTGCCTGCTCTAAGGTTCTTGTGTCTCAATGTTCCTCCCACTCAAACTGTTATTCAGCTACAAAACATATTTATCTCTGATACTGTGTTGCCCTCTCCACACAGAACCAGGCCAAAATTCCCTAGGGGACAAGGGAGGGCCTCAACCCATGCTGCCTCCTCTTCACCAATCCCCAGACAGCATCCCTAGCCCAGGCTTGTGCACCTCCTCTTTGCCCACCTAGTATATTTATTGGAATTTAGGGTTTATTTCCTAAATGCATGGAGATCTTAGCCCCTGGAGGCCACCATGCCATCTCAGTTTTCTAACAATCATCCGTCTCCAGGTAAGATTGCCAGGTGAAATATTTGAAACATCTTTTTACTAAAAACGTATTTGTTGTTCATCTGAAATTCAAATGTAACTGGATGTCTTGTATTTTTATTTGCTATGTCTAACAACTCTACCAGTGAGGCTTCCATAAATATGACCTCTGCCTGGCTGGTCCACCAGGCCACCCAGACATTCCTGAGCAGGTTTTAATATGCTTGAGTTCACCATGAGCAGACAAGCCAGGCCCTCACTGATTTGGAGTATCCAGACTTTTGTGCCAAGTGTATAAATGTAATATTGGGAATTAGTAAGTGTTTTAAGAGTGGCATACTTTTTGGACACAGAAAATAATCTTTCGTTTTATCCATCATTAGTTAGTTATTAAAGAGTAATTAATGTTGTTAGAAATGGACTTTTTTATTCTGTAAAATAGACTTAATTATATAAAGCAAGTATAATCAACAGGCCATGTTGCTTTTAGATACAAATCAGCTAAGAACAATGTTCCAGTCAGCTCTCCTGTTTGACGGATCTCTATTAAAAGCAAACCTTCCAGCTTCCTTTCAACAAAAGTGGCCAAAACAAACATGTCTGTACAATAGTCCCCCCTTATCCTCAGGGAATATGTCCTAAGACCCCAGTGGATGTCTGAATCTGTGGGTAGTACTGAACCCTATATATATCTACTATGTTTTTTCTATAAATACATACCTCTTACAAAGTTTAATTTATAAATTAGTTGCAGTAAAATATTAACAACAGTAACTGGTAATAAAATAGGACAATTATGACAATATGCCAGCATCACTACTGTTGCACTTTGGGGCCATTATTAAATGAAATATTAATTGAACACAAGCACTGGAATACTGAGACAGTTGATCTGATTACTGAGCCTGCCTACTCAGTGACTAATGGCTGCCTGTCTACACTACCTACCCATTGGTCACTAATGCCAGGCACCTGTAACCCCAGATACTCGGAAGGCTGAGGCAGGAGAATCGCTTGAACCCGGGAGGCGGAGGTTGCAGTGAGCCAAGATCATGACACTGTACTCCAGCCTGGGCAACAGAAGGAGACCTGTCTCAAGAAAAAAGAAAAGACAACAAAAAGGAATGCAAAAATCCTCCATAATCCAATATATTTTGGCCCAGTCTTTTTGAATGCAACTATATAAATACTTTTAAAGAAACTGGGGCCAAGAGCCACCCTGCAGTCTGCTATGACCATGCCTACATGCCTATGAATAGCCACTGCACTCCAGCCTGGACAATGTAACATCTCTAAAAAAATTTTTTCTAACAAAATACAAAAGAAAGAAATCAACATAAAACGGTACATAACTTGCTTTTTTCACATAAAAATATAACATGAAAATTTAAAATAGTTGCATAGTATTTATTCTATTATGTAAATAAAAAACAATTTACTCAACCAGTTGCATATTGTTGGATACTTAGGTTGTTTCTAATTTTTCTTCTACCAGTCTTATACGTTGTACTTAAATTGTCTGCAAGTCAGATGATTTCTGTAAATAGGCAAAATACATAATTTATAATAAAGTATTTTTATTATTAAACTGAAAAAGTTCTATTTCACTAGTAGTTAAATAAGCACAAAATATGAAACTTTTAAAACAGCATATTGACAAAGATTCTTAAGGTAGCAGTACTTACTTCTGGAAATGCAATGGAAGAAGCCCTCAAACACCTTTGAGGGTGCTGAGGTACTGAATACAACTTCTGTGTATGCTTATTGCTTTTCTGCCTACTCAACATCCATTTTTCCTCTTTCTGTTAACAGCACCCACTATTCCTCTGAGGAATCCCTTCCCCAAATTTGAGTTGATGTGTCTTGAGTGGGGATGAGACCACTCCCTTGCTTGAGTGAAAGCATTCCATCCTATGGCCACAATGATTGGTTGAAGGATGGGTACACTTCTCTTGCCTATTTTCTATTTAATTTTTAAATTTAAATGCTTCTACTCTTAAAAAGCCTCCTAGCTTCCTTTCAAGAAAAGTGGCCAAAACAAACATTAGTGTACAATAGTTCTCCCTTATTAATCCCAAGTTAACCCCAGGACTTTTATGAGAACTCCTGGAAGTAGGTGCTCTCTTTCCATGATTGTTTCTATGGTAGGATATATCCAAATTGATTGTATCCTTGCCACTGTAACATAATAGCATATATCTGAATCTTTTCCAGTACTGAAAAATGGCATCTAATTGCTTCAATTTAATTGCTCTGGATACTAGTGAATGTGACTATTTTCATAAACATGTTGGCTGCTTGCATCTCTTTTGTGATCTTGTGTCTATTCATGTCATTTGCCTCTTTTCCTATAAAATAACACAATAAAACTTATAAATTAATCATAAATTTTCTCTTAATTTCTTAAATGATGTTTTTACTATAACAAAGTTGAAAGTTTTTATGTATCCATATCTACTGAGCTCCCCATTATGATTTCTTCTGTTACTTTTTTGCTTAGAAAAATTTTCCATATCCAAAGATGAGATAAACACTTGCCAATCTTTTTCTCTAGTATTTTGTTGCATTATTATTATTATAATAGTTAACCCTTTAATCTACTTGGAATTAGCTTTGGTATACACTGTGCCACAAAGCTCTAAATTTATTTTTCCCCAAATAGCTAGCTTAATTTCATCTTCCTTCCTTCCTTAATTTTTTTTTTTGACACGGTTTGCTGTCACCCATGCCTGAGTACAGTGGCATGGTCATGGCTCACTGCAGCCTTGCCCTCCTGCGCTCAAGCGATCCTCCCACCTCAGCCTCCCAAATAGCTGGTACCACAGGCATATGCCACCACAGGCATGCGCCACCATGTCTGGCCAATTTTTGTAGTTTTTGTAGAGACAGGGTTTCACCATGTTGTCCAGGGTGGTGTCAAGTTCCTGGGCTCAAGAGATTTGCCCACCTTGGCCTCCCATAGGCGTGAGCCCCATGCCTGGCCATATTTTCTAAGTACTATGTTATCTCTCCCTTTTACATATTGTTTCCCCCTTGGGAAAAGAATACTTCACTTCACCAGTGTCACCACACCAGTGTCATCACACCTGGAGAATGGGCTTAAACCTAATCCTGGGGTTTTCTCATACATAGTGAGGAAGATGAGAAAGAAGGGGAGGCCAGAGCACCTGTTTTCTTTACAATGACAATCACCCCATCAGCAGGAGTGACATCAGGTGTGTAGGTCCCAAGAATCCCCCAAGATTGCAGGTGCAACATGCCCCATGATTTACAATCGCAGCCCATCATCCCCTTCTTTTTTATTTTTTCAGATGGAGTCTCAGTCTGTCATCCAGGCTAGAGTGCAGTGTCACGATCTTGGCTCTCTGCAAACTCCACCTCCCAGGTTCAAGCAATTCTCCTGCCTCAGTCTCCTGTGTAGCTGGTACTACAGGCACACACCACCATACCCAACTAATTTTTGTCTTTTTAGTCCAGATGGGGTTTCACCATGTTGGCCAGGCTGGTCTCGAATTCCTGTCTTCAAGTGATCCACCTGTCTCAGCCTCCCAAATTGCTGGGATTGCAGACAAAAGCCATGATGCCAGGCCCCTTTCTGTTTTCAGTCTTCGCCCATTGCACAAGTTGCCGCCCAAGTCCCTCCCTAAACCCTGAGAGGAGGTAGTTGGATGAGTTGAGTTGGTCTGCCTCTAATTACTGCTTATTTAATGTGATTGTGAATTTTAATATCATTAACATGATGAGGGTTTCTGAGGCAAATAGGAGTGGTGCCTGCACAGTTGGCTTCAGCTGGATCCCTTGCCATTTGTGTTCTTGGCTTATCTCATTCTGTGGTTTCAAGACTGTGAAGGCTCAGCAGTGCCTTCCCTCCTTATCTTGTCTGTTTCTCCACACATCTTCCCTGGGTCTACTAATGTAACGGTTGGGTAGCATGGATCATTGTATATCTGAATATCTTTCTTTTTACCTACATAAGGTGACATGTCAACTTAAAATATTTTTGGTCACAACCCACTTCCTTTAAAGTTTAGCTCACTGAAGTTTTTTTTTCTGGGTTTAGTGTTTTGGAAAAGTGTAAGGGTACATTATCCTCCTAGATTCTTGCAAAAGCTCTGCCCTCGTGGAATTTACAGTCCAAAAGAGAAAAAATAAATTATTTGTGATGAAGAGTGCAATATGCTTTGCATTTGCAAAGTCTTACTTTTCATAGTCTCCATCATCTTCATGAGATTTGGGGAGGAGGAAAGGCTCAGCCCACCCTTGGGTAATAGAAGTCACTCTGTGCCAGGACAGGAGTTAGGGAAAAGTTCCCAGATAGAAGAATTCACTATATCTTGGCTCCTTGTGAAAGCAACCCTGGGCTAAGACTGAGCCTTGATTTCATTCTAGAAATTCCTGTTGGTTTTTACAACTCAACTGACTATCACTTTATGGTCACCCCCAGGGAGCTAGATGCCTCCTTAACAGGCCCCACCTGGTTGGTAAGCAGCGAAATTATTTTCCTTTCTACATGCCATCTAGTGACTGACTTAAAAGTTGTTGCATCTCCATTCCTAAGAGCTCTGCTTTTGAATTGTTTTGGGATAAACCTGTCTCAAGCAGGGAATCTCAGCACTTTATTTCTTTTCAGTCCTTTAATCCTAATGCCAGGGCCTTACTCATAAAGCTTCGTAAATCTGTGGCCACTGAAATATCCTCTCTCCACCTGCCAATAACTTCTTAAACACACATTTTTCATGGAAATTGTTATTAGCCAAGCTCTTCTCTGCCCTCTTTAGGGACACATCGCCGTGCAGATTCAGCCAGGTACTTGTGGGTTCGGTTGATAAGACTGAGAATTCCTCGTTCCTCAGTTTCCTCGTTTGTAAAAATCGAGCTTGTAAAAATGGTATCTATCTCACGGCTTTGCTGTAAGAATCGAATGAAATAATGCACACGCACTTGCACAAAACCCGCTATATTATTATTACATTCTACTTTAAGACTGAAAATCATGCAAAAAATTGTTTGCAAATTCAAGCCAGATATCGTGTCCTGCTTACTAGAGAATCGCTCATATTAAGTCAAGCACCCCTCTTAGGGCTGCAGGCTATAGGAACAGTTTCTGCCATGAGCGTGCATCGATGAGGTTATCCACCCGCCCCCTCCACTTTGTGTGTCTGGGTCTCCAGATTTCATTATAAAGAGGCAGAGCCCATCAGAGAACTTGATCGGCAGCCAGGAACGGTTTTTTCCTGCTCTGGTCCTTTGTCAGGTCTTTGTTCCGCCCCTGGCTACACTCGATAACAGAACCACTTACTGGCGATTCACAGGAGGGGACCGGGCGGCAGGGCGGGGCGGGGCCTGCGGGGCGCGGGGCCGCGGCGCGGAGCCGGCGCAGCGATTGGGTTCACCCGGGGGGCCGCGCTGCGCGGAGTGCCAGGCTGCGGGCGGCTGCAGACCTGGGAGCGGAGACCGGCCCGCCGCCCCCGACGCCGCCGAGCACGTCAGCGGCGCGCAGCCGGGGCTCGGAGACCGACGGGCAGAACGACGGGCGGCGACTGCGGCGACCGCGGGACGGCGAGAGGCACGCGGCGGGAGGGGACCGGAATCCGCAGCTCCGGCCGCGCCATGGACGGCAACGACAACGTGACCCTGCTCTTCGCCCCTCTGCTGCGGGACAACTACACCCTGGCGCCCAATGCCAGCAGCCTGGGCCCCGGCACGGACCTCGCCCTCGCCCCTGCCTCCAGCGCCGGCCCCGGCCCTGGGCTCAGCCTCGGGCCGGGTCCGAGCTTCGGCTTCAGCCCCGGCCCCACTCCGACCCCGGAGCCCACGACCAGCGGCCTCGCGGGCGGCGCGGCGAGCCACGGCCCTTCCCCGTTCCCTCGGCCCTGGGCGCCCCACGCGCTCCCGTTCTGGGACACGCCGCTGAACCACGGGCTGAACGTGTTCGTGGGCGCCGCCCTGTGCATCACCATGCTGGGCCTGGGCTGCACGGTGGACGTGAACCACTTCGGGGCGCACGTCCGTCGGCCCGTGGGCGCGCTGCTGGCAGCGCTCTGCCAGTTCGGCCTCCTGCCGCTGCTGGCCTTCCTGCTGGCCCTCGCCTTCAAGCTGGACGAGGTGGCCGCCGTGGCGGTGCTCCTGTGTGGCTGCTGTCCCGGCGGCAATCTCTCCAATCTTATGTCCCTGCTGGTTGACGGCGACATGAACCTCAGGTACGGATCTGTCTATTCCTTGGGCATCTGTCTCATCCCAGACGCGCGTTTACGGCCGTGGGCTCACGACGAAGGACAGAGGCAGTGGAGGGGTTGGAATTAGGCGTGGAGGAAGGAGGAGAAAAGGAGAGGAAGTTGATGACGCCCCGGCTTTAGAAGTCAAGGCCGACCTGCAGGTTGTGCTGCTAGGGGAGCAAGCTAGACGGCGAGGGAGCTGCTCCAAGGCTGGGATTCCATGCGCAGCGCGGCCCTTCAGCAGGGTCCCTCGCCGTCCTCCCCGAGCGTCGGGGTGGCAGCGCAGGTCGTTGTCCAGTGGAAGACAAAGAGAAGGGGGAGTCTGAACTAGAACTCGCCGGCAACGTAAAAGTAAAATAGGGCTACTGGCCCGTCAGAGAAAGTAATCTCACATAGAGTGCAGGATTGTTGAGTCCGACCAACAAGTAGCAGTCAGCAGCTTTACCATGGCTTACCTTGCAGGGGGCTTGCAAGGAAGAACGTTCCTTCCCCTCAGAATCATCCAGGCTCAATAGACTTTATAATGTCGAGGGCAGCAGTACCGAGACAGGGGGCTTGTTTTTCCTCCCTGCCTTGGGTTCATAATTCCATCGGTGTTAGACGTGCTGCTCTCTTGGCACTCTCCTCGGATGTAGGTTCTGCCCAGACTTCAACCCCGGGACTTGCAGTCTCCCCGTTCCACCTCTACTCAACATACAAGAAAAAGGTTAGCTGGCTGTTTGACTCAAAGCTCGTTCTGATTTCTGCACATTCCCTTTTCTGCAGCATCATCATGACCATCTCCTCCACGCTTCTGGCCCTCGTCTTGATGCCCCTGTGCCTGTGGATCTACAGCTGGGCTTGGATCAACACCCCTATCGTGCAGTTACTACCCCTAGGGACCGTGACCCTGACTCTCTGCAGCACTCTCATACCTATCGGGTTGGGCGTCTTCATTCGCTACAAATACAGCCGGGTGGCTGACTACATTGTGAAGGTAAGGCCCCCTCTTCCCTTTCCATACTAGCTTGGAGAGCCCTTGATCTCTGACCCACAGCAGAAATGTTAGGAAGTTTGGAGAAGGCGGAAAGGAAGAAAAGGACTTGGAAGTAGTTGCATGGATAAAATTTTTTTTAAAAAGTTTATGCTACAAAGATAACTTCCACTTTTGGGATTCCTAGAATGACAGCTTTAATTAAGACACAGCTTAATCAAAACCAGCATAAGAGAACTATCAGTACTCATTGGAAGGAAACAGATCATAGCAGGGTGGGGAAGATGACAGTGTAATTAAATGGCAACATATTTTCCACTAATTGTATATAATTAAACATAAAAGCAGATTAAATAAAATTACTTTAATAGAATTGGTGCAGTATTTTAGAAATGCATGGCTATCTTTTCAAAAATGGAACTCTAATTCTGAGAAACTCTGTAGTAGGTTCCTTTAACATTTTATTAAATTTTTAAAAGTAAGTTGATACTAATAGGACAAAAAGTAATGGAAAAGTTACATTGTAGTAATAGAACACACAAAATATTGGCTTTAAAGCACAAAATAAAATTGGGTCCTGGATAAATAATGGAGGTTATGTTGACCTTACTAAATGTGTTTCTTTTTCTTTCTCCATTGCAATATTTTATATGGCTTATAAAGCTAGTGAAAAGATAGGGGATTTCTATAATTTGTGCAATATTTCTCCTAAGGCTTTGATTTTTTAAAAAATGAATGCTTTCTGTAGCAGTAGAGATTTTAATAGTTTAGTAGATTCTAGTAGTTGACTGGAGGAAAAAAAATCTTTGCAAAATTAAGCTGTCTTTGAAAATTCAAAAACAGTAGCAAAAAAGAATAAACCATGACCAGGATGCTGACTTCAGGTAATTAATCAAATAAAATACGTAACTATTACTGCAAAATGCACAGGCAAATTCCTTTAGACAAATGAAGAGAAAAAGAGCCACCCTAATGTTTCAATTATGTAGATTCAAGAAGACATAATCTTTTGTTTTACTTATTTTCTAAAGTAATTTGATTATATAGAGTCAGCTTTTATTAATATGAAAAGTAGAGAGTTCTTTTCTGTGCATATATCCAGGCTTGAGTAAAAGAAATCCTGCTCCATAATACACATGTATATGTGAATGTAAAAATGTATGTGTACATGTAAATATGCATATATTAATACCTGTAATATATACTCATAGATACTCTTGAGATGCATTAAGAACTTGTTAATCTTAATCATTAAGCTAATGCTATTAATGTGATGGCATTTACTATAAAACCTTAGGAAGTCTAAGAGAAAGTCAATCAAATGACCTATTTACACACCCAAAACAAGAAATATATTTAAAATAAATATATTAATAAATTAATATATTTAATATTTAAATATAATAGACATAAGATTAGCTACCTTTGAATTTAAGGTTAACCTAGCCCTATTCTTTAATTAACACACTATTAAGAAACGGTTTATATAATTGTTACACCTTTGCAAACACTTCAAAATGAGCATTCAATGTCAATGCTTGCCCAAATGATTTAAAATAGTTCTAAGGGACTTTGGAGCCAATATTTCAAAATGAAGAAATCAGACTGTTTGTCAGCGCTTTCAATGTGACATACTTTGAAATGGTATGCTTTTACATGTAATAGCCTGGTTTCTGCCAATTATGCATCTGTAGTATCTGTACCTTATATAATAATTATTGCAGCATCCTCTAGGGTAGAATTTGTGACCAGCTCAGATAAATTTTAAATAATTTTTTAAGAGTGTAGAGTTACGCCATTCCCGAAGACTGCAAAAGGGATATCCCAGCTATCCAGGGAACCAGAAGCAACATTTAAGCTGTTCTCTCTGGCTCTAGTTTCCTTTCCCTGCCCACTCCTCATTAAAAAAAAATAAGTTAACTACCAATATGAAGGAGAACGAGGAGAGGAATTTTTAGATTTCCGCCTTACAATTCATACAGACTGTTTTATTTGAATGAGTGAAATGTACCAGTCAGAACATCAAGATGACACGTTTTATACAGAAGTCAGTTGTACTGTATCCGAAATCCATCTATTGTAATAATACGTAAGCATCATTACAGACTTATAGATGGGAGGTTTCTCATGAACAAATAAAAAAGGGGAAAGTTGCCAAATTGCAAAGAATTCTTCACATATTTATTTACATTTTTCTCTCTTACATAATCTAAGAGTAGGTAATTGTTTCAATATTGCAAGCAATCCTCTGCAGTATATTTTGAGGGTTAAAAAGATCACACACTGAGCTTCAGACATTTTAATCAAGTTTCACAAGTTTTAACTCATGTAAAATGAGAACTAATTTCTTATGGAAAACACGGGGTTCAGTTCAGGGAAAGTAAACATCCACTTGTCTGCTCTGATGATCAGACCATACCTGGGGTATTAGGTTCAGTTCTAAATGCCCTGTTTTTAAGAGGCACATTCACATATGAAACACATTCTCAGAACAGTCAGGATACCAAAACAAAGTTATGTGATGGAGGTTTAAGTTTGGGGATGATCTGCCTGAAGAAGAGTAGCCTTCCCCTGATAACCAGTTTTTAAGCTTTTGAAGAGCTGTTTTTCAGGAAAAAAGCTTTTGAAGGCTATTTTTTTTTGAAGAGCTTTTTTTTTTTTTTTTTTTTTTTTTTTTTTTGGTGAAATGGAGTGTTGCTCTGTCACCCAGGCTGGAGTGCAGTGGCGCGATCTCTGCTCACTGCAACCTCCACCTCCCAGGTTCAAGCAATTCTCTGCCTCAGCATCCCGAGTAGCTGGGATTACAGGCATTCACCATCACACCTGGCTAATTTTTGTATTTTTAGTAGAGACAGTGTTTCACCATCTTGGCCAGCCTGGTCTTCAACTCCTGACCTCATGATCCACCCACCTTAGCCTCCCAAAGTGCTGGGATTACAGGTGTGAGCCACCGCGCCTGGCCAGAAAAGCTGGGTTTTTTTGTTTGTTTTTTGTTTTTGAAGAGCTGGTCTCTGTCGCTCCTGAGAGCCTATATCCAACTCAATGGCTAGAGGTTATAGAAGGCAAATTGTCCCTGGACATAAGGACAGGCCTCCAAACAATCAGAGCTGCCCAATGTGGCTCTGGATGCTTCCTGAAGAGGTGGCCTGCCCATCTTCAGAAATATTCTGTCAAAGGTCTCCATTTTGTGTTGGAGAGCATACTAGATGGGTGTTTTCTTCCGTGAGCTTAGGATTCTCTCGCCTGAGTTCATCTTCAACCATCTCATTGTAATTTTCTATTACTAGGTTTCCCTGTGGTCTCTGCTAGTGACTCTGGTGGTCCTTTTCATAATGACCGGCACTATGTTAGGACCTGAACTGCTGGCAAGTATCCCTGCAGCTGTTTATGTGATAGCAATTTTTATGCCTTTGGCAGGCTACGCTTCAGGTTATGGTTTAGCTACTCTCTTCCATCTTCCACCCAACTGCAAGAGGACTGTATGTCTGGAAACAGGTAGTCAGAATGTGCAGCTCTGTACAGCCATTCTAAAACTGGCCTTTCCACCGCAATTCATAGGAAGCATGTACATGTTTCCTTTGCTGTATGCACTTTTCCAGTCTGCAGAAGCGGGGATTTTTGTTTTAATCTATAAAATGTATGGAAGTGAAATGTTGCACAAGCGAGATCCTCTAGATGAAGATGAAGATACAGATATTTCTTATAAAAAACTAAAAGAAGAGGAAATGGCAGACACTTCCTATGGCACAGTGAAAGCAGAAAATATAATAATGATGGAAACCGCTCAGACTTCTCTCTAAATGTGGAGATACACAGGAGCTTCTATCTTGCTGAAATATTGCTTCATATTTATAGCCTGTGGTAGTGCACATGGTTAACATAAAAGATAACACTGGTTCACATCATACATGTAACAATTCTGATCTTTTTAAGGTTCACTGGTGTATTAACCAAACGTTGTCACAAATTACAAATCAATGCTGTAATATAATTTGCACCTGGAATGGCTAACGTGAAGCCTGAATTAAATGTGGTTTTTAGTTTTTACCATCACCAATTTCTATGACTGTTGCAAATACAGAATCTATTAGAAAACAGGGTCTTGGAAATGTAGAATTTTGGCGCACTATGAGGAAAAACAAGCTATCTTTGTAAAGCATAATTGAGTTTAATGTAATTGTTGTAAAAAAAAAAGTGTGCTTGCTCTACTTAAAATTCCTCACAATGTTGAATTTTGACCTGTATTCAGAAGAATTCCAAAACAGGTCAGTTAAATAAGGAAATATAGTATTTGTCAAACCAGTATCAGAGAAAAGTTACATTAATGTATTTGATTACTTGATCTGGTATCTACTTATTAATGAATAATCAACATTTTTCTAGTGGACAAGCCATGTTCTTTTCGACTGGTCTTCTGCATTTATGTAAACACACCCCAAATCAATTTATCTTTTGTAGGAATGATTTGGTTGGGAAATTTTTCAGAACCGCTCTGGAGCAGAACAAAACGGTACCTCCCGGTCACCACTGGGACTGGGGGAAGGGACACGCTCCAGGGGAGAAAACAATTCGCCTAGATGAAGATCCCTGGGTGGTTCTCCATGCACTCGCCGAGGGGGCTCAGTGGGTAGCCTCTTAGAGCAGCTCTGAGAATAAACTTATCATCTGAGTTAACGGGTAATAGACCCAGAACAGTTCCCAAACCTTGGCACTTTCGCTCACTTAGCCAGAGGCACCCGGCCTGGCCTCGGCTTCCCGGTGAGGGAGCGGGGGTGGGGGGGATGCGCAGGCACCTGGAACAATCAGGGCACCGGGAGAAGCCGGCTCAGCTGATGCCGGTGATGAGTTTCTCTCATTGAAATCCTCCTCACCTCGGGCGCCTTGGTTCCCTTACGGATCAGCCCTTTCATCACAAAGAAAGCCCTCTTTCCAGATCATCTAAGGGTCATTGTGCCAACATCCGGGCGTGGAGAGTTTCTGTAGGGAGAAGGACGAAGAGGGGCCCCCTCGGCGGGGACGCGGGCCGGTGGCAGGAAGGGCGTGGAGGGCGGTGCAGCGTGCGAGCCCCCGCCGAGGGCCATCCCCGCCTCCGCTCGGCCGCCCGGGCAAGTCGCCTATTTAGGGTGCGGCGGCGGGCGGGAGCAGTGCGCCCATGGCGGCCCTGGGGGACGAGGTGCTGGACGGTTACGTGTTCCCGGCGTGCCCCCCCTGCTCGTACCGGTACCCATACCCCGCGGCCACCAAGGGCAAGGGCGCGGCGGGCGGCAGCTGGCAGCAGCGCGGCAGGGGCTGCCTTCCCGCCTCCTCCCCCTGCTCGGCGGGCGCGGCCTCGTTGTCCTTCCCGGGCTGCGGGCGGCTGACGGCCGCCGAGTACTTCGACAGCTACCAGCGGGAGCGGCTCATGGCTCTCCTGGCGCAGGTGGGGCCGGGTCTCGGGCCGCGCGCCCGCAGGGCCGGCAGCTGCGACGTGGCGGTGCAGGTGAGCCCGCGCATCGACGCCGCGGTACAGTGCTCGCTGGGGAGGCGCACGCTGCAGCGCCGGGCCCGCGACCCCGAGTCCCCGGCCGGCCCCGGGGCCGAGGGCACCACGGGTGGCGGCTCTTTCTCCCAGCAGCCATCCCGTCGA
Source organism: Homo sapiens (assembly GCF_000001405.40). Taxonomy (NCBI): domain Eukaryota; kingdom Metazoa; phylum Chordata; class Mammalia; order Primates; family Hominidae; genus Homo; species Homo sapiens. The sequence goes on from NC_000004.12 coordinate 48,490,766, forward strand.
GGCCTGGAGCAGGGCAGCCCCCAGAACGGCGCCCCGCGGCCCATGCGCTTCCCGCGCACCGTCGCCGTGTACTCGCCCCTGGCCTTGCGCCGTCTCACCGCCTTCCTGGAGGGGCCCGGGCCCGCGGCGGGCGAGCAGAGGTCCGGGGCGTCGGACGGAGAGAGGGGGCCGCCGCCCGCGCGGCTTCAAGGCCCAGAGGAGGGGGAGGTGTGGACGAAGAAGGCGCCCCGGCGGCCGCAGTCCGACGACGACGGCGAGGCCCAGGCCGCAGTCCGAGCGAGCTGGGAGCAGCCGGCCGACGGTCCCGAGCTGCCGCCGCGAGAGGCCCAGGAGGGCGAGGCGGCTCCGCGGTCGGCGCTAAGGAGCCCGGGGCAACCTCCGTCGGCGGGGAGGGCCCGAGACGGCGGCGACGGACGGGAGGCGGCCGTCGCGGGAGAGGGGCCGTCGCCACGGAGCCCGGAGCTGGGCAAGGAGCGGCTGCGCTTCCAGGTAAAGCCTAGGGCGGTCAGGGCACAGGGGAGCCCGGGGGTGCGGGTGTCTTCCTTGGGCCTGGCCCTGTGACTGCTTCGGGCACTCGGAGGTGCGGCGCTTCCCTAAGCGTGGGCTACTTCCGTATTTCCGAGACAGCCAATGACCGCGATAGGTGTCTTCCTTGACAGCACAGTCTCATGTCCCCGACATCCAGACTTACTCGTGGCGGCTGCTCCACGGGCTGGCCAGGGCGACGCCCTTGGGACGTTCTTATAACCCACATATTTGCACTGTAAACCTCGCGCAGTGGGCGCATAGGCCAGCCCTGACCGCACGGTTGGATTACCTATCAGTAGGCACAACTGAACTTCGGAGCACTTGCCGGCTGGAGAGTCGATTCCCAAGGATCCCTCTCTCCCATTTCCGCACTGGATGTGGCAAAAACCCTTCAACTGCTGGGATTCTGGTCAGCAATTCTGATTTCTCCTTTACGAGCTTCCAGGCTATTGGAAAGCTGGAGCTCCTAAAATGCCCCTTCCTAGGAATTTGCTTTGCTTTTAAGAAGCACCCCCAACTCAGAAATCCAATACTGCGAAAGCATTTGGACTGCTCAGTGTTGCTGCCCGAGGGCAGCAGGCTGAAACTTTAAAGGGCTGGGGCACGCAGAGGGCAGTTGTGACCTAGCAGAAGTGGAAAGGCACAAGAGGTGGTAAGAAGCCCGAGGGAGTCCCTCGCGGTCTCTTCCACGGCCACCACAGGCTGGTATTCCTTTTGAGGGGCGGGGTTGGTGGCGGTAGGCTGATTGTGCGAGGAGTGAATCGAGAGGCCAGGGCTTCCCAGCGTGGCTGTGCAGGAGCTGTGTGTGATCTTAGGCCAGTCATAACCTTCCTGGACTTAGCGCAGTCTCACAGGTGAGCAGACTGAATTAAGTGCTCCCCAGAGTTCCTTCCAATTCTGAAAGGCTAACTCTAAAAACGTGTGCATAACTGCTTGCTTACTGGGAGGGAAGAAGGGAAGTTTAAGTAACACTACTTTTGTTCATATTGAATATGAATTATGGCTTACGTACGATTTAGGTTCCTGGCACCACTGTTTGGGAGTTAACTAGCAGCATGAAGAATGTGATCTTGGGTGAACCTTTAAAGTTCCTTAGATGTGGAGTCTTATTTTTCTTCAGCTTAATACATGTGTGCATAGTCTAAGATCAGGCTTTATCTTAAAAGGCCTTCCTACAGAATCCCAAACTTTAGAGAACTGTTTATTATGTCCCTACTTATTCGTTTATTAGCCAGCCTTATGAACTGAGTTAATCTGGTATATGAACTCTAAGGCCCATGCTTGCTTAATTGTTTGACTAGGCTATTAAGCTCACTTAATTACTGTATTGAAGAGGCGTACCCAAACCTGACCTGCTTTCTTTCATGATCTGAAGTTGCCAATTTCAAATATCAAGTAGATCCTTCCCAACGTCTGAAATGAAGGATAATTCAGGTGTTTTGTTGGTTAAATTGACATATCCTGTTGTTCAGTTCTTAGAGCAGAAATATGGCTATTACCACTGCAAGGACTGCAACATCCGCTGGGAGAGTGCTTATGTGTGGTGTGTACAGGGAACTAACAAGGTAAGAAATACCAGGTAACTGGCATCTTCTTGCTGAAAGTGTCAAGGCGATTTTAAGTTTATCCTCTTTGTCATCACAGGTTTACTTCAAACAGTTTTGCAGAACTTGTCAGAAGTCTTATAACCCTTACCGAGTGGAGGATATCACCTGTCAAGTAAATCAGATGTTTTGCATTTTGTCTGACCTGGGCAGTCGTCGAGGGTTTTTAGTATAGTTTGAGTATACTTCCAAAAAGAGGCCAGGCCCCCAGACCTTAGGTTTCAACTGGCTTTTGTTAGGAGTGGTAGAAACAATACTCAGCTGGGAAACGGGGCCTTGGTGTTAGCTTCTTTCTGGCCTTGCAAATCTTGCTGTTGTTAACCTCTTCTAAAACTGTTAACCTCACTTGCAATATGGAAGAATACTTGTCTTACTTGCTACTTAGTCTAATGTATAAGAAAATCAACAAAAACATGCTTGTCAGCTAACATGAGGTAGTCAAGGTTGACTGTTTTACCGAAACGCTTCTTATGAAGCACAACCTTAAAGTACTTAAGCACAGGGGGTTAGTTTGTCTTGCCTGAAAGCTCACAAAGGGACAGTTTAAGATAAATCTAAGTTGTCTAGCTTTATGGGGAGTTGACTATAATGGTAAGCAAGCAATATGTTAACTAAGCATTGCTTAAGCGCTTGCTTGCTATTAACTGTGCTAAGGGGCTTAGCTAATCTTTAAGAGGAAAGAAGTGACTACATTCGCCTCTTGTCACACAGCTAATGGAGTCTGAATTGCCAGTTGAGACAGCCTAATCAATACACTTGACCCACGTTGGATATTTAAAAGCATTAACACCCTGGGGTGGTGGAGAGAAACTAAGTATGGAAAGCCACTTAGAATCACTTAGATCAGAGCTGGGCATGTTTCTAAAAGAGGATGCCTTAACCACTCTGCTCTTGGTGTTCATTGTCAAATTCATCCCTGACTTGTTCTCTACCCTTTCTCTTAAACAGTTGTTGTAAAAGAAATTTCACAATTCATAATTGGATCTGATGCAATATAGCAGCAGTACAGCATGGTTAAACACCCACTATTCCTAGCCCTGTCATTGCTACGTAGGTAGGGATGTAGAGGGAAAACAAGATTACTATGGGACCTTGCTTAGAGCACATTCATTAAGTACTTGAATGGACTAGAAAAATGTTGAAGTCCTAGGAAATCACTAAGGGTTTATCTTCTGCATGCCCTTCTGTATTTTTTTCCCCCAGAGTTGTAAACAAACGAGATGTTCCTGCCCAGTAAAACTTCGCCACGTGGACCCTAAACGGCCCCACCGTCAAGATTTGTGCGGTAGATGCAAAGGCAAACGCCTGTCCTGTGACAGCACTTTCAGCTTCAAATACATCATTTAGGTGAAAGTCAGTGTTGCTGTGCATGCGCTGATGGAGTAGACGAGTGAGCTTTTCCGTGCCTCTCCTCCACCTCTCCCTTCTCAAAATACTTCATGAAAGGCAGTGTATTCTGAAAAAGCCTTCAAATAAAGGTATTGCAACACGATTTATACATTGCATAAAATCTGTCTTTGAAAATAAAGTTTCAAGAGCGCTTGTCTTGTGCTAACAGTCTGGGCCTGTCACTTCACCTTTATGAATGCTTGCTGATGGCATAGAGTGGGCCAGGCTCTGAGTTAGGCTGCAGCCACTTGGAAAACAATTTAGGGGGGTGCTTGTAGACGAGGTCTACTTATTTAGGCAGGTCTGGAGGACTGAAGCTTAGAAGGAAGTTAACTGAATAAAAAGCCGCCTAGCGATCGCGCCACTGCACTCCAGCCTGGGTGACAGAGTGAGACTCCATCTCAAAAAAAAAAAGCTGCCTAGCTGTAACATTAAGGCATTCTTTTGGGAGAGGTGGAGGCAGAGCCATTTATTGGTTGCATGAGACCGTTGGAGGTTAACGTTGAGTAAGAATGCTGAGTGGCGGTGATGGGGTAGGTAAAGGCTTTAGTGTCCAGGTGACCTTAGGAGGTAAGCTACTAGGTGGAGGGAGGCTGGGAAAACTAACCTGGCTCACTAGTCAGTTTCACAAATGTGGCAAAAGTGGGGCTTGGAACAGGGTGGCTGTGGGCAGCTAGCTGCTTTTAAGACACTGAATAACCTATCAAGTAGACTTTGTGTTTCTTCAAAGCCTTTTTTTTTTCTTCTTTTTTTAAAGTAGGCCTCCTAAAATGCACTTAAAGATGTCAAGTTAGAGGTGTAGGCCTTAGCTTTTGTCTTCACTGACTTAGTGCTAGTCGGGATGCCAGACTCTAACTGCGTCTAGTAGCTTCTCATGACAACACTGAGGCCCCACTGCCAGAATGTTCCTAGTTGAGGATGGGACTGAGTTTAGAGCCTCAGGTGCATCTGATGAAATTAAAGTTGTAGTATTGGTTTAATTACAGAAACCATATAATTGGAACCATGTGCTAATTATGCCTCCAATTCTCTAACAAACATCCCACTTAAGTGAACCCCTTACTACCTTAGGCCATAGGACTAAGTCTTAACATCTTGGACACTTGTTAAAAGGGACCAAAGTGAGTTTGAGGCCTCCATAGAATCCGTATCTCAAGGGGAAAGGCCCACCTGCATCAATGTGGACAGAGATGGTGCGTGTAAAATGCAGATTACTGGGCACCTGTCCTACCTACATTTAATAGGCGCCCCAGCTGTTGCTAATAGAATTGAAGCATGAGCACCTGTGCTCGGTAGAGAAGAGGTGGCATCTCATGGAGCTTCCAGTAGAGTGGGCAGATGGCCACTAGTTTTTATATAAATGTAAAACTGAGGTTCTGACCTGTGATCTGCTTATGTGCCTCTGCAGTAAGGGACCTGACTTAGGGAGATCAGGGAAGCCCTGCTTAAAAGAACGATACCTCAGCTAAGCTCCAGTTCAAATGAGTCGAATGAGGCAAAAATGGAGAGGGGAAAATTTCCAGATTAGGTTAACAACAATCTGCAAAAGCCCTGTGGTAGAAAACAACCAGGGGGAGGCCACAGTGTGAGAATACTTTGGAGGACATGACATGCCAGGTGAATCTAGCAGCGCCAGACTGGAAGGGTGTTTTAGGCCTTCATTAGGAGGATGGTCTCTACTGGAGTGCAGGGGCTACTCACAGGCATTATCAGGGAACACCATGGCCTCAAGCTCCTGGGCTCAAGTGATCCATCCTCCTGGCTCAGCCTCTCAAGTGGCTGGGACTACAGGCACTTTGCCAGGCTGCACTAAAAGGTTTTAAAGGTATGGTGGGGATAGTGGGGCATGGTGGCATATAGATTAAAAAATCACTCCAGCTGTACAGTGGATACCTGTAGATAAGGAGACTCACAGGGACCTGATAAAGTGGTGGCAAGGCTAGAGAGAAATGACAAGAACTGGTGTGGGTAAAGGCGATGTGTTTTTTACTGGTTCGAACATGTTCCTGTTGATTTGGTTGGGGGTAGGTACAGGGGTAGGAAACCTATTATTTGTACTGTGGCATGCAAGTGATACATAATGATGTGATCAATAGTATTTGCTCAATGAATGAGTGAATTACATAAATGTACCTACATTGAGTCCTAAGAAAGAAATTTTCACTGGCTATTAATATGGTTACATTGTTCTTTAATATTGCTTGCCATTAATTTTCCTAACTTAGCAGCTAACCCTATTTTTCAGTTGAGGAAAGTGAGGATCAGACTGTTTTACCTAGGGTGGGTGGGCATGCAGATATTCAACAAAGTGGCACAAAAACATGCCATTCAAGTTATGATTACATTCAAGCAATGAAAAGGCACTGCCAAACTCTATGTGTACAATCCAAAAACTAAAAGATGTGAATAGATTTTAAGTTGAGAGGTTAGAAGGAAATACTCCAAGATGTCTCTGGGTATCAAGAGAAGTAACTGTAGTTTTCTTCATATTTCCTTTATTTTCTAAAGGAACCATGGATTACTTTGAAAAATTAGGGAAAAAATGCTATAAAATACCAATAAATGGATTTTCATACTGTCGTCTTTCTCCTTTTGTTTAGGTTATCCTGGTGTTTTATGTGAGCAGTATTCACTCACAGGCCTGGATGAGGAACCTTACTCTGCCCTTGAGTCTTTTCCAAGAAAGCATGTAATGATTTCCTAAATTTAAGGGAGGTTATGTGTTTTGCCACACCCTCTATTTTACATCACTAAAAGTAGAAAATATATTTTAAAATAAGAAATCCTGTGGTTTTGTTTTAGAAGCAGCATGAAGAAACTGCCGGATTGCTGCTTTTGCTGTTGTCTTATAAGCGTACTATTTAAAAATGATAAATTTAGTGGGCAAAAGAAAAAGGCTGTATGTAGCAAAAACTGGGCTCCAAATGGAACTAAATCAGGTAATAAATTAAGCATTGGTATATATTTGTTAATAAATGCTAACTTGGGATTCAGAGGCTGAGGAGCAGAGAAGTGTAGGTTGGAGGAAAATGCTGTTGCAGAAGGCCATCCTAATGAATTTGTTTGCATCTTGCTTGCTGCAGGTATATTCATTTTTATTATATTAATAGACTTAGTTACATATAAATAAACACAAAAAGCAAATATCAACTGAAAGGTTTGGTTGGGTAGTCAACTAATTTTGTTCTTTTCTAGGGCAATTCAAGAAGGTAACATTTGAAAGGTTTCTAAATGATGCACACTGTAATCATTCATTCTTTGTTAAAATACAACACAAACCAACAGCTACAATGCTTTTTATTTTTAACAAAAAGGATGTAAGGAGGGTAAGAAAAACAGAGGACAGTAAGATAGGATGTAAAGTGTGATGTATCTCTGGACACCATCCCTCTCTGCCTGCCCCACACCCAAAAGTTTTAAATAATTTAAAGGATACCAATTACAGTACCAGAACACCATCAAAATAATTGTCTTTATCAGGGTCAAAAAATACAGTGATTATGAATGAGCTGTGACCAGTTACGAAATTTTACTGGAAATGTTTAACTGTGGTCAGCAGTCCAATGGTGTGCACAGTGCCTTCAATTAATGCACTTGAGCATACGTAATTACATTTCTGGCAGGGTCCACACCCCCCAAGAAAAGGTAAAGCTAAGCATTTCATTTCTACATTCTAAACTCTGGAATCACAGAGCCCAGTTTAAAAGAAAAGTCACAGTGGATAAGAGATGTATATAAAAAATACAAGGTGTTTCTTTCAAATCAGGAGTTGTGGGACTACATTCTTTTTTTTTTTTTTTCTTTCTTTTCTTACAAAATGCGATTTTAGAAAAGGATAGAGACTCCAGTTCATGTTATACTACAGACTTAGACAGTGAATAAGTATATTGCATGTTTTGGTAGTCAGTCTTCAGGCTTCCTTTCATTTCCCCTAGCCCCAGGTTTCTTTAGGGTAAAGCATGTGAGTCCTGAATAAAGATACAAAAATGCATTTGCAGCTCTTTTCTTGAATTCTGCAGACTTCAAAGCCTGCAAGTCATATATTCCATCATCAATGACCACAATTTTTCTTTAGCTTTGTACACCTATTCTTGTATAACAACAGTGCATGGCACAAATGTACAAGAAAATAACTGGTTTTAGTCTCTACAGTTTCTATATGGAGTAAAATAAGTTAAAACTTTTCTAATGAGAATAGCTGACAGGCAGCATACATCTTTATTTTACATTTTAAAGTCTCTGCAGGCATCTACTTTGGTTAGTTATCAACAATCATAACATAAGCACTGATCAGAGAACTGAGCAGCATTCCAATAACGTTAACAGATATATTATTTCTTTTTGAAATACTGGGAAAGCCCAGTTTTAAAATATTATTAAAATGTTCTAACATTTACATACTATGAAGAGTTAGATCTAATAAAATAACATTTCTTCAAAAATAATCTTGCAGTGCTCTTTTAGGCATGCTCTGAGACGTTATCACCAAACATCCATACCTTGAAAATATGACTATCACATATCCATACATCCCAACTCACACACACATAATTCCTTATACAGACCAAAAAACAAAAAAACCCAAACCCTTATCCCACATACTGAAAAATCAATGGTTTTTGCAAACGAGTCTTGATGCGTATAGCTGACTGCATGTTCATGTGGATGGATGATTAAGCATCAATTGCAGGTTAGGTTTTCAACTGCTAGAAATCCAAGCAGCTTTGCAGGTCTTCAGCTAAAATGAAACAGCCTTGATTTCAGCCTCATTTCACCTGCTTTTGGTTGTTTCAGTATTGGAGGCCATTATTGCAAACATTCTTGGAATTCTTTTCTTTCCCCAGAAAGTAATGTATTTGTAGGCATCACTTTTAGCCCTTTTCTTTTCACGTAGGTTAAGTAATTAAAAAATTCCTTCTTCACGCAGTTATTGTGGGAGATATTGGCAGCTGTTAAAATATCAGATGTTTTTTTCTTTCAGATCTTTGTTTTTGATGATACAGTTTGACATTAGTTACACTAAAAAGTAGATGCTGCCAGAAAGTTATCAGTGAATGCAAGGGTCCATAAAAGGTGCTTGGTTAATATTCTTCATCATCTTCAGTTTAGTTTCTTTCCTAAAGGCCTGAAGTGTCTCAGAATCCAGTGCTCACCATATTTCCCATTGGTTTGGCCTGTGCTAGAAGTTGGTATGATTGCACCATGCGTAGAGACTCTCTTATTTCCAGATTAAGTTCCATCAGTTTGTAGTTGGCTTCTGACATGTCCAGGTTAGAGCCTATAACTGCAAAGCTTCCTGTCTGGCCCAGCGTCTGATGATGGAAATATATATGTAACAGTGTCTGTACAGGGTCATCTTCACAACTGCCAAAGATATCACTGGGCCAGAGAGATCTGAAAATACACAATAGTTTTTCAGTTCTGAGACTTAGGCAATAGTTAAGACTAACTCAATTTAAGTTAAATACCTGTAACAACAACATTTCCTTGTGAATAACATGATCTGTTTTAATATTTGAGCAAATATTACTCAAAGTACCACCTGAATTCACTTTCAAAGTACCATCTGAAAGTGAAAAGAAATCTAAAATTGGTATCATTTCAGTGGCAACTGTTAAAAATACTCATGTTTTTCTTTCACAAAGACATGATATGGAAACAGCAAATTGAAAATGAAAACCTAGTATTACTAAACTTCCTGTCTAATTTAAAGGCATCACCTTTAAATCCCGTCACGTTTTACCTGAAAGCTTTGACTTGTGCTACAGCTGATATAAATTCTTTATTTTTCAAAGTTTCAATTAAAGAATGAATGGCAGTTTCTATAGTAGTTTGTGCAGCTTTGGAAATGTCAATTTCTTCGTTTTCGGAAGCGGACTCAGCTTCTTTGAGGATACTTTCCAGTTGGGCAAGTTCCTCTGACATGTTGATGACCTAAAACAAATACATCTTTAAGGATCTATTCGTATGTTTGGTAACAAAAACATTTAGTTGGCTACAAGAATATACCTGATGGCAGTAGCATTGTTGCTCTTAAAGATTATTTTAAAATGTTTGTCTTGGAAGAAAGGGCAGTTAATATTTCAAGTACTCCATTCTGTAGGAGCAAATAAATTCCACCAAATAGTAGTCTTGAAATTAAATGTTCTTGATAAAGCAACAAGTTGTAATAAATGTCTATATTGGTTTTAATATTACTACATTTTGGATAGTAAAAGTACATTTACTGTTATGGGGGATCATGAAAACTATATAACAGTAAAGTCTTTAGATTTTAAAAGATTATTTACCCCAGGGTATTTTTATATAAAAAATAAATACATGTATATTTCTTTTTACAGATTTAATGACTAAGAAATTAAATCATTTCCCCAGTGATAGTTTTATTACCAGCAGATGACAAGGGGGGGAAAAGACTAAAGTTAGCATCTTTGAGGCTATGTATTGATTTTCAACATTCAAAGTGTTTTTTAACATGTTTTTTCTTGTGTGCACTAATAAAACTGTAACAATGTGGGCTGGGCACGGTGGCTTATGCCTGTAATCCCAGCACTTTGGCAGGCCAAGGCAGTGGGTCACCTGAGGTCAGGAGTTTGAGACCAGCCTGGCCAACATGGTGAAACCCCGTCTCTACTAAAAATACAAAAAGGTTAGCTGGGTGTGGTGGTGCACACTGGTAGTCCCAGCTGCTTGGGAGGCTGAGGCAGGAGAACTGCTTGAACCCAGGAGGTGGAAGTTGCAGTGAGTTGAGATCATGCCATTGCACCGCAGCCTGGGCAAAAGAAGGAGACTCTGCCTCAAAAAAAAAAAAAAAAAAAAAAAGCTATAGAAATACGAACAACATGTTGAGGGAGGGGGGTTGATGATACAGTTTTATGTCTTTATTGAACTGATGTGCTTTGTTTGACTATTTTGATTTTCTGAGACAGGGTCTTGCTCTGTCACCTATGCTGGAGTGCAGTGCTGCAATCACAGCTCACTACAGCTTCTAACTCCTGGGCTCAAGTCATCATCCCAGCTCAGACTCTCGAGTAACTAGGACTATAGGTATGTGCCACCATCCCTGGCTTTTACTTGACTTTTGATTATAGATGATCTGTGTCTACTATGGAAACCTTTAAGGTCTTGAACCTTTTACAACTGCTGGATATCTGCTGTCTTATTTACTCATAGGTCCTGACATAGCACATCATTAAAAAACAAATTATTCCTTAACTAAAAGAAAAAAGACTCACTCTAAGTGACTTTTGACTTAAGCTATTTTAACAAGTAATAGATTTTATTTTAAAATTTTTTTAGAATCAGTTACTGATGCCTAATACAACTGAATATTTACCTCTGCTTCATTTTTTATCGTATTTACTTGGTTGATAAGTTTACAGTAGGCCTGGAACAGAAGCAGCAATTGAAAATGCAATTTGTATAATCTTCGGCAGAGCTCCAATTCCTAGAAATAAATAACATTACATTAAATTTAGGTGTTATTTTCTAGACAGCATATTTCCAATGGAAATTTATAGTTAAAATTGTCTTGTCGTTTATTTTTCTGCAGTAAGGAAGTTAATATGGTATGAAGCTGATGAAAGGCACGTGAAATATGCTTTAAAGACTAAGATTAAAATAAAAACAAATATCACTGCTGGTTACATAATTCAGTTTTAATGTTAAGCACATTTTCACATTCTACAAATAGACTGTTTCAGCAGGCAATTAATAGGATACTTTAAAAAGGATTCATTAGAATTTAAAACTTTAAATTCATAATTAAAATAATCTACAAATGCAAAGACTTTTGCCCTCATTGAGATGTAGATCTCACTGCATTTATCAACAAATGCTTGATAAAGCAAAGTGAAACCGGATAACCTCTTACCTAAAAAGTAAGAAAAGCTGTCTTTTAAAGTGAGGTCATTTTTCTAAAGAAAACCACTTGGTAATCTCATTGAAATGAAACTATGAAATTAACAACGTGGGCCGAGCACGGTGGCTCACACCTGTAATCCTAGCACTTTGGGAGGCCGAGGTGGGCAGATCACTTGAGCTCAGGAGTTTGAAACCAGCCTGGCCAATGTGGTGAAACCCCGTCTCTACTAAAAATACAAAAAATAATTAGCTGGGCATGGTGGTGGGTGTATGTAATCCCAGCTACTGGGGAAGCTGAGGCAGGAGAATCGCTTGAACCTGGGAGGCAGAGGTTGCAGTGAGCCGAGATCATGCCACTGCCCTCCAAGCCTGGGCAACAGAGCAAGACTCCATCTCAAAAAAAAAAAAAAAAGTTGTGCACTTTGATTTTTTAAATTAAGAAATTTAAGAGGAGATATGTTTAAGAAAAAGGTGACTGCTAATTTTATGTATTTTAACATCTCACTATTTTAAAAGAACCAACATTTCATGGATTAGGGCTTTGCAAAACTGAAGCACATACTACTTGTAAAGTAGTCCACGAGAAAACATTGCTGGGTCACAAATGGACAAATGGCAGATGAAAACCAGTTTGTCTGGCAAGGGTGAGTAGTCTATAAATCAAGACAGGTCACTTACTGCTAGTATTTCCATTTGCTAAGCAAGAAGGTGATCAGGTCACAAAAAATACAAAGGAAGAAAAAGACCAAGAATTAGTGTAAGAAATCATTTTAACTAGGGTCACAGATGTTCCAGGTAAACTGAAGAACATATATTTATACCCCAAAGAAAATTATACAAAGTTATTTCCAGAATAAAACTTTTTAGACATTTACTGCAACGATTCAGGGTGTTTTTAAACACTTTGCCAAATAATAAATTACATTTAGGCTATGACTTATTTCTGTGTAAAAGCTACAATGAATAAAACTGAACTATTGTGATCTTGGTAAATCTGGCTATCCAGGTTTAAAAAAAAAAAAACCAAAACCCAACTGTAATAAAACTTCCATTTGTAAACTGGAAAACTTATGATTAGAAAATAAGAAACAAATTAATTACTGTTACTTCTCAGAAAAGAATTGGCTTATAATCGTACATAATAAATACTTATCCATCACCATCAAAAGATTATCTCTAGGGTGGCTCATTCCAGGCTTCCTATCCTTTACTGTCTAATTAGGTCCTACTTTGCCATAACTGGTGCTGAGCCACAGGGTGGAATATCAAAAGCAGATGCATGTTCTAAATTGCATTCCAAATATACTTCAGTAAGTTTCAGAAACTTAACCCGACTAGGTTTGAATCAACATAATGTATGTAAAACACAGAGTAAAAATTTATGAACCATCTTAAAAACTATATGAAAACATGTACAGCAACTTGGATCTGGTCTCTTACGAGGAGAATGACTTCTAACTAAAACAACAATTGTTACACCGTAAATGTATCTTCTAAAAGTCATTCTTAAGCCTGCTTTTCTAAATAGTTTCCTGTGAAGGACTGTTTTTCATAAAGTTTATTCCTATCAATTTAGAAGGGATTTGCTAAATAAGCAAAGGTGAACTTTAGCTCCATGCTGCTTACCATAAATTATGTGGATGCTCATCCAATAAACATCAGTTGAGCACAATCCAAGGTCAAGCATATTCCATATCTAAATTTCTGAGGGTTTAGTTCATACAGTTTATTTCATATGGAAATTAACAATTTGAATTTTAAATACCTTTCCTCACTTCTATTAGCACAAATAAAGTAGAACTGATTCTACAAGCATATATGTATAGCCTCTACTTTGGGATGTAATGGAACATAAACTGCTGATAAAGTTTATGATCGTAGGAAATAACACAAATGTAATGAATTTTACAGCTCTGAATTACCAGCAATTACTCTAAATATGCTAAAACAGTGCAGTTTTTGTGGATGAGTGTGTGTGTGTGTATATATATGCACATTTTAAAGTATATTAAAATTTGCACATTCTTTTATTCATCTAACAAATATTTGACTGCTTATTATGCAAAAGACAAGACTGGTACACAAGGACAGATCAAATTGCATAAAAAGCGTCTTCCACCCTCAAAACAGTTGAATATGAAAGGTGAGCTGAAATATAAATGAAAGTGTTAAATGTTCAGTTTCCACTTCGTAGAAAACCTCAAGCTATGTTAACTGACTTGATCTTAAGATGGATATAATTTTCTTCAAGGTAGAGGGGATATAAAAAAATCACTTAATATAAACACCTAGTTTTTGTAGGAAAAAAGGTTACATTACTTGCCGAAGTGATGCAGTTAAACAGTGGCAAAGACAGACAGAATTAGAACCAAAGGATTCTGGTCTAGGGTTAATTCCTTATCTTCATTTCTTTACATAGATGACTTAGCAGTTTCTTTTTAACATTAGTGCAGGATTTGGAGTCAGCCTGCCTAGGTTTCAATCTTGGTTTCACTATTTGCTGATTTTAGATAAATTAGCATCTCTGAACCTCAGTTTCCTCATCTTCAAAACCAGGATAATTAGAGCAACTACTTGCCTGAGTTGTAAGGATAAAGAAACTATAGAGGCTGGCAAATAGTTAACACTTAGCGAGTATACTATTATTTTCTCAACACTGCAGTTTTTGCAGAACTTCAATTTTTTACTATAATAAATAGTATAACCTAATAATAGTATAACCTTTACAGACACTAGAAATCTGTAATAATATAACCAAAGGTAGAATATAAAAGACTGGAATTCTGATGTCAAATGGAAATAAATTTCAGTTGATGAATGTATTTTCCCCTGTGAAGCTACACTTCCATTGGAATAATTTGTAGGCCCTAACTTATCCTCACTTACTACAATGTATGTGTTTATGTATGTGCACCTTTCTAAGAAAATATAATGCTGTTGTTTTCACTGAGCCTTATATTAAAGAAAAACATTATAATTTATCCAATTCTAATTTTACCTTTAACATGGATATATTATATCACATTATTCTTAGGTTTGCTTTCTTGACCAATTTATCTAACAGAATAGCAGAATACTAACATGGGACAAATTTTTCTTTAAGAGGCACATGCAACTTAAAAGCCGACCTGGACTGTCCAGATATCCATCAAGCTTATCTATTGGATGTTATTAAGCTTCAGTCACAAGCTGGTCGTTCATTTTTATTAAAGTGAATTTTTCATTATGAAACCAGTATTTCATTGAGCTTTTACAAAGATTGTTTTGATAACCAAAATGAAAAGTTTTACAAATATTCTTTATTTTTAGAAATAATCAAATAAGGATATTTGAACACATGCATTGTTTTACCTGATACAGAAAATGTATGTTGCAAAAACAGGAACAAGAAACTTACTTGTGCATCTGTGTTTATCCTATACATGTCTTCTTTGGCACCAAATGTCCTCTTACAATCATCTAGCCACTAAAAATAAGTAACAGTAACGTTTAATATGCACAGTAAAATGGGTAGTGTAACAGCCTGTCCATATACAACACCAAACTTAAAGTTAACTTGAAGTTCTAGGATTGGTTGTAGACCTAGACTTTTATCTCCATTCAAGCCAAATCAATCATTTATATGGAACTAACAAAAGCAGGGATAGCATTAATGTAACAAGAGGCACACACTTGTGACAGCTATACTAACAAAACCCATTCCATTCTAGGGACCTGTGATGTTCCATTTCAGTAAAGGATATTCTTCATTTTGCAGGTTTTATGAAAATCTTTACAACCTATGCCTGACCTTTGTGTAACGTAAGACGGGGAAAGGAAAGATGTGCTTCCCCTCTGATCAATTTAATAAAGACAACTTAGAATTAAGTAGGTCTGTTTGCTTATGAGAAGTGTAATTCTCAGAAGACTAGTGTCAGTTTTAAATTTGTGAACCGGCAATCAAGATCCATTTTAAGTCTTGTTTTGTTTTTCTTTTCTTTCTTTTTGGACAGTAATGAATGACAAACAAACATGTTATTTATTTCCAAACAATACTGGATGTAGAAGCCAAATGTGGTTTTTCCTTCTCTGGGGGTATTCCTAATGTTGATATAAAAGTACAGGCTGGGTGTGGTGGCTCCTGCCTGTAATCCCAGAGCTTTGGGAGGCTGAGCGGGGAGGACTGCTAGAGGGCAGGAGTTCAAGACCATCCTGGGCAACATAGGGAGACCCTGTCTCTAAAAACATAAAATAAAAAAAAAGGAATACTTCAAAAATAAAGTACATTTTCTTCAGCAAAATATAAATAAAACAATAGCACCGTGGTATAGTAGAAAAGAAAGAACGCTGGACTCACAGAATTTCCAAGCTGAAGTAAAAGCTAAGTGCATTCCAGGTAAGCTCCTAGCTTTGGACAGTTTGATATTATCAGTTGTTTTGACTTCTAAGTTCTTTTTTTTAAATTATACTATTAAACAATACAACTAATATATATATATATATATATATATATATATATATATATATATATATATATATATGAAATCATTAGGACTTTGAGAAACAGACTAGCTGCATTAAGCAGCTACTCTGAAAGTATTTTAGTATTCGACATTTAACATTCTCTATTGTAGCTTATGTTGTACCCACAAAGAAAGAATTGAAATTTGACATTTCAGTTATTTCAAAAATGATCTCTTTGACCTTATTTTCCTTTTATTCCAGTCTCTCAGATTTCACCGGCCCTTAGGCTATTTGCTTGACAGCATCTCTGAAGAAAAACATGTTAAGCTTTTCTAGTGAGATACAGCTGATGGCAGCCATTGTCAAAAGCTATCAGTGGATTTCTTTGTATCAGCAAAATGCAGTTGACATCTAACATGGAACCTGTGCATTAATCTTTATTCATACAAAATGTTAAAATATTTATACACTTAATTATGCCTTATCTTGTCCAGTTTGTCCAAGTATACTAATAAATTTGAAAATAATTTCAGTTGATTATTTATTTAATGGCTTATTTTTATACTGTGTACCTAATGATACAGCCTTTTGGGGGGCACTATTCAAAATATTGCTGATTTTTATTCTGTTAAAAGACAAACCCCAACCATATAGTCCTGTGGCTGCACACTGGCCTGAGAGATACAGGTCCACACCTTTCCAGCCAGAGCATACAAGACATGGTAGTTTGTGCTCAGAACACCCTCCAGTTCACATCTAATCAATCAGTCTTCCTGTCACGGCATTTTCTTTATTCAAGGTTCAAATGAAGGTTAAAATTTTTAACTGTCGAGGTTCTACTTCTGGGTGTGATGGAGTAGCCTGTATAAAAGAAAGAAAGACCAATCCTGCAAGGACAATGATGGAAGCTGAATCCTATCGGCCAAAACTCACTCAAACAAACAGTTAGTTAGTTAGAGAAAAGTACCGGAGTGAGCCCAATACCCGCCCCAGTGCTTACTCTACTCTAGGTGTATTCATATTCACGTCCCTGCGCATAGAGGCTGAACAGAAAGCAGTGGCCTAGAGTTTATGCCCTACAGTTTCACTGGGCTGGGAAAACAGTTTTCAAAGATAGATAGATGATAGATAGATAGATAGATAGATCGTGAGATATTGAGGGCCAATATCCTGGAGAAAAGAGAACTGCAGAGAAGTGACCCCAATAGTCTCTGTGCAGTCTCGCCTTAGAACACTTGCTGTTCCTGTTTATTATCTGCAGGGGGAGAGGCTACAAAACCACACAGCAGCCCCTGGGAGACTGAGAAGGTCGGCAGAGACCGCTGGTCTCACATTGCTGGGGAGAGAAAAATAATTCAATTCACCTGTGAGCCTTAGCAGTCTTGAATAATAATAAAAAGAATGTATAACTCAAAAATGAATGGGAAAATTAAATAGGGCAGACAGTAAATATTTTAGGCTTTGCAAAACATATAGTCTTTGTAACTATTTAATTGTTACAGTGCAAACATAGCCATGGACAATATGTAAGTAAACCAGATAGCTGTTTTCTACTAATTTTATTTACAAAAATAGGCAGTGGGCCAGATATAACTTGACAGCTGTAGTTTGCTAACCTGTGTTCAAGAAGTTTGTAAGCATTATTAGTTGTTTGAATTTCCATATAAATTTTAGAATCAGCTTGTCAATTTCCATTAATATACCATCTGAGATTTTGAATGAGACTGCATTAAACCTATAGACCATTTTGGGGGAAAATGACATCTTTACCATATTGAGTCTTCTAATTGATAAACATGGTATATAGTCCTCCATTTAGGTGGTCTTTAATTTTTCTCAATATTTGCAGTTTTCTGTATAGAGGTACAGCATATCTTTAGACAGATTTATTTGTAGGTATTTGATATTTTCCTATTATAAATGGTATCTATTGCTTTAAAACCAACCACCCTAAAACTTAATGGCTTCAAACAACCAAAATGAATCTATGTGCTGGCTGGGAGTTTCTTCTGGTCTTGCCTAGGGTCACTCATGAGTCTACAGTCATTGATGGCTTGACTGGGGAAGCGGCAGGGTTGAAGTTCCAAGTTGGCTTCACTCATATGTCTTGCACACTGACTGTCAATGGAACGCCTCTGTTCTCCCCTACATGGCCTCATCTTCCAGCAGGCTAGAGGTCAAATAGTTTCCCAGAGTTTACCCCAGTTTGCACTCCGACCAGTATGATGGCAAAAGCAGACACCACAAAAGACCACTTCAGGACTAGTCTTGGAAGTTACACAGCGTTGCTTCTGAACTTGATTGGTTAGAGCAAATCACAAGGCCATCCCAAATTTAAGAGATGGTGAAATGGACTCTGTCTCTTCATGGGAAGAACAGCAAAGTCACATTGCAAAGGGGTGTGGCGACAAGAGAAGCATGATTCATTGGGACCAGTATTTTAACAATCTACCTTTGCTTCTAGTAGGCAATGATTTCTGAAGATACAAAAACCATAACCATGATGGAAAAGGCTGATAACCTGGACTTATTAAAATTAAAAACTTCTGTTCATCAAAAAATGCTACTAAGATAGCAAAACTGCTAGCTACAGAGAAGGAATAATCTTCGCAATACATACATCCAAAAAAGGGCTTGCATTTAGGATAAAGAGCCCCTACAAATCAGTAAGAAAAACCCAATCGATTTACAAAAATGAGCAATGTACTTGAAGCTACAATTCACAAAATATCTTAAATGAAGAGATCCATTTGAAAAGGGGCTCAAATATTAGTCATCAGGGAAATGCAAAATAGTACCATGAGATACCACCACACACTTCATTTTTCATAGGTCTATACATGTCACAGATATTTACTACTTATTAATGAAAGACCCATCTAGAAAAATAATTACCTACTGTATGCAGTTTGTGTGAAAGAGAGAAATTATTTTTTGTTCTTCTGTCCCTCCCAATTGAAAATGTGCTGGATTTACTCTTAGGGAAGGAACAGAGCTACTCTGTTTTCAATGCCAGATTGGACTTGAAGAAGCCTTTCTTAGGAGGTAATTGTCTAATTCACTACATGCTTTTTTCTCCCACTGCTTGCCCATGTACATGTACACATCATGGGAAAAAGATTACAGCTTTGTCAGAGGTTGTGGATTTCCTAGACCACAATTCTCTAATGCACTGAGAAATACTGCTTCAATTTCCCCACTTGGAATGTTGACAGCAGTGACACAGTCTCCACAAAGAAGCTTTTTACAAAGCTATGGTTTTCCATTGTGCTGTTAGAGGACTGATTTTTAAAAGCCAAAGGTAGGAATTTGCTGGATAGAGAGCTCAAAGAACCTGCTGCTCTCAGGAAAACCCTGAGGCAGGTGCTGAGAGGTCTTCTTTTCTGTCTGGGCTATTCTGCTGCCAGGATTACCCTTCCAGTGTCAAGAGCAAACCACTTTTCGCACATGGTAAAAAGAGACTGACCTGCTCAGCGGCTTCTCTTTTCACATTGTATGTATCCAGGTGTTCTTGCAACTCCAAAACACCAAACTTGAGTGTTTCCAGCAAACCACATGACATCAGCTGTCAAATCAGAAGTATTGATCCAGGTTACCATTTCTGATTGAAATCATGAGACTCACAAAATCATGAGACTTTTCAGTCATGGAATAGCTGTTAGTTGGTTTTTGGATATTCTCTTAACTCTACTCTGTCCCATACTTAGAGCTGAGCTCTCACTGGAACAGAGTAGGAGTGCAGTGGGACTTGAGGAGGGTCAGGAAGGACATCCTCAAGTGTTTTCAAAGACGTCATGCCAGACCAGTACATACCTCAAAGGTATCAACCTTGAAGCTTTTTAAACCTTAGTTCTTTAAATATCTTAATATATAATCTAGAAGTGTGCTTAGAAATAAATCAGGAAATGAACCAGGAGGCCTGGGTATTTCACGGGTGGAGGTTTAGGCATCTCCTACCCATTTTTATTTAAGAATATAAAAATTACCCATCTCTAGAGCATGACTTTTTAGTTTTCCCATCTAGGACTCTGTAGAGGGTAAGGGCATGAAGGAGTCAGAATCAGAAATAGTCACAAGTTGCTGCACCTAATATACTAGAATTGTAGTTTGCCACATATTTATAATCATGTTGAAAATACGAACCTTTATACCATAAAATTCAGAATTACTTAGAAAAAAAGACTTACTGAATGATGCCATTCCAATGTAGTCTTTATAATAAACCTGCATGTAAAAACTTACTGTTTCAGCATCCACAAAGACTGTTGGGCATTCTGAACACAGCATCATCACTTCCAAGGAACTTTTAAATTTGGTACCAATGCGTTGCAGACTATCACCAAGAAAGCTGACTGCCTCATTAGTTATTTCTCCAAACTTTCTTTGAATTGTCTATGGAGAAAAGCAGAAGAAAGAGTTTAGTGTTTCATAAGAAGGCCTTTTTTCATCTTTAAGTAAAGAAGCATAATAGGGTAGACTTTTATTTTAAAATTATAATGATATATAGAACTTTAATCATTGATCTATAAATCCATATTTTTAGGTATTTCCTTAGAAAACATTAATTTCTAAAAAGAAACAAAAATTTACAAAATAGTATTACTGAAAAAATGATATATGCCATTCATCTCCCTATTCCTGAGATTTTTTCATCAGGGGGCAGACAGATGGATGCATGCTGTACATTCTTAGCAATGAAAGTCCTCACCTGTCTTGAGGAAGTTGTTCATCAAAAGTTATTACCTGAAAGAAACTTTCAGTAAATGTAGTTTACTATTCTTGGCTATGGGCTGCCATCTGGCTTAACTTTAGGTAAAGTCATAAAAATGTATTAAGAGTAATATCTTCTCAGAGTCCAGGAATATTCATTTCCATAAAACAGACAGTGCCTGACTCATAGTAAGTCAATCAATTAGATTATATTATCAGTAGTATAATTATTACATCAATGGTTAAAGTATACCTACTTATATATGTGTTGCACTGTTAGGTGGCATTATGATTAAAATAAAAAGCATAAATCCGCACTTTCAGCCATCATGAAACTTACAACATCAATAAGAATATGAGTAGAAAAACCAAGTAGTGATGCAATAAGTACAGAATTAAATAAGCGCTCCCATTAATGAGCACTAAAGAACTTCCAGGATGAGAGAGACTGGAGGTTGGAGTGGTTGGGAAGGCTTCGGTAAGAAAATGCATTTAGCTGAGTCTTCCAAGATGGGCAAAATTTGGGAGGAGAAAAGGGAGGAAAGGTGGTAGATAGTTCAGAGGACAATAACTTAAATGGTGGCATTTTTCTGTGCCTTAGTTTCCCTCTCCACTGAATGCTGAAAATCAAATCTACATTCCATAGTTGTGGTGTCAGAACACTTACCGTAAAGCCCTTTAGCACAGTGCCTAGCAAGTAGTGGGTACTCAATAAATTTTAGCTTGTATTATCTTTATTATTGGGGAGGAAGCAACCTTAACAGCTAAAAACTTTAAGGTCCTCACAAAGTCAATGGACACTTTTAGTCCATTACTTTAAGCCTTGATTATAAGCTGATTTATGATATATTAACTGTAAGCTCCCTGAAGGCAGAGCTTAGGCCTTTATTTCTTTGGTATCCTGATGGTGCCTAAGCATACTGCAGAAAACATATCAGACGTTGTTTTGAAGTTTTATTCTAATTGCCTTAGGGGAGAAATCTCTACCAGTCATTGTGTAATGTACCAGCAGTACCACAATGTCACAGTGTCAATGTAAGTAATACCATTAGCTTAGAAAAAAAAAATTTGTTAAAACTGGTAGGAATATTAAAATCGGAGATGCTGATTTTAGAAGAAAAACTGTAACTTGATTAGGTAACTATAATATGAATTCAGAAACCCTGAACCTCACTGACCTGAAACAGCCTAGAAAACACATGAAAAGTAAACACTGCAGAGGACCCGTCGGTGTCAGACAGCATCTGATTGACGTGGCAGCGCCAGGCTTCCTCTTCATCATCATATGCCACGGGCTGAAAGGCGGCTATGATGGCAGAAAGAAATGGTGACGGCAGAGGCGACGTCTGTACTTCTGGAAAACCATCTTGCTCTTCTTCATCTTGACTATTAACACAGATATCATAAATATCATAACACTATCTCAGAAAAAAAGAATAGGCTCAATCACGTAAGACAGCTTAAGTCATTTGACAGGTTATTTTTATTCATCATACACACTGATTTAGAAAATGTACAACAACCTAAATCTTGTAAGAAAGTGTGAATAAGTGAATTCCTGTTCTTTCTAGTTAGCATTTTTAGAATTAGAACTCTAATTTCAAGCAACTACCTTAAAATAACCCAAGTCCTATAATATGCCACCACTATGGATTCATTTTAGTAACTTCTATGAATAATACCGATTAGAATGCTTTCATTTTCAATGGTCAATTTTGGAGGCTTTTATTTGAACAGCCTCACATTGGTGATAATAATATTCTTAAAGTTTTGATCATGGTCATTTGTGTTAAGGGCTATGTT
Organism: Homo sapiens; assembly: GCF_000001405.40. Classification (NCBI taxonomy): domain Eukaryota; kingdom Metazoa; phylum Chordata; class Mammalia; order Primates; family Hominidae; genus Homo; species Homo sapiens. The sequence goes on from NC_000004.12 coordinate 48,513,106, forward strand.
AGGGGCCTCATATGGATAATTTCATTCAGTCTTCACAACTATATGAGGATTAGGTTCTATTATTATCTTGATTTTAAAGCTGAAATAAAAAGTTCAGTAAGGTTAAATAATATGTCTAGTTACTGGGTAAGAAATGACAGAGCCAGAATTTGAACCCAGGACTACGGGTCCAAATGCTATTAGCCAGGAAACACATGGCTAGCTCAGCTATTTCATAAGCATATACTATGTTCCTAGCAATATGGCCGATAATAGATTTGACTCCAAAGAAACATAAGACCTCGCCATTTCCTTCAAATAATTTATAATCCCTAAAGTCAGATTATACAAACAAAAATGAACAATGGAAAAAGATGAAGATGTATTTGGGTTGGACATTCTACAACTCTCAGCCAAAAAAAGGAAGAAATATTGAGTCTGACACTTCATAAAAAAGAAATGTGTTATTCAAGGTCTTAAAATTGCATGTTTCGCATTACAAGCTAGTTCTATAAGGCTTTACAGAAATTTTGGAGCAATGCATATGGTCTTCCATATGCACTGGAATGCATGGAGGGACCCGAGTAAAGACTGGAGAAAACAATCAAAACAATCAAAATAAAGCAGACATCTGAAGTGAAAACAAATGAGACCTCAAAAAGGTTAATTTTAAAACTGTCACTGTGGTGATGATTTTAACACATATACTATAAGCTAGGGTAGATAACCTGTACACTTAGTAGGAATGCTCCATTCTATTTCAGCTGCAGTACTTGGCCAAAGTCAACTGTTTGGCTTCAGCCTTTTAGAAAGCCAAATAGCTGAATAACATCGTTTCTGGCATCCCTGAACTTGTGCATGATTAATGATTGAGTGGTTGCATGGGCTACTGCCATATTCAAATCAGTAATATGAAAAAGGTGTATCACTAAGATTTATTGTTAATATCTGATTGTATCTTTTCAAATATAGGTAAGTATTCTTGATATGTTGATGGTAAAAAAAAATCTCCAATGTGTTGTATGTGTTAAAACTCTATTATCACATGAAGTATAAAGGTGTAATTTTTATTGTAAAAGTAAAATTCTGAAATACTCGATAATTATTAAATATTAATTTTATATAAAAACAGTTATCCAGGAGCTCCAAATTGTTGAATGGGGAAATAGATACACTCACAGAGTGCATGAAGTTAGATACCTTTATAAAAAACATAATATTGAACCACAAATATTTGTGAAATTTAAACAGTGGATATTCTATTATAATTCTAAGTGTTAAAGAATTATTTGGTTTAAGAGTTTCGTAACAGCCACCAAAATTTCCCCTAAAAGCTATATATAACATATGATTATTATGATTATTATTCAAGTTAGTCCTTGAGTAAAGAAAAAGTTCCACTTGAGAATTCTTCATACTTTCTGGTAATAAATTTTTAATGTATGGAGCATAAACATTTAAAAGGAGCAATCTAGCATCTAAGAAATAATTGCTTCGCCTATTATAGAAATAAAACTTTAAAAATATGACCACTGATCATGAAACTGTAAAAACAATTTTTTGGAATATATTTTAGATTCAAATTGTGGTATCACGGAAGTTCATTCCAATATTGATTTTAACATTTGGCCATTTGGCATCTGCCAAAATAGATATTTGGTGTGCTTCTAAATGTGGAATACCACTTACTATGCTTTGAAAATAGCCTAATTGTTTTTCTTTATGGGAATGTCCATAATCGAAGAAATATCCCATTAGAGTCAGGCATTTTATTTTTAAAAACGAAGATAGTATGATTCTAGACTAAAACACACAAAGTATGATTACAGACTGAAACACACAAAGAAATGAAAGTAAGTAAACTGAAACAGAGGGGCACTCTTTGGAAGGAATAGGGGAGAGATTATCCCCTCACTACAGTGTTTATGATACTGTATTCTCACCTAGACAGTCCGGAGAAATCCGCTTCTTCTTCTTCACATCTTTCATCTAGCTCTTTCAGAGCTAAGGTAACATCCTCTTCACAGACTGACTCGGGGTAACTTTCAGGAGCTAGAGGCTCTGGCATTTCAGTTTCTTCTAAATCAAGAATTCCTTGACACACAAGAGATTCCTGCTGTTCTTGAATTATATAGGATCCTTCATCTTCAAAGGTTGTAACATGTTCCTCCTTTAATACTGAAGTTGTATCCTACAAAACAATCATAGTTTTAGTGAACTATAAACACATAAAAAAAGAATTTTACAACACAATAAATAAGTATTGCCATCCATCTAAGTCTGTTTTATTAAGTGGTGTTCATTTATACAGTCTGTCACCCAGGCTGGAGTGGAGTGCAATGGCGTGATCTTGGCTCACTGCAATCTCCGCCTCTCAGGTTCAAGCGATTCTCCTGCCTCAGCCTCCCAAATACTTAGGACTACAGGCACATGCCACCATGCCCAGCTAATTTTTTTTTTGTATTTTTTAGTAGAGATGGGGTTTCACCATGTTAGCCAGGATGGTCTCGATCTCTTGACCTTGTGATCTGCCCGCCTTGGCCTCCCAAAGTGCTGGGATTACAGGTGTGAGACACTGCACCCGGCCACTTTTATAGTTTTTGAATCAGTTATAAATTATTTTTAACGGTCATAGGTTTAAAATATTTTGAAATTAAAATATATCACCTATTATCATATAGAAACATTGAGGACTTTTTTTCTCTTCAGTAACAGGATTTAGGTGTTTACTTGGAAATATGTGCTTTGGTAAAATATCTTCTCTCATATATGTTCTAACTCTACACAAGTAAAACTTTGTATTATTAGTATAAATCGTCTCCTGTTTGAAATGTCATTGCTTTCATTACAGTGGAACACAGTATATTCCGGATATAAGTAGGAGAGATGACTCAAAATAATTAACCCACTCGTCCTGTGGGGCTGCCACACAGCAGGAGTAGGTACTGACCAATCAGAAGGATGCTGAACCTAGACAACTAGGGTGGCCTTACTACAAAATCTCATTTTGGCTTTGAGTATTGATAAAGCTTCATCACTTAGCTACAGTTCAGAAGACATTAGGACACTTTAGATAATTATACTTTTGAAAATTAAACTATCACAAGCTCATTATCAAAAAAGACTATATTCTCCTCATTTGAAGTAAACAATAATGAAAATACATGTTATAAAGCATACTAGTGGTGTGCCCTTTCTATCCACCGTAATGTTACTGAAACAATGTTGCTATGTGATAGACAAGTGGTAGAGGCTCAAGAGATATTGGTTGAATGAGCTGCTACTATCAAAAAAGGAAAACACTTTCAAAGCATATATGATGATGGTATCAACACTAGTTTTTAGTTTATTGGTTTAATCAATTTGAAAATAAGTACTAATGGTCATAGTTCTAGGAATAAAGATCAGCTTCTTTTGAGTATTTGGACCTAAGTTACTTCTCAGCTGTAGAGTAGCTCCTTATCTGTTTTTCATGGATAAAAATAGAATTTTCCTTCCAAAATAAGAAAAGTAAGAGAAAGTCAGAGCCTATAACCCTAGACTAGCCCAGGCCTTATTCATATGTAAAACTCATCTATAAAATGAAGGATTTTGACTAGATTCTGGGCTGAGTGCTCTGGTATAAATAATTCCTAACTGCAAATAGTTTATAATCTAGTCTAACAGGGTTAGGCTAGTAAGTGAATGACAATAACATATACCAGAGTATGGTAAATGTACGGTAAATACTATCAGCAACATACAAATGGGTGCTGGTAACTCAATGATGGGAAAGCTCTCAATCTAGTTGAGGCAACTGAGGTGAGTCTCCTTGGAGGAAACAGCATGTTTTGACAAACATGAGGTAGGGATGATATTGCAGGGAAAGTGATTAGAAGATATCAAAGGCACAGAAATAACGCCATGAAAACACAAAGTGTGTAAGAGAACACTGCTCTGGATTTAGTTAAGCAGGGAAAGCAGCAAACTCTGAGTCTTTACTTCAGCATTAAATATAATATAGTAGGATTATTTCTTAATTCTTCCACCAGTTTATATTCAATATACTCTAAGGTTTCCAGATGAATTTTCTAAAAAAATATTTGGTCATTATTTGGAAAGATAATCTATGTGACAGTACTAGAGACATTTCTACACCTAGAATATTTATTGGCATGAATTTTTCCTTCTACATCAACATGAACATACTATGTTATCTCAACCCAAACTTAGTTCAATGCCCTCACTTTTCATTAGTTCACACCTGCAGTGGATTGTCATTTTTTCTTGAATAATAATTTCAAGATGATATTTTATCTGTAGTTAGTATTATATAACATACAATGAAATTTTCTAGTAATGCCTACATATCACGAAGAAAGTGCTTTTGGGGCTGTTAGAATGGATTCCATTGTTTATATGTAGATTATGAGAATCAAATTTTCTTGTACTTCACCTTATTAGACAATGACACATGCACATATGCTTTGTTACAAAGATTTCTTTCCTATAAGGAATAATTTGTCATCCATGAGGTGGATTCCAAGCTATCATAAATAATAAAAGAAACCCTCTGTGAGTAAATACAAGTGAAGAACTTAATCCCCTCTTGAGATCAGAGTGTAACGTGTGTATATTACAGAGAAGAAAGGGACACTCAGCTCTAAAGTTTGTCATGACAGAAGATGCTTTAGCCTACTCCATTTTATCTTTCCAATATTAACATGATTTAAGGGAAGAAATTCAAATAAACATTTTTAGGAGTGGATTTATTCCTTTAATTCACAAAACATTTCACCCATCAAAATTAATTATATTCTTTGTCTTAAGAAGTTGCCTTAAAAATAATTATGGTTTTATTTCAATATCTTGGTGCTTTTCTACTTTTTCTTTTGGTACAAGAGGCAATTTTGGGTCATTTGACACTATTTGGCAAAACAGAGAAAAACAAATTAGGCCAATATATCCAACAGATATAAGGCTGTCATGTTCCCTGTGGATAGCCATTCTTTTGGTGACAGTTTTAATATCAGTAGAACTGTTTCTAAATGAAATACCATGCTTTCAAAATATCCCTTTCATTCTCATCCACTGGTGTTACGGTGTATGGTGTGATCTATGGTGTGATCCAAACTAGGCACTGTAGTTTGGCTTAATAACTAATAAACCTCCCAACAACTGAAAGGAATATAGTCTACTTAAAATCCATCTCTAAATTCCATCAGTTCTCTCCTGTAAACATTTCTCATGTTTGTGCCCTTAGTCAGGCCCTGCTAAATTCTTGCTAATATTCTTCCAGCTTAGCTCGTTCATCTCCTCCAATCTACCCTCAAAGCCTCTGCCTTAGAGACTTCACTACCAACAATGAGGCTGCAAACCTTCTGTGATTATCCCTAACTGCAAGCTCTATGTGTCAGGGACTAGAACCTACTTTCCATTTTCGACAAAAAAGGCCAAAGTTTTAAAAAATAATCAGATCATGTTCTTCTTCAATGGTTACCTGCTGTGTGGCCTGTGACACATGTCATGACAGTGCCTTGGCCCACCCCTCTCCTTCTTGTTCACTGTGTTCCAGCCTTACTGGCCAGTTTTCTGTACTTCAGATATATCAGGGCCTTTTAAACTGCTGCTTCTTCTGCCTGGAACCTTCTCCCTCCAAATCTTCAAGGGGTGGGCTGGTTCTTGTCATTTAGGTTTCACCTTAAATGCTACCCCTAACTTTCTCCTTCACTCGAGTCCACATTACTGTTAGATTTTCTTAGTATGATGAATAAGATGAGACATATTATTTACATTTTGTTTTACCTGCTTATTATCTGTCTCTCCTACTAGAATGAAGCTCCATAAAACCAAAAGCCTTTGTCTGTGTCACAGTTGCCACGGGCCCCGTGCCTAGCCTAGTGCCTAGCACGAGGTAGCGCCTCAGTAGATACTGGTCACATAAATGAATGCTCACATGCCATGTGGTTCCATCTTGGCATCTGGTACAGTGCTTGTTACTTAATAGGTATCTCTTGAAAGGATAAAAATTTGAATGTCTTTCTGTTATCTCAAGACAAAGTCTTAAATCTTCAGTGTGGCATATAGGACTTCTCCTGTCTATTATCTCAAGATAAAGTCTAAGTCTGTAGTGTGGCATATAGGACTTCTCCTGTCTTGGATCCCATTCATTGCTCCTATTGCTCTTCCTCTCCCTCCTCCCATTTTACTCTCTGGAAATACTCAATTTCCTGCTTTTAGCTAGACACATCATGCTATTTCACACTGCCATCCCTTTCTACATTGTGTCCCTCTGCCTGGAATGTCCCAGTTACCATGAAACCTGTCCTTTCTTACCATCACTCCCAGTGCACAGCTGATCACTTTCCTCTCAGTTTTCATAAAGCCTTGAACCTATTATTGAATTTTCCACACTGAAATGTAATTTCTTTTTTTTTTTTTTTTAATTTTTTATTTTTGAGATGGAGTCTCACTCTGTTGCCAGGTTGGACTGCAGTGGCGCGATCTCGGCTCCCTGTAACCTCCGCCTCCCACATTCAGGTGATTCTCCTGCCTCAGCCTCCCGAGTAGATGGGACTACAGGTGCATGCCACCAGGCCCAGCTAATTTTTGTATTTTTAGTAGAGACGGGGTTTCACCATGTTCGCCAGGATGGTCTCAATCTCTCTCTCGCTCTTTTTTTTTTCTTTGGGACAGAGTCTCGCACTGTTGCCAGGCTAGAGTGCAATGGTGACATCTCAGCTCACTGCAACCTCCGCCTCCCGGGTTCAAGTGATTCTCCTGCCTCAGCCTTCCGAGTAGCTGGGACTACACGTGTGCACCACCACACCCAGCTAATTTTTGTATTTTTAGTAGAGACGGAGTTTCACCATGTTGGCCAGATGGTCTCGATCTCCTGACCTCATGATCTGCCCACCTCGGCCTCCCAAAGTGCTGGGATTACAGGCGTAAGCCACAGTGCCCGGCCTGAAATGAAATTTTTTTAAAAGCCTTCTCTGTCTTAATAGACAGCAAGAGAACGTTCTCTGAAAACAGGGCCATCCATGTCCTATTCTTCTTTCTGGCACCTAGCTGAATGCCTGGCATCTACCGAAAGCACAATAAATATTTGTTGAATTGAATGATCTAAACCTTAGCCATATGAGTATGAGCATTTTAAAGATGGCTTGCTAATAAGGAAGCCAAAGTGCCTTCATTTCAAAATATGTCTGGTTACTGTTAAAGTTCAAATATGTACAAGAGTCAGCCTAACAAGAACACAATAGTGTTTTATCACCTTACAAAAATAATAAGATCTGATACCTAGATTAGATCTAATAACTACATTAATTTGATGAACAGTGACAAAATGTAGCATTTCCTAATATTTACCAAGGAATAAAAAAAGCACATATGGCAGAGCTATAGCAATTACATTTTTAAAAAGTATAATAATCTTTAAAAAAAACACTAATACTTACTTATTTTTGGTCAGTCATTAGCTTCAAATCTGGCTTACTTCTCACAGGCCTTTCCAAAAAACATAATACTAGTGGTTCCAAAGTCTTTTTAAAAGATTTCATTTAACAACTGCTAAAAACCACAGCTGGCCTGAGGTTTTAATCCCAATCACAGCACCAATCACATAAACCCAACACAAAGCAAAAAGAGAAGAAAAAACCAAAGCGGTCCTTCTAAGAAAATACAGTGCAATAGATGATGCTCGCCAACCCCAGAGAAGCGTCTGTACATTAACCTCATCATGTTCTGCAATGCAAACTGCTCATTAAAAACACTCAAGATTATTTTTAACCTGTAGGTCATTTCCTTAATCTACCAACTTAAGAAAAAATCAGATTTGACTATTTCATTTAAAATAACTCAACAGGTTAGAAATACTGGAAACAAATCAACTTCAAAACTTTTTTGAAAGAAAAGCGGGAGCTATAAAAGAGTGCTAAAAAGAGCCCAGATTGGCCATGCACCAGCCTCCATTTCTCCCCACCTCAGGCAGCCGGCTGTTAGCATTATCTAGAGAAGCCTCCAAAGTTGGGGTCTCATCCCTGATTTGAAGCACTTCCTCTGTTGTGATGCTGCCAGTGGAATCTTCAGACTGGAGAAGTAAGTCAGGATGGTCTGGTATTGTTTCATCAGTGGCAGAATCACTGTTTAACTAAAAAGAGAAAGAGTAAAATAAGGAATTCATTTATGAGTCAAAAGCCACAGGAAACATTCTCTATCATAAAATATTTTAGGGGCTTCGTTATAAAGAGCTTCTGAGATTTCCTAAAATCATCTTTCTTTCCTTCCAGTCTACACCAGAATGGGTGTTGTTAGGGTAAGCAGCTAATCCCTCGGTAGAACTAAGTACACATTAATACAGGCTAAATTTTGCTAAACAAAAACTATCAAAGTGGAAGAGCTCTATGTAACTATGTTAACCTTGAGCTGAAATTCATATTGGAGCTGAATTCATATTCATTCATGGAGGACGAAGATTTATGTGGCACGGTTAAGTGAATGGGCACTAGAGACAGACTGCTTGATTCACATCTACTTACTAGCTATGTGTCCTGGGATAAGACATGTAATATGCAGATCTGCAATAACCATACTTGCCTTGTGTTAGGAGGAGAGTTATGGTAACTAATACACGTAAAACACCTTGAACAGGGCCGGGTGCATCGTAGACAGTCAGTAAGTGGTAACGTATTATGGCTGCCATTAGCAGCAGCGGTTGGTCATTGAACACTTAAATGGGAGAGGGGCAGTTAGTGGAAAGACAAACTGGGGCACCAATGAGATGTAAATACAGGAGAGATGACTGGACACCAACCACAAACCGACAACTTGACATTGTGCCTAAAGCAGCTCAGGCCCTTCCATTCAACATCACTGCCAGCACTTTACCAGCAGGCCGAGTGGAGCAAATGGATCTAAATTAAAGGTAGGTGGCTGGGTGCGGTGGCTCATGCCTGTGATCCTGCCACTTTGGGAGGCCGAGGTGGGAGGATCACTTGAGGCCAGGAGTTCAAGACTAACCTGGGCCACATAGCAAGACCCCATCTCTACAAAAAATTTAAAAAAATTAGCTGTGCATATGTGGCATGCACCTGTAGTCCTAGCTGCTTGAGAAGCTGAGGCAAGAGGATCACTTGAGACCTGGAGTTTAAGAATACAGTGAGCTATGGTTGTGCCACTGCACTCCAGCCTGGGTGATGGTGTGAGACCCTGTGCCTAAAGAATAAAAAAAGGAGGCATTCCTGTAAGAGCTGTGTAACCATAGCTGGTGCCTGGTCTCCACTGGTTTCTTCCTTATCACATGTACCAGGGTAGCTATTCCATGTGCCTTCTCCTTCTTTACAGTGCCATCTTCAAGTTCCAGCCCTACCACTGGCTTTTCTTGCACCCGTACTCTTCTGAAATAACAGGCTACTCTTGCAGCTTTCATTTTCCACTGACTCTACTTGATCTCGAAAGGGACCAAACTTGTGCTCTGTTTTTCCACACTATGCTAACTAGGAAAGAAAAGTGAGTGGTGAATTAAATGGTGTTGGTGCTCACATTGATACCAAAAATATGTTATCACTGAAGGCCTCTAATAGGGCCCAAAACAACTCACTGTGACTAGGAAAGAAGCAAGAGAAATTATATTTTAGCAGCTAATAGGTGTGCAGTATCAACCTAATAAGTTTAGTGCTGTCATGAATAACAACACGGTACTCCATTAGTGTTGCAATCTTGTAGATTCATTTCAGTGTGTGCATTTCACCCATGCACAAGAAATAATCATTAAGAAGTTGGAAGTTAAGAGGAAAATGAGACCAAATGTCACTGTAAGAAAAGTGAATTGTATACCATCTGTGTGCGTGAGAGTATCTGGCTTGCTGTAAGTGCCGCTTCTTCTTCCGAGGACTCATCTGTATCCTCCTGATTGGTGAGGTTCAGGCTGGGGGTGCTACTAGAGCACTGGTACTCCTGGAGGGATGGAGTGTCCCCTTTGTCAATACTGTCCAGTGAGCGCCTGCGAACTCCCCAGTTGAAATTGTCCATACTTTCACCCTGGAAAAGCAAGACACGATTTCTAAAACCTCAAATACATGCTTCTAAATGTACTAAATGTAATATACCAGAAAAACATATACCAAGATGAAAAATACTTAATGCATCATTAAAAGCAGAGTTTCAATCAGCCCTTCAATTTCTTTAAACTGTTAACACACCATCAAATATTTATATTTAAAAAGATCAAAATTATTTGGTTGACAACCTGTTTTAACGAAATAATTTTCTTGACTTTCTATCTTGTATTACTGGGGACCAAGTAAATCTACTATCTAAGCCATTTCTATTCTAATACACAAACATGAATGAGACCACAAAGAAGACAAATACATCACAGATGACAACAAATAAACAATCCATAACACCAGGCTGCAACTTACCTGCAGCTCCTGGTTAGCAAAAAGGAAAACACACAGAATTAGAAAAAAACGAAGACAAACATTTAAATATACACTACACTTTTGGGGCAAACTCTTTGTGATTTCTCAAACCCAAAGACTGATTCAAGCTCTGGATTAAGCTTTGTGCAGAAAGTCAACATGTGATTCAAATCTTTTTTTATGCAAAATATGTTGTGAAAAAGTCAGAGACAGACACTTAAAACAACATTTCTATGATACACTTTGGCAACACAAACTTTAAGAAAATCTTCAAGATTTACAAAGGTTTAATACTTAGTACAATGCAAAAACTGACTTTAAATACCCACATGCACTTGACAACATACAAGGTCACAATTATTTCAGTTGGTAGGATAGCTCTGGCTAAATTCAATGGTCATTTTTTGCTACAAAATATAATTTAAAATCAAGATCACAGCCATCAAAACATAACTGTTGCCAATTTTAAAAGGTCAAGAGGAAATATGACAAATTTCAATTTCTCCCACTTAAGGATTTATATAAGTTATGTTTCTGTTATTCTAAGCTGCTCCTCCTTTTGTAAGGATATAATCCCTACAATTTTTCTTAGGCCCTGATATGACAAACTATATTGAGCTGGCTACCAAAATATGATTTTTTTTTTCTGTATCCCTTTACACAGGAATTGTCCAGATTAGAAGTTTTCAAATCTTTTTTTTTTTTTTGAAAGCAGAAGAATACTTATTTCAAATGAAATTTTAGATGGCAGTCAATTGTGCAAAACAGAAAACCAGAGCTGCTCTGGTTGAAGGTGTCCAGGAACTTGGCCCATTGGATCTTTGAATCTGTCCCGGCTGTTTCTGAAGATATCTTGGAAGCCCTAGGGCCCTGCATGTCAGAGTTTGAAAACCACCTTCCTGGAACATATCATTTCAAATATTATTATGTACCAAAACACATAATGGCAACAGCACTCAATATATATTTGGTGAGTGAATGAATATGCACTGTGGGCTTTCAAAGTGAGGAGATATTTTATTATAATTTTCATTAGTGGTTAAGTTTGTTTTGTAGCAATCAAAGTATTTCCTATTACCATGTTTTAAACAAGACTATATCCAGGTTTTAGAAAATGTGTATCGCTGATTTGGCGTAATTATGAGGGATAAATTAGCGTGCTCCACCCCACCCCTGATTACTGTGACTTGAATTAAAGACAGAACTACAAATGAACATCCTTAGTCCATTCTAAGGTTCTATTAAAAGCCATGTTTATTACCACTGACATTTTAGAGCACTGAATGAACTTGAAAGCATTTACAGTTCTCTTTAAACAAGAGGCAAACAAAAAGAAAAATAACCTTACCATTACAAAAATGTCAAGAGCTGCCTTTAGAAATTTAAATTCTGGACTGAAAAAAGCAACTAACTACAGAAGAGTTTAGAAGCTGCTCCTGGCCTTGGGTAGGGCAGCAGGTCTCTTTAACCTATTCCACTCCGTTACTTGGTTGTGCAAGTCTGTTCTATTTCCTACAATATATTTTTTCAAATGATGAGTGTGAAACTAATTTTAGGGTGGTAACCTACACTTTTTGAAAAAAAAAAAAAAAGAATGAAAAGGAAGAGAATAGAAAATATCAGTATGCACAGCATAGAGTTTGGATGCATATTCTTGCAACTTTTATTTTTAAAGGTATATATATATATATATATATATATATATATATACACACACTTGGATGTGATGTAAAATGTATTAACTGTGGATTAGTGTCAAAAAAAAGTTTAAAAGCTACTGCTCTGAAAGGTGCTAAATAATACCTGTTCTTGAGTTCCTATGAACCTGTACAATTGTGTCTTTGGGAAAATGTAAATGGTGGAGTATTCCATAGGAGCCTACACAGCTCCTAAACTGACATGAAGGCATTTGCATTACTTGGAGGCACCATGGTCACATCCTCACATCTGCAGGGGGCACTGAGGCATGTTGAGGAGAGGGAACTTTACTTCCTCAAACTGGTCTTCCATGGACAATGAACAGTGTGATACGGGAGAGTGCATTACATTTCATTCCTCCGCCTCACCTATTAGAGCCAAAGGAAACACCCCTACAAGAAGAGCTGATGAATGTGTATAAGCTGTATATGAGTTGTATATGTATATGTACATGAGAGTTGATCAGTGTGTATGATCTGTATGAGTTGTATATGTATATGTATACGAGAGCTGATGAATGTGTATGAGCTGTATATGAGTTGTATATGTATATGTACATGAGAGTTGATGGATGTGTATGATCTGTATGAGTTGTATATGTATACGAGAGCTGATGAATGTGTATGAGCTGTATATGAGTAGTATATGTACATGAGAGTTGATGAATGTGTATGAGCTGTATATGAGTAGTATATGTATATATGTACATGAGTTGATGAATGTGTATGAGCTGTATATGAGTAGTATATGTATATGTACATGAGAGTTGATGAATGTGTATGAGCTGTATATGAGTTGTATATGTGTATGTATATGAGAGCTGATGAATGTGTATGAGCTGTATATTAGTAGTACATGTATATGTACATGAGAGTTGATGAATGTGTATGAGCTGTATATGAGTTGTATATGTGTATGTATATGAGCTGATGAATGTGTATGAGCTGTATATGAATAGTATATGTATATGTATATGAGAGCTAAATGTATTTGAGCTATGAGTTTTGATTCTTTAGAAAAAGATACATCAAGATATGGTATACAGATACTTGGTATTAAGGCATTTTGGTCTTCTTGCATACAGATATTTGTAGCAATTTCAAAATGTACATGTTTAAAACAAATCTATTTGATATAAACTTTCAGGGTTAAGAGACTGTGGTTTAGGGAACTGAGCTCAGCTACAGAAATGGATCTCTAATAGCCTAAGACAACCAGGGTAATCCTATTCTATTCACTAGAGTGGTTGTTTCAGAAAGTAGCATGTGTCCTAATTTGGGCCAATGAGATGTTACAAGAAGTTTGCTAAGACCATTTAGGAAAGCAGCTTCCTTACTTTTCTGAGAGCATTTCTGGATGTGACCCTCACCTCCTTCAAACACTGCTGTGTGTGGGGCTAAGATTACCCAGCAATGAAGACGGTTTTGCTGCTATCTGAGGTCAAGCTGACTGGCAGAGAAGGGGAGAGCCTAGAGAACTGCAGATAAACAGCCAGAAACTTCATTGAGCCATATCTAAATATAAGCTCTAATTCTGGACTAGTTTTGTGGGCTAATAAATCTACTTTCTGAGTTTTAAATTCCATTTAGAAAGCATCTCAACTGACATAACTACCAATATAATGTAATCCAGACTAAATCAATTTAGAAGAGAAACGCTTTGAGTATTAAATGAAACCAGGCATTTGAGAGAGTTACCTACATCATAAAGAAGAAAGTGATTTCGAATGTCAAAGAAAGAAGCTCAGTCATTTGCCAAAGGGAAGAGTTCTAGAAAGACAAACCCTTTGTGATATGTCAATTTAGTGGTAAGTGTGTATATGAGTAGTATATGTATATGTACATGAGAATTGATGAATGTGTATGAGCTGTATATGAGTAGTATATGTATATGTACATGAGAGTTGATGAATGTGCAATTTAGTGGTAAGTGCAACTCTCTTTAAAGTTGTCCTTAATCAATTCTCATATAAATTTTTACCATTTGGCTGCATATTAGTTTGTAAGACAAATCATGCAAAACATTTAAGTCTAAGCATACCCTGAAAATAATTTTGAAGGAAGCCATTTTTTAATTTTATATTTTTAAAGATAAAGATGAAAAATGGAATGTTTCTCTTTTATCTCAGACTTATTCTATTGACTAATTGTGGTAATCAAATTTAATTCCTAATTTAGATTTTTACCTTTTTGACCTTACACTGACCTCAATAAGGAATGATCCTGTGATCAAATCCTTAATTCTCATACAACTGTTCTATAAATATTAACAGAGAAAGCCCACATCCTTACCTCTGCATCTTCCAATTCAACATCTAAAAAGTCAAAATCCTTAAAAACACCAAACTGTTGTTCACTGCTATTATCTTCCACAGCTACTTCTTCCTCTTGATTTATGTCTTCTGTTGTAGAAATTAGGCTAGTCTGTTGGTCACCGACTTCCAAATCCTCATTAGAAGAAAATACAACCTGATGCCCGATTAAAAAAAAAAAAAAAGTCCATCCATCAGATTTGTCACTCTGCGTATGAGGTATCAGTACCCCAAAGCCACCGCAGGCCTCATTCTTCAATGAATTCACAGCTTAAATTTGGTCTTCATGTTTAACTAGTTGAACACATAGTTAGCATGGCTGCCAGGTGTCACAAGAGATAAGAAATCTTTTTTTCATTCTGAGTTAATACCGTAAGTAAGGTAAATTAGAAAAGGCAAGCAAGGAGACAGATCATTTCTTCAAGGAATAACATGATCTTTAAGACCTTGACACAGGTCTTCATGATTACTCACTGATGGGTTCTTTGGGAGGCCAGATTCTGGACCACAGAGAGAAAGCACATTCATTAGCTTTTCTCTTGTTCTTCGCTAAAGGAAAAAAAAAAATTAAAATGTTAGGACTGCTGATAAAATAAGACAAATTCTCAAGTTTTCATACCTATAACAAAACTGATTCTTCTGTTCTATGAATGTTCCATTTTGATATTCTTTATGTACCTGTGATAACTGTGGCCTTTTCCAACTAACAGGAACCAAGGCATTAGAATTAGAACCAGAAGAAGTTGAGGAAGTACTTCTAGTGACAGCAATAACTTTTGGTTTCCCATTTCTTCCAGCCGCACTGTGCTGATCACCATATTTGTTTCCAATAATTGGTGTCTACACAGAAACAAAATGTCAGTGTTTGGCTCAAATATTTCAACATAAAAGAAACTTAAAAGGGTTAACAGTGCACCTATAATATTTTTTACAAATAAAAAAAAAGATGAGGAGAGAAATTACTTTGCATGAGGCAGATGTTAACAAAGATCAAAGGTAATGATATATATATATTTTTAATCAAGAGACTTTATTGGAAATAATAATTTTACATCTGAGATTATCAGAAAGCCTATTCCTACTTTAAATGTAATCTGCATTCTTTAAAAACCACCATCTCCACCTTTCCCCACCATGATTATAAAATATACCCAAAACTCAGAAAATGTAAAAAAGATTTATATTTTAAATATCAAATCATCTGTTTTCTTACCACTCAGACTTAATATTTGTTAAATTTTGGCGCTTTTTCAAAGCATATTGTCAAGTATGCTTCAGCAATGTGGTTTAGCAAATACTGAAGTAACAAAAGAGGAACACTTCTATGTAGATTCTTATTACAAATCTGATGTGTAATACTTCCAAAATTTATTTCAGTAAAAATTCTATGATAATCAAAAACTCATTTATATTTGACTTTGTAAAGTGTTTTAAATTTGCATTTGAAAATAAAATTCAAGCTCATCTGCATGTCATACGAGTCCCTTTATGCTCAACTGATCATCCTTCTCTCCCTAGCCTCAACTACGACCACTTCCCCCTCTCTGAACTTCACACACCAGCAAAACTGAGCTTGCTCTTGTTTTCCAAACACACCATGCTCTTTTATAGACCCGTGTTTTAGCCTATGTTGCCCCTTTGCATGGAATATCCACTAAGTAAACTTCTAATCATCTTTTAATGATGACTCCAGACTTTTAAGGAGGCCTTCTGTTCTACCACCACCACCTCTGTGTAATCAAACTTGGACACTTACCATGCTGACTGTAAACTGTTTATGTGCCTGACTTCCCTACTACACATGTATCCACTGGACCATGTGTGATTGCCTCTATACCTTTGGTGTATCTCCAGTGCCTATGCATGGCAGGTACTGAGGAATTTTTGATGCAACAAATTGAAATTAAGTATATAAAATGTTTTGAGAATTTGCATCACTGCTTCAAATAACGATCGATTTCTGAATCAGAAGGAAAAGGAAAGCCAAGCTTCTCCATCATACTCCCATGCTATTATACATACATCTTGCTAGAAATTCTCAGATATTATTAACTAAAAAATTAGTAACAAATATGCTTTCTACATAAAAAAATAAAGTTTAGGATAAATTCTAATGCCAAGACTAAACTGCAATAAAACATTTTTTATCTATATAATTCTAATCAACAAAAAAGTAAGTAGAGCTTCAATTTTTAATCTTTCTCAACCTTACAATACTTGATCAATAACTTCCTTCTTGAAAAGTTCCTCCCTTGGCTTCCGAAAGACCACTTCAATGGCACCAAGGCACCAAGAGTGGGCTCAGGTGCCAGAGGGAAAAAAAATCGGGACTCTCAGCAAGGATGAGAAATCTTTAAGTGAGATTTTTATTAATATACAGCATAGCCAGGCTCCAGGGTTCCTTCTGGACTGATGGCCCCTGCTTCTGTCTAGTCCTAAAATATCCAGTTTCTCAGGTTTCCTTTAGTTGTTGCCTTCTGTTCTTTTCAGTTTTCCTTCCATGGTTTCAGCCATTCACTTATACAACACTGAAACCCTTAATTTGTTACTTCCACCCAAGTTTTCCTCTAAAACTTCAGATCCCAAAATTTAACTGACCACCAGGCACCTCCTTTAGTATGTTTCTGGGTCACTTCTGAGTCAACATGTCCAAGACGGAACTCATTGCCCCCTCTCCTTCCCTGCTGTAAGATCTGTTCCTGCATTCCCACTCTCTTGAGTGGTGCAACATTGATCTACCTGTCAAGGCCATTCATCAAATCCTTGATGCCTCTTCCCCACTTTCCCATTAAATCCCATCAGTTACTTCCTTGGTCTTTTTGTAAACCATCTCTCTTCCTTCTTCATTACCTCTGCAATTGTCTTGGGACAGTCCCACATTATCTTTTGCCCAAATTCTTCTAACAGATTCCTTACCAACTGTCCTCTCCTCCTCCCTGCTCTATTTTCTATCCTGTGGCTAGAGTGATCCTCCTAAAATGCAAACCCTAATACGCCAACTAAAAATCCTTTAAGAGCTCCTACTGGTTTAGATAAAACCAGTTTGTTACTATGAAATGCAAGATCCCCATGATCTTGCCCCTTCCTATGCCTTCAGCCTCATGTCTCATCACACTCTACTTGCATTTTTTTGAACTCTGTGCCCAAGGTAGGCGGTACTAGTTGGAAGTGTCTGGAACACCATGCTTTCTCACGCTTACAAGCCTTCATTCACACATTCTCCATTTCTTTGCATTTAACCTCCCCTCCCCAAACTGCCATAGATGCCTGTCTAGAATTACTTGTCTTTCAACACTCAGCTCAGATGTTGGTTCCTTTCTGAAACCACTCCTTTAGATAGATGCTACATACTCCCCTAGCACTTTTAATGTATTCCAGCCGAGTGTTGATTACTATGTTTAGTTGTTAAGCTAAACACTGTTGGGAAGCTAAGTTGTGGCGTTTCTTTTAGATGGGGAATGTATAGTCTGTTTCTCTAACAGACAGTAAGCTTTCTAACAGCAGGCCTTCTCCCCATCCCCACTTGGTTGTTCATAACAGCTATCATATTGTCTAACACTGGGTATGAGCTCAATCAATGTTTGTTAAATCAAAGAATGAATAAATAAACAAATGAAAATTCCTAGTAGAGTAACTTCATCAATTTCTGAGCATCTTACCTCAGATATATCAAAATGAAAATCTAAGGTCTTCCCAGGCAACTCCTTAGAAACATTATTAAAAATTTTAGTGAAGGATATTTCAGGAGAACCTGTATCTCCTCCATAGGTCTTGGGGATATCACTGGGTACGACAAGACTCGCAGAGCGTGACACCACCAGCTTTAATATGTTAAGGGCTTCCTTCCAGTAAGGACTCTGGTTTAAAAAATAATTGACACGTAAAAGTTACAAATGCACATTCAACTAAGAACAACAATTTACTGTACACCATAAAAATATTATTTCTACAAAAATACTTGTAAAAATTATTCATTTTGAAGATCCTTAATGAAAGGTTTGAGTTACAAAAGGAAAGAAAACACAAGTTATTATTTGTACTGTTAGATTTATCAGATACCATATGTGTAATAATGCTACCCAACTGAAATATCTTGCTTTTCTCCCAATAAGTGCTTTGTAATTATCATTAATTTGGACAGACTAATACAGTAACTTGGCAGTAGTGGTAAACAAAACATTTGTATATACGTCAGCTTTTAGCTGAATGAAGTTTATAGCTTTGAGACTCTAAAATTTAAGTATTTTAAGTCTTTGCAGATAAAAATTTTTTAACGAATACCTTCCTTTTTAGACATAAAAATATTAAAATACTAAAATACAGTTAAGTCTTTTTTTCTTGATGGCCCAGGCCCCAAATACTGAGAGTAGATACCATGCTAATGTGATGTTCTCAGGGATTACTGAGTTGTGTAGGGTGAGGTTTTTTTTTCTTCCCTACATATTTTGGCTATTTTAAAAAAATTTTTCTGCTTGTCTTAGTTTTGTATATTCCTACCAATGAAATCTAGGAATTATTTATGAGCTAGATGTATATGTAGAGAACAGTGAATGTTTGATAAAGACTTTATAATATCTTTCTTTTACCACCCACTGAAAAGGATACATAGAAAAAACTACTTCTTACTTATGGTACCAAAAATCACATCTCAACCTTGTATTATATTATACATATTCTTTCACAGCTGATATCTGAGGAAGGAAAAATAACCATTAAGACACCAAAAAAGGAAGTAAAAAATCTTTGGCAGAATTGGGTTATCCAATTGAGTTCATAACATCTTGCTATGAAGACACCTAAAACACAAAATACTTGATAATAAAAAGGTCTACATGATACTGTGACATTTTAAGAACAGCACTGTAAAAAGTAGTTTAAAGGCCGGGAGCAATGGCTCACGCCTGTAATCCCAGTACTTTGGGGGGCCAATGCAGGCAGACCACTTGAGGTCAGGAGTTTGACACCGGCCTGGCCAATGTGGTGAAACCCCATCTCTACTAAAAATACAAAAATCAGCTAGGCATGGTGGTATGTGCCTCTAATTCTAGCTACTTGGGAGGCTGAGGCAGGACAATCCTTGAACCCAGGAGGCGGAGGTTGCAGTGAGCCAAGATCGCACCTCTGCACTTCAGCCTGGGCAACAGAGACTCCATCTCAAAAAAAACAAAACAAAACAAAAAAAAGTTTATATTTAACAAAATCATGACTAAGTAGAAATAATCATCATATTTTTTCTGACAGAAATAATTACAATCTCTGGGCATCATGAAATGCTAAACTTTAGGGATGTTTTCATAAATTATATTGCTGGTTGTGTTTAAATGTAAAAGACTATCGATAATTCAATTCTGTGAAATATTTAGTTGTTTAATAAAGCACAAGCCAGCAGCTGTGATGAGCCATCAGCTAAATATGATCTTGATTCACACATTTATAAAGAAATCTGGAAAAAAAATTGAGTCAACATTTTAAAATCAGGAGATTTTACAGAAAAATGTAGATTTCCAGCTTCTCTTAAAGTGAGAAGTCTGCCACACTGGACCCATATTCTAACATGAAAACCACCAGAGGAAGCTAAGTTGTGTTTCTCCTTTGAGATGGGGAGTGTGCAGTTCACTTAGCCACAAATCTATGCTCCTTCTGGTTATCTGCTTGTCCACTGGCAAGTTGAGCTTGTGGTTCTGAACATAAGAAATGTACCTATGGTTCAGAAGGTAGTGAATTCAATGTGGTATATGTTTCTATGTGAAATATAGCAAATATTTTATAAGTTTTTTTTTTTTAAGGCTTAAGAAGAAAAGAGAAATGTGCTTTAGAAAGAGATATAACTGCTATCTGGTAAAGCCTCACTCACTGAAGGATAAGACACAAGATAAATAGGGCCACCAGAAAATCTCCCGTTTTTTTGATATCTGCAATCACTGATTTTCAAGGGAATGTAAGAGGTAATGTGGATTACATAACTGAATCACTGAAAACATTTTACTACAGTTTTATTACTTTCAGATATGAACTAGAATAAATTCCTTGCCAGCTAAGTATTTCCCATTCTAAGTTCTGCTCTAGTGAATGCAAACGTAACTGGAGTATAAACACAACATATTAATCTATTAAGGTTGTTAATGAGCTTGTTCTCTTTGGTGAGTTGTATCCATCCTACTGATCTGCTCAGCAATGCAAAGCTTTCTTAACTGGTAGCTCAAACCGACAGCTTAACTGAATTTCAAAGGTGAAATTCAGCAAAGACCAGGCCGACTTGTCATCATTTACATTTAAATCAAGTTTAATTTTCCACTTTCTAAATATCTGGCACTTTTTATCAGACACACAAAAAAATCTCTAAAATGCAAACTCTTCAAAGAGGTTTTCTGTTTCTAAAAGTAGTGTATGCCCACTAAGTAGAATCTCGTTAAAAAACAGAAAGGTACGAAGAAAGAAAGAACAATGAGGCCAGGCACGGTGGCTCACGCCTGTAATCCCAGCACTTTGGGAGGCTGAGGTGGGCAGATTACCTGAGGTCAGGAGTTCGAGACCAGCCTGGCCAACATGGTGAAACCTATCTCTACTAAAAATACAAAAATTAGCTGGGTGTGGTGGTACATGCCTGTAATCCCAGCTACTTAGGAGGCTGAGGCAGGAGACTCACTTGAATCCAGGAGGCAGAGGCTGCAGTGAGCCGAGACTGCGCCACTGCACTCCAGCCTGGGCAACAGAGCAAGACTCCTTCTCAAAACAAAAACAAAAACAACCAATGAGTCACAGTCCTAATTTCCAGAGTTTTGACTGCTGCAATGTGTATATGCATTCCTTCCTGTCATTACAGAACATTACAGAAATTGTTAATACGAAAAGTAGAAATCATACTAATTCTGATTCTGGTTTTTGTCACTTACATTGAGAACATTTTCCATACTGCAAATATCCTGAAAACACGATTTATGGTTGAACCACTTCCCCATTCTTCGACATTTAAGGCATTTCCAATATTGTGTGATTATAAATCATTTTTAGATGAAAAATGTTATATGTAAGTTTTGTGGTCACTCACCTGTACATATTTGCCAATAATCTTTATGATCTCCAGATTAAACTGCTTGGCTGGGGCTGCAGACAGGTCAATATGACTCAATAGACTATAAATAATCTGTAGTAATGATTGCTGCATACTGGACAATCCTTTCTCTAACAGCTAAAAATAATGTTAAAAGTAATATTAAAGTATACTTTAATCAGGTTGAATAAAAACTCAATATTTACATTTGACAGGTTGGAAAACATAGATTTAGCCTATGAGTTTATAGTTATGTGGATTAGAAATCTAGAGACTAATAAAGTGAAAGGCAGAGTCTATTACTGTTATTTTTCCTTGGTTCAGAAAGGAGAATTAGACGATAACTTTTCATCTAAATCATGGTGTTTTATTTCCTTAACTAATTTAGTAGGTATTACTTTATTATAAACTGACAAACATTTTTAGTGACTAGGAATCTCTTGCTTTTGACTTTCTCTTTGTGCCTATCTACTTAGTAATTTACTTTTCTGGGTATAAAGTTACTTCTTAGGCATCAAATAGATATTAACTTTTTGTGCTGTTCTAGGGCTACTTTATCATCCATTTTTTGCTGTCTCAAAATCATATTTTAGATAGGAAGCAAATGTATCATCAAACTAAAAACTTTTCCAGAAGAAATACTTTTGTATGCTGTAATTATTATTCTAGAAAAGATTTCTAAGCTAAAACCTAATTTTGTAGAAATAAAAATTATAACCATTCTCTAGGATCAGGACCACTAAAAACCCATTTTCCATTTTTAATTAGGTAAAGTGTATATTATTTTGAGTTTCATGTCACTTAAGGACAGTAAATAAGGATATAAACACTGGACATGGAAAAAAAACCCACCTTTATAAAAACTTCTTTTACACTTGATAGGAAGTAACTTATATTTTTATCTTAAAAAATTGTTAACTATGTTGACTGTCAGACAATTTGAATATCAGTTAATACCAGTGCTGCTTCTGCATATAAATCAACTTGATAAGGTGCCACAGAGTAGTTAAAATATATATATGTGTATATATATACACATACACACACACACACACACACACACACACATATATATATAGTAAATAAGAAAATATTTTTGGTAAATTTACCTCTGCAAGATAAGTCACAAGATTAAATGTTGTATCTGAGAAGGAGTCATGCAGGTATCTGCACACGACATTGATCCAGTTAGAACAGTCTCTGGAATACGTGTGTGTACTGTACAAACTCATCATGTGTGCCAGATTGACAAGTGTTGGGCATTTTTCTTCTGCACAAACCTAGAAAACAAATAAAATTATTTCATTCACCTAAAATAAAGACACAAGTTTAACTTGATTTTATGCTAAATGTATTCGCTTAATGAAATAATTTAGATGTATATTGGTTTTAATGCATTTTACTTCAATACGTTAGAAAAGTGAAACGAGAAAAAAAGCACAAGGCATTCTTCACAGAATAGTAAGAGCTAATACAGAAAGAGGATTAATGTCTTTGTGGGTACTAAATAGTACGGCCTTCTTCAGTCTGAAGATCTGTAAACTGTCTCTGGCAGAAACCATGTATGGTGTGAACTCGGGACATCATTTTGGAATTGCTTTGTCAAACCCAGGATGGATCAGTGCACAAGTGACTACACAGGCAGATATAACTAGGGAATTCTCAGGGAGGCTCCGAGCTGCTGTGACTGGGAGGAAATGCTTCAGCCTCCAGCTGTGCCCGGGGTATCTCAGTAGAGCAGTCAGTTGCAAACAGCCTCAACATGTGTGACAGTCAAAGGACATCACTGGGGCTCTGATGAAATCTGGAGTCCAGAATCTCCAATGGATGACAGTCTGCATGGTGGACCTCAAACTGCTCTTCCGGAAATCACCTAAAGCTCTAAGATCCTCGGCCAATCTTTTAAAGGCTACTCCAAAATGTACTGACTCTCATGTTTGTTTGATACAATATTAAAGAATCTGAACCAACTAATGTTTGGGGGGAATTTTACTGACTGAATGCACTTCTTAGTCTGTTTGTTCCCTGGGTTATTGGTGAGGATGTTCCCTGGCCTCTCCCAGGGGACACCTGAGCTATGCAGAACTGGAAAAAGGCCATGCTACTCTTACATACCAATCTGTCATAAAAGGCTAACCTCATTGTCATTTCTGCTTTTAGTTTTCCTTTTCCTTATTCTTCTATCTTATGGATGTTTTGTATGTATTTTTACAACTACCTACAGCATTTGGTAAAGAAACTGTCCTTTTAAATATATACATCTTCAACTTTCAAATGAATATCACTAATTTTGGTAATTCGGAAGATGTTTAATAGGCTTGGAGGGCCTCAAATTCATCATTTGGACATTATCATGGAACAAGCACAAAATATAAAGGTTATGCAAGGTCGTGCATAGACTATTAACACAGTAGTACCTGGGAAGTTATTTTATACAATCATTAAAACCAGCTGATTTCATGCAGTAGTGTTTTGCCCATAAAACAGACACCAGAAAGAAAAAGAAAAAATGGGTTGGTATCTCTTATTTGCATTTCAAAATATAATAATTTAACATATTATTAAAAATCGCATAATTTTATAACTTCTCAAGTTGTTAAATTCTTTAAAACATAAAAAACTTTCCTGAAGAATAAAACATTCTTAGAGAATTCTTACATTCTTAAATAATTTTTTTAAGGAATGATTTTAAAAAACTTATTTTTTGAAAAGGGAGAAAATTCCTTGGAATATCTGCTGTGCAATTTTATAATAGAACAAGTGACAGATTTAATTTTGGAATTTTTGAAATGCCAGGTTAAAATACGATCCAAAAAGAGTGTGTTTTATAACAAACTTTTTTAGCATACTATTTTTGCCATAACGAATCACTAAAGAGAAAAATATTTGTCCTAAGTGTTGCCTCATTTTGAAATTCTGTGCTCTCCAAAGGCACAAACAGTAGAACTAGGGATATTTGCATAATGAAGGAGCACATAATGGCAGAAAATTACTCTCTACAGTTATAAGTGGGAGAATAATTAAGGAACCAATTTAATTCACATCCTGCAGGTTGCTAAAAGCATACGGAGAGGGAACCTTTGTGTGCTGTCCAACAGGAAGAAAACAGACTTAAAAACAATTTATGAATCACAGAAGGCCATATCTGATTTCTTAAAAACATAAAAGATATTTGGGAATTTCCATGGCCCTACTGTGGTCACGATATCAGCAGCTCGATATTCAAGGAGCTGTAACATCCTTCAGGCTAGGAGGCCACACTCCTTAGTTATCCCAGCATTTAGCAGGCAGTAATCATTCAACACATTTCAGCTGCCACTCTTAAATACTTCTACTTCCCTTTTTAGGGGATTTATGCCTTTTATTTTCTTGAAACCCCCAAGTAAACCAATATACACTTTCCCCCTTATATTTGCTTTCCAACCCCTCAGGTAGGGAAAAAAACTTTGTTTACACAAATTTTCTAATCATGTGTCACTAAAATATTAAAATGAAAGTTATTTTAATAAATTTTGTATTACGATTAGACTTTATTAATGCAAATACAGGCAGTTGGTTTTAGGCGAGTAATCATTTTCAAAAGGCAATATTTCTAATAGTCATAATTTTCACCCTCTCTTGATATTTAATGTTCTATTGGATTAGTTTAATAAAAACCAAGAATAAAAGACTTATTTTTGGCTTACTTCCTACCACCACCATTTTTATTAAAGAAACGAAGATGTTTCCATTAGCTAAAATAATGGCTCTTTTAAAATACATGCTTTTAGAATAATTATATTAAGAATCTTTCCCTATCTAATTTATTTAGAAATTTAATTGGGGATGGTGTTAAGAGCATATTTTATTAAATATTTTCACATCATTTATTAAATGTTATTTATCAAGACAGTGAAAAGGTTCTTACTCTTATTAATGCTAATGGGATTCATTGGGTTGCCAGTATTTTCTTTCTTTACTATGCTGGCACCTGGAGATAAATGTGTACTTAGCAGTGCTGCAATCTGGGCCATGGAAAGGTGGGGGTTTTATTTGGCTTCCTGCATGCTTGCTCTTTCCCCTTGCTGTGCTACTTGTTAATCAAATCCCAGCTTTTAAAAAAAATTGCTTACATAAAAAGCTTTTTCTGGGGATTTTATTTGCTTGTTCTCTTCTGTAGAAAAAAACTTCCTTTTTTTTTTTCTCCTGGTGCTTTAGCCAAGTTCTTTTACTTATCTTGCTATTCACTCACCTCCCCCAGTTCACCAAATTTCCTATTACATGTATGCTACTTGTAAATTTATATAACTCCCTCTTAGAACTGTTTATATTTTCAGTCTGAAAAGCCTTTTTTCCTCCAGACTCAATGACTGACTGAAAAAAGTTATGAATTATATTTAAGCAAAAGGCAGGCTGTTTGACAGTTCCTTATTGTTCTTGAGAGGGGACTATTAAAAATATAAAATGTCAAAATCACATTCTTTTAACATGAAGGTTAAGAGCTATAACACTTTTAAACAAATGTTAACAGATGATTTATAAAAATATATAAAATGTCAAAATCACATTCTTCTAACATTGAGCCATAATACTTTTAAACAAATGTTAACAGATGATTTACAAACAGCTACACCACTGTTTCTAAAACAGTATGATTTTTGAAGGTAAAAGAGCCAAATAAGGAATAAAAAAAGAATGGAGTAGAGAGAGAAGATGAAGAGAAAGACTGTTAAGAGGAAAAAAGGCAAACAAAAAGGGACAGAGAATTTTCCAAATCCTAAAATATATTATGCCCTCTTCTTCCTCAGAACCTCTGCATCTGTAATTTCTTCTGCCTAGAAAACTTCAAACCCTGAACTCCACTCTTTGCCTCTCATCCAGGGACCTTACTTTGGTTTATTCCTATCCATTCTTCGATAGTGATCTAAGTCAGCTTAGATATCACTTCCTCTAGGAAGACTTCTGTTTTGTGTGCTCCTTGAGTATTCTGCCCCCCACCCTCCCCCTGCCCCGATAAAATACCAAATCAGACTCTCTGATTACTGTCTATTTACTTCACTGCATTCCCCATGATAAAGTACACTATCTACTTTGCTTATCATGTATTTGTAGCATCTAACCCAGTGCTCAGTAAATATTTGGTAGTAAATAAACGAATGAATGAGAAACAGACAGAGAGGCAGAAGTATGGAAAAAGAGCAGAAAAAGACTCAGACTCAGAGGAGTGTTACTCTAACTAAATAATTTTATTTACTGTCATTTGAGCAGTTGTAACTTACGCCATTACTATGCAAGTCCTTTATGTGCATAAAAATAAAAATTTAAATGCAAAATTCATATGGGAAGTGACAATAAAAGGAGTTTTAAGAGATTTCCCCCTCCTTTAACATAGACTACAAAATAATTTCCCTATAGTGTTACCTTTCAGCATAACATTTGCTTACCTTTGCTATTCGACTAGCTGTTTCTTTGCAAAACTGAGTTGGGCTGTCAAAATGCTGGATTAAGTGAGGCAATAAGCAAAGGATGTTAAGAGGAAAGCCTATCAAAACAAAAAAAAGCAAACAATAACCAATTTTATTGCACATTATTTTAAAAGTTAAAGTTATTTTTTTAGATGGTTCACAGAAACCATTTTCTTTTCATTTCCTGGGATATTCGATCTTCTAATTCTTTTTTGGCTTTTACCAAATAATTTAAGCTACCTAGCGTATAAAAACTATGACTATTTGCAAAAAGCAGAAATTAGTAGATTTCAAAACAAATGATTAGTTTACATTTTACTGCATAAAATGCAAAGTGCTGGTGCAATTATATTAACATCACCTGACAATTGGGAAGGATCCACCAATGTATGTTTGGAGACAGAAATGAGTTTACTGAGGAGGTGCACGGTCATTTCTTGTGTAGATGCTGAGGTAAAACCCTTAAGGAAGAGCTGCTGAAGTCCTGGAAAATTAGTCCATTTCAATTTGCTTTGTACATTTTCAATCTTCTCTCGACTCTCTGATTTATCCAAAGGCAAATGGATAAGCAGTTTGTTGAGAAGCCTGAGAGCCAGGAGGTATTCATATTCATAATCTGATTCTAATAAAGATGCTGCTATCCAAAAAATGGTGGCCATCAAGTTGGTAGGCTCAGTAGTGGACTGCACGTCATACATTCCTTTCTCTCTTAGAGAGGAAAGGCTTCTAGTCCTTGCTAAACTACTGCTATGGTTTATCCGTCCATCCATTATATCCAGTGTGTTACTCCGCCGCCGGTCACCTCGTCGGTCACCAATCAAACTTAATCTCAAAGAGTTACTTCTTGCATTACTGTTATATCCCAAATAACTGCTACTATTAATGGGACTTGTGCTTAGATTGAGTTGTCCAGTGCTTTTCCTGTTAGCTGCATACTTGTTTCCCATTATAGGATCATGATATGAGGTTCTTAAAAAAAAGAAAGAATAGATGAATGCATACCCAGTCACTTCTTTTGCTAAATTAATTTTACTTCTGAAAACACTGAAAAATAGTAACTGGTACCAGAAAAATCATTTTTCAGTATATCTGACTTTGTTGAATCAAATTTCAGTTTTCCCTTCAAATTCAAAGAAAATGTACAACAGTATCTTTTCTCTTGTGGCTAACAGTTTCCTTTGAGTTGAAAGGAGGCTCTACTTGCTGAGAAAATTCTGCTATAGTAATCGCTAACAACGTTCAGCTCTGAGATTTAGGCATACATTATGTCCAAAGCTGACTTCATTTGTCTTGTCCTCAAACTTGATGGTCCTGATGTCCCTATTTCTGTCAATGACACACTCTTTTCAAAAGAACTAAGCTCAAAAATTTTCGATTTCTCCTCCTTCCTCACATCCAATTTTTATTAAGAAAATATTGACTGAATGCTTTTTATGTTTGCCAGCTGTATAGAAAAGGAAGGAATATTAGACAAGTCTTTTGAAAGAGGGGATAGATATGTAAATGGATAAATTTATAGCCTGCTAATTGCTATTATTACAATATGAAAAAATCACTATGAGAACCCAAAGGATGGAATAATTAGCACTACCCTGAAGGAGTTAGAAATGCTTAGCTAGGAAGTGACATTTGGGATGGGACTTGAAGGACTAGTCAATTCTGGGCTTGCAAGGTAGAAAAAGTGGGGAGAGAGGCTGCTGCAGGGAGAAGGAACAATATGTGAAAGGTGGGAGAGCCTTAAGGCTCCCAGACAGCTGGGGGAGAAACAGGATGCTGAATCCTGAATGTGGCAGGAATGAAGTGGTGCATTAGAAAGATCTCTAACCAGCACATTAGAAGAAGAACAGCACTGCTAAAATCAGCACTTGGATTTTTCACAAGTCCTCACTGTCTGCGGCCCATCTCCCCACTGGTAATCCATCTAATTTGGGCAGTATTGTGCTTACTAACAATATTAGAATTTTAAAAGTTATAGCTATATGTAGTTAGCTATTCAAGTTCTCTCTATATTAGGTTGCCTGGTTTAAATTCTTACTGAGAAAGGGCAGAAAGAAGATCATAATGCTTCATGGTTTCAGCCAAAGTATCAATTGCAGATTCCAATGTGAGAAGAAGCTCAATCACAAATCCCTGGGGGGAAAAAGGCAGATTTTAATTAATTATGCTCTGGAATAAAGAAACTGCAATGGACTTCCTAATGGGATTTTAAAATAGAACAAACTCCATGTTATGTTACAAAATGATTAAACTCTTGAGCAACATGATCTTGCTGATTGATGCAAACTCATCCAATCAATGGTGTATAAATTGATTGTAATGGTGCCACAATTTACTCAAAATTGCTCAGGTCAGAAATCTAGGAACCATCCTTGTTTCTTTCACATCTAAACTGAATCCACCAGCAAGTCTTGAAAATATTACTTTTGTTTGTTTGTTTGTATTTGAGACGTAGTCTTGCTCTATTGCCCAGGCTGGAGTGCAGTGGTGCAATCTTGGCTCAATGCAACCTCTGCCTCCCGGATTCAAGTGATTCTCCTGCCTCAGCCTCCCGAGTAGCTGGGACTACAGGCATGCGCCTGCACACCTAGCTAATTTTTGTATTTTTAGTAGAGACAGATTTCGCCATGTTGGCCAGGGTGGTCTCGAACTCTTGATCTCAGGTGATCCACCCGTTTCAGCCTCCCAAAGTGCTGGGATTATAGGTGTGAGCCACAGTGCCTGGCTGAAAATATCACTTTTAAAATACACATTAAAAATCTGACCACTTTCCTCTACCTCCATAACTTCCCTTAATCTAAGCTACCACCATTTCAGCTGGACTCTTAACCTCCTGCCCTCTCTTGCCTCCACTCTTGCCCTCCCTACAGATTTCACCCCAATGTCAGAATGAGTTTTTTAAAAAAGAAATCACATCCATCACCTTCCTTCCCTCAAAATGTCTGAGTAGTTTCCCATCAATTCAGAGTGAAGTCCTGCCTCTTACCAGGGCTTACTAGGCCTTACGTGATTTGAACCTACCTACCTCATCAATTTCCTGCAACACATCCTGCAATGTATTCTAGCGACACCAATTTTCTTGATGTTCCTCAGAAAAGCCCTACTGCTTCTGCCTCAGGACCTTTGCACCTGTTAGTCCTATTTTCCTATGCCTGAAATATTCTTCCCCAGATCATAAACAGAACCTACTTCATTTCAGTATCTCTTCAAAAATCACCTTCTCAGATGGATTATCATATGTAAAACAATTCCTTCTCCTTTAATCTTATTATCTTATTATATTCACAGCATTATCAGTAGGATAAATTATGTTATGTATAATTGGAAGACTAAAGGTTTGTTTCCCTCAATAGAATATGAGCTCTAGAATGTTAGGAACTTTGTCTCATTGATCACTGTATCCCTGATATTTATAACAGCGTTAATAAAGTCATTCATCTGTACAAACTGAAGTTCTCTAGTGCAACAGTTCATTTATCTTAAAGCATAAAATTCAATGCTCCACTTTACATTTAAATTTAACTTCCTATCTTTTTTACCTTGTGATCATCCCAGGTTAAGATCTTGGGGGTGGGGTGTTGTGTGAGTGGGCGAGTGTAAAGCTTTTTCTGATAGGCACTAGAATAGTTGATTTAATTAGTAGGTTATTTGATATTAATTACAAAACTAACTTTGTCTCTTAATTCTTTGCCTGCTCAACATCTGACTATAATTCTAGATGCCCATTATCTTGCTCTAGCTATAGCAATCTATATGGACAATAAATCCTTGACAACTAGTAGCTGCTCAATAACTGCTGAAAGAATATAAGGAAATACCTGTGCATCTTCTCCTGGATCCCCTACAGTTTCTACAAGTCTGGAGAGAACATCAGAAAGTGTAGTTGCAGTGAGAGGCTGCTTTAGGGCCCTGAAAATCTGAAAGGATCTCCCAGCATAGTGTCGAGAAGAACAGGAAAGTGCTGTTTGCAGAGCAACTTCACTAAGATGATGTTCCAGATGAATTCCTTCTGTGAATGCAAAGGAAACGAGTAGGTTGTTCTTGTTCTTTAGAATACTAATGGGGTTATAATCAGAAGTGAATCATCTTAAAGCTAGCAGCTAGCACACTTCCTGGCTCTCACATTTTATAAGTCAATGCTTTTTCTTTGCTTAAACTCCATTTGCATTTTAGATGACCCTTTAATCTTTACGGAAGCAATCCTTCAGACCAGGGTTTCTCAACCTTGGCACTACTGACCTTATAAGCCAGAAAATTCTTTGCTGGAAGGGCTGCCCTGAGCAGGGTATGATGTTTAGCAGTGTCTCTGGCCTCAACCCACCAGATACCAGTAGTAACCCCTTGCCCCCAACCCATAACGGTGACACTGTCTCTAGACATTGCCAAATGTCCCCTAGTTGAGAACCACTGCTCTAGACATATACAATTTGACTATGATTTTCAGAATGTGTTGAATTTTAGATTACTGAAGACTATACCAGCACAATTTTTTTTAAGTTTCCAATTTCTATATACGTCCGTTTAATGTATTTTTTCATAATACGCAATTGTATTGTAATTTTATGATGCCATCAAACACAAAACTAAGGAGCCTAGCATTTCATAGATAGCACTCATTTTTAAGTAGTAACTTAATTTTTCTTCAGTGAAAACAGATCTGTTATCATTAATAAATTAAAAGTCTAAAACTTTTAGAGGTATCACAATATCAACTATTAACTTTTTGCTAAGCATTATCAGAAATTGACATCACATTAAAATGTCACTAAAACTAAAATATTTCTTAAAAGATACCTGAGCTTGACTGCTTAAAAACAGAAACCACATGTTTCAAAAATGTAGTTAACTGTTCAGCACTCTTTATGCTAGGATTCTTGGCAGAAACATCCTCATGGTTCCAAAGGGGCCCTCTTTTTCTGAAAACAGAGAACAGATGTAATTTCCTTGGATTTTCACTTGTGATTAACAGTTGTACTCACACTTGCCTAAATTACACCTTTACAATTAGAAAGGATGGTAGTTGAATAAATAGGTCACAGTCTACTACTACTTAGGCACATGAATATGTAATGATCTACAGCAAGGAGAGAAAGATCTCATTTCAGTGTCTAGCAACAGACCAGTCAAATTCTCTCAGACGTAGTAGAAAAAGATGCCAAATTTTGCCAAGTGTGAAGCATATTGGTTACTGCTTATGTGTTCCAGGTCAAAATATAATCTGTATTTAGATTGTAATGCAAAGAAAATAATTTGCTGGTGAAATGCAATGAGAATAATTTACTAGCTAAAACTACAGGGAAAGTTTAGGACAGAGTAATGTCCTCTTGATTCTTTCTTCAAAACGTCTTTGTGTTCTTGGCCACCACCTCAGTTAAGCTCTTTATTAACACAGGCCCAAAGTGCCCTGAGAACCTGCTACGCACTGCTTCTGGTTCCTTCCACCTCTAATGCATCCTACACGCTGTTATGGGGCTGATTTTCTCCACATACTTATTAAATGATGCCTCCCACCCTCCTCCCAGCTTAATGATTTTCAATATAATCTACAACCTTATGGCCTGGGCTTCATGGCCCGCCAGTTTGAACTCTCCCAAGCTTTCCATAATTGTCTAGAACAACTCTCTTTTCTCTGCATTACAGTCAGAGTGGATTCCTCACCATTTCCAAACACATGGTTTTCTTGTGCTCCTGTGATTTTGTTCTTGCAATGGAATACCATGCCCTTTCTCCCCACCTATATTCCCTCTCTACTTATTGTGTCTTGCAAAGAGTAGACCATAAATAAATATTTGATGACTGAATGATAATGTAGCTAATAAAAGTGAAATATATATTCAGATAATACTCATTCTCTTTGGCCATTAAATAGCCAGATATGATTAAAGTCCTGAGGTATAACTGCACTGGCACAAAAGAGTCTTTGATTGCATCCTAATTTTCAAAATACTGTGCAATACAAACCTGTGTATTTCACATCAATGGTATTTCAGACAACAAAAATATGGCTCATAATACCTGATCAATGAAAGAATGACTTAACACATACACTGCTGGGATGATAAGAGCTGCCAGTGTTACCTTGAGGTAATGAATTCCATGAGGGTTTTGACTTTTCCATCCTGCTCCACTGAGATGTCAACCTCATTGAGGATAGTGGTGTGCAGATGTGAAATGGCAGCACTGTTATTTCCTAAGCTGATACTAGAAGAGGTAGAACTTGAGCTAAGCCCTGAGTCAGTCATAGGGGAGGGCTGGTAATCAGGTATAAAATCGTTAATGCCTGCTGAAAGAGAAAGATCGTCATGAATACCTAAAACATGAAAGAATCTCACAAAATACCTATAGAATTAAACTGTTGTTCCTTAGACTCTATGGGACACATGAGGCAATCTGTCAGTGCAAGGTGATGTGAATCAGTGCTCCTGCTGATCCTCATGAACACCAAATTACAGCAAGTAAGTTTTGGGGCAAACATTGTTTCACAGCTTGAAAACTTAGCAATTTGGATGTACTATGCAGTCCTCTGCCGCCATCTGCTGAAGAAACTTGCAAGTGGCAGTTTCCTAATATTCTGGCATATTTTGTCAACATCGCTTGTCAGTCACATTTCTATAATATGAACTGATTTTTAACTTTTTATAGAAAATTTTCTATAATTTTTGATCCATTTCCATTGCAGAAAGGCTCATCTATCTGAAATACACATAGTGCATCAATCATTTTTTAAAAAACTGTTAAAGGTTATTACTAATGCCCATATTTACAAATTGGTAAGAGAAGCCTTAAAAACAAACAAGCTATGGAATTTTGAATAATGGTGCCTTAATATAAAAAGGCAGTAAACTTCATTCCATTTTTCTTTTAATCATAGTTTTAAAAGGCTAATAAGTTTCCTAATAATTGTTTCCTAACTATAGGATTTTAAATAAATAACAGGGTTTTAACTAACTTTAAAATTGATGAACCCTGTATCTGACACTGTATGATTAGAAAAAAAAAAGGTAATTTTATTGCAATTTTGAAAAAAAAGTTTCTAGATCACTTGTTATTAGCCTGATGGTACTGATGAATGAAAGAAATGTTAGTTATAGGATATAAGAAAATATACCTTAAAAGTAAAAAACAAAAATTAACATTGACAGTGAAATAAACCATATTAAGTCTCATTAACTTGGACTTCACTACTTCAAAATGTATGTTTTTAATGCAGTAAATATAATCACGAGAATAACAAAATTTAAAATGCCTTACTTTATCAGTTTTCAGATCCTGCAAATAAGAGGAATCTAATACAAGCTCAACATCTTTTTCGTAATTCGTCCTCAATAAATTAAGCAGTTTCATTATGTCTTCAACTTACATATTCCTAAGTTAAATCTCGATAAAGATCGTTCGAGGTAATGCAGACTCAAATATTTTAAATTTAATCCCTTCTTTTATTAGCAAATAATTTAAATGGTACTTAAAATAATACAACTACATTTTTAAAATGTTCTCTAGTATTTCAACTTTTATTCAGTTGACTTTCTCTAATGCAGGATTCCAAATTAATAAAGTATAATTCTACTTTCAAATTGTACATTTAAAGCAAATACCTGTGAAATTATAATCTAAGTGTGCAACTTGTTTGACTGTAAGCACCCTGGGCTCATTAAACTCCTTGTTCCTGAGAAGGACAGAAGCAACAGTTCGGATGTTACTATTGGGTCCCATTACTATTAATAAGTGCAGAAGCAGGCGTTTACAATGTTCATACACCTCAGGGTGGCAGTGGTCAAACCCTAAAAAGGATAGTAGAGAAACATTATCAATAAAGAGAAATAATGAGTATTCTTACTACCAAACTCACATTTTGAAGAAAAGGAGAAATTATATGAAAGATTTCATGGAAGGTGACATATTATATGGTTTTTTATTGCCCTAGAGTTCTTATATACTTTTACAATAGCCTACTGTCTTATAGTACTAGGGAGACTCAAGGTAAGCTAAATGTGTTTCATGTCTAAAATTTAGTGATCTCTTAAAAATTATTTCTGTTACATAACATAAAAAAATTCATGGAAATGAATTTTTTTTTTTAAAGGCAGGGTTTTTTGTGTGCTTAGCACATAACAGAAAGTACATGATTAACTGAAGGAATGATGTAATACACCAACATTAAGTGTGCCCATCAGGAAAACTTATAAGGAGATGGCTATCTGGACTTGCTTCAGGAAGCCAATCCTATAAGCATCAAATGTATTATAGATATGGTAGATCCCACATGTTTGCTACAGAAGGCACGATGGAGTTTCAGGTATAATAATGAGGCTATCCAACAACCCAGTTCTTTTGGGAAATACTTAGAACCTATCTCAACTTTTCATTCACTCTGAAAGTTTCCAATCCCAGAGTTAAGTTAATTTGACTCTTGCCACAGCCACAGAATTTTTCCTTGGTATAGTATATGTGTGTTTGTGTGTGGGCAGGCGAGGCCATAAGATAGGAATAGGAATGGGGGTAATAGACATGTTTGTTTGTGGTTAGAAGAGGGGCCAGACATAACTCCCCAAGAGACCAGAGGAATCATAGTGAAAAGTGTCATGGAAATAACATAAAAATAACAGGAAACAGAAACACATAAAAACTGTCATAAAACCATACTGCTTTTAAATTATCATAAAAATATAACATGAAAGAATTAGAACCAAATATTTATTACCTATAAAAATTGCATGAAGAAGAAGATGGAGGTAGCTTCCCCATTCCACCTTCACACTATGATCAATGATGAGATCAGTCAAAAGGATCACTGCTATGTTACACCTATGACAAATAAGAGTTTCATTAACGTTTTACTAGATCTCAGTAAACCTAGAGAGAATTTGGTACAAAATTACTTGAAGACTTTAATATCACATTTCATGGAAAAATACAACTTATCAAGGAAAAAGGAGGAAAAACAAATACAGCTGAAGAAAACGTTAACCATTAAGTTAAAGAGATGGAACAGAACATAAGGGCTAAGGGTTCCTTGAACTCAGGAGCCACATTTTCTTCATCTTTCAACCTTGAGACTTAGCACACTGCTTGCCACAGTAGGTGTTCAATACATGTTTGGTGCATTAATACATTTTGAAAGAATGCAGTAATTGCTCTATTGTGATTTTGCTAAGTAGAATTCAATTTAACTCGATGCAAAATAATAGTGCCTACCATAGGAAAGTCATATTTTTCAGATGTAGTAACTGGGTCCCAGAAAGGTCAAGTAACTATGCCAGACACCCAGAAAAGCAGCAGCAGAATTAGATTTAATAATATTAATTTTATAAAGTTAGAATTCTGAGTTTTTTAGATTTCTTAGAATCTAAACACATTGATCTGTGTTGCAGTATCTCCATAAAGAAGATTGCTTTCATTCTGTGTTGTCAGATAGCACAAAGAAAGCCGACAGTGTTCAGCAGCAACTTGGTGCATATGTAAAAGGAATGACGCTGTAGTCCACCTGTGAAGAGGTAATCCAGGTGATGACGTTTCAGGCACGTAATCCACCAGTGGTGACCAGCAGCCTCCAGCTGGTGGGAAGGGCAGTGGCTCTCCTTGGTTATGCTCCATCACTTTCAGTCGCCAATTAGAATAAAGTGGCATTGAATCACCTATCAAGATAAAATGATCTCATTTTCTACACCATCTAATTTCTGCCAATATAAGCAAACTCTAGTAAGATCCCAACTATTTATATAGTATTGGAAAGTGATAAAAAAAATTTCCCACTATTTCAACATGTTTGCTAGGAAAATCTAGGCACAAATATTATCAAATTAAGCAAACCAGGGAGAGGGAGAGAGAGAAAGAGATTAATTTAGGTTCCACCCTGTACGTCAAAGCAAAACTATATTAGCACTTCATCATGATTCCATCAATGATGTCCAAGCCAGGAGATCACATTATTGGTGAAGCTGCCTTGTAACAAAGGGCCTTCTGGTAAGTTATTCAGTTCTAAATATCCTGAGATAGGGCCAACACAGCTCCATCTTGAAAGGAACTCTGCTCTACCACAGTGGGGCTGCGGGGTGCAATAAAAAATGTCAGGAAATGTGAATTCTGTGTGACGTGGGTAAGTCACTTAACCTCTCTGGACCTCAGTTCCATCATGTGCAAAATGAGGAGATTGGACCAGATCATCTTCAGTGTCCCTTCCCAGTCTGAAAGCCTGTGCTTCTATGATACCCTGCCTTAACGTTATAGTGAAACTTGGGTAGATTATTCACTTTGCAATTGCCAAGGGAGAATCTTTTAAGGAAAAAGTGAATCCATGCAGAAGGAGCAATCCTGCTAAAAAAAATCAGCCTGTTTCCAGTATTTGTTCTATGATGCTTCCTGAGAACCAGTTCTTATGTTCCTTGTGATTTATCTATAGGAAACCAGTGCTTTAAAAAAAATTTCACCCAATTACGTTGCTTCTTAAAATCAAGATGTTTCAGATTATGTTGGAACACCACTAGTGGCAGTTAAATACGCTTTTTAAAAACAATTTACTGAAAATATATATTTATTAACATTAATGTAATTAACAATACACCTCACCCTTATAGTTATATTAAAAACATTTGGAATTTATTACTTTTTTCTTCTTCATAAGATCCTCCAGAGCTGCTACTGTATCGGGATTCTAGTCTGTGATGTTGCCGATTCAAATGACTGTTTAGTCCACTGTAAATGTCCAGGTGCACATAGCTATGGGAATGATCACTGAAGTTAGTCACAGTTCACGGTGCAATGGTATTTATACTTTATGTTTCACTTTCTCTGTTTAAAAAAGGAGGACGGACGCCATGGTTCAAGCCTGTAATCCCAGCACTTTGGGAGGCCAAGGCAGGAGGATCATGAGGTCAGGAGATCGAGACCATCCTGGCCAACATGGTGAAACCCCGTGTCTACTAAAATACCAAAAATTAGCCGAGCGTGGTGACGTGTGCCTGTAGTCCCAGCTACTCCGGAGGCTGAGGCAGGAGAATTGCTTGAACCTGGGAGGCAGAGGTTGAGCTGAGATTGCACCACTGCACTCCAGTCTGGCAACAGAGCGAGACTCCATCTCAATAAAAAAAAAAAAAGGACACAGTACACAAAATACTAACAAAAGTTTACTATGACGTACATTAATTTCCACCTTATAATCCAAAAGCTTAAACTTTTAATCAATTATTTCTACCTAAAATAATATTCTGGCATACAAAACAGGTGGAGTAAATACCATTTATATAGGTCTAAAACTTTAAGCAATACAAAAAGTGACTTACCATATACCACCTATTTATACATTAGAGCATATAAAAAAATCTAGCAGGCTAGCATCTTTAATGTTGAAACTCTCAATGTGGAAAGTTTCCAGCATGGAAATATATTTTTTTCACTCGAATTTTAACACAGCAACATCCACATTTCAATGCAGAAAATATCATTTATTCTGATGACAACCAGTATCTGTCAAACTGAAAGGCTAATACAGAACAGAGAAGTACTTACCTCTCTTCAATATTCTCTTTAATGGGCTTATTATCAGGATTGCCATCTGTGGGAGCTACCATTGTATTGCTACTGGAAGTAGTTCCTGTAATCAAAGACAAAGCAGTACTCGTGAATCTACAAACCTGGAATAACCCAATAAGAACAAAAGATCTCAAATTATAGATATCAAAACTTAACTAAAATGAGAGCAAAGTCATTTAAAAAAAGGAATGTACTCATAATGACCAAAAGGGAAAGGACATAAGACAAACAAATTTTTGGATGCTAGAATACAAATGGACAGTAAGTAATTAAGTGTTAAGAAGGCTGAATCCAAAGGTGGTGGTGGGTGAAAACCAAGAAGCTTCCATGTTTATATTGCTGAACTTCCAAAAGGTAGCATCGAGAACCTCTGGAAACAGGGGTTGAAGGTGGTGCGAAAAAATAGGAAACCTGGCTGAAAGTCAATCTATTTTAGAAGTAACTGGTTCCCCAAATCTACTTTCTTGCCTCTTGCAGCTGGGTGGCTGTCTTTCCCCACTTCTAGAAGTCTTTTCTGATGAGAGTAAATCAGAAGATTCCTGAACTAGGGCACGCCATGTACTCCTGAAAGAGGAGGCACCTTACAAAGAACAGGGGCATTAAATGAAAATGCACATGCTAAAATTTGAGACTGCACCCCCCCCAACATCCTTCTTACCCCACTGGGCTTCCAGAAAGTTTGAAGCCTGTGTATATGTGTGTGTATAAATATAAACAGTCCAAAGGGGTGTGTGTGTGTGTGTGTGTGTGTGTGTGTGTGTGTGTGTTCAGACACACCCTCTGCAGGCAAATGACTAGAAAGAGTTTTCTCTAGGGAATCTGATAAATCTAGGAGAAAAGACCTACAGACGTTGGCATCACTGAAATCATGGTACGACAAAGCACACAGACAACAAGTTCCATATATACTTATAGAACTTATATTTTTTTTAATATTCTACTCTTTATGAAAAGACAGATCTAGAATTGGTAGGCTTTTGAGAAAAGTTTTATCAACACAAAACAGCAATGTAGAGAAAATGAGGACTTCTGCTGGGAGAAAACTTTATAACTGTATTGGATACGAAACAACAGTCCAACTATGAAACATGAATAGGATGCTACTTTAAAAAATTATAATTAAATGAAACTTTAGAATTAAAAACATTCTAGCCGATATGAAAAATTCAATAGAAGCATTATTAGACATCTCCTGGAAAATAAAACAAAAGGACTAGGTGATGAAAATGGATGGTAAAAAATAAATTATAAAGAGATAATTTAAAATATTTCTAGTTTTACAGATAATGTTATTAGCATGCTGAAAACATTTAAAGTAAACTGAGTAACAAAGAGTTTAACAGAAATTTCATCTACAATAGCCTTTTTACTATTTTGAATTTCATTGGATGTTCTTCTATTAGGAACATAGTTTCTTCATACTCAAAATATTACAATAATTTTAATATATGCACATACATATAGGTGTGTATATATATATACATTTAAAGACACAATAAACTCTTGTTTAACAATTATGTTAAGCTTCTCTTTCAATACTGAGGAAGATTTGTTTTTTTCTTTTAATAAATTTTATTGTATATATCTGA
Source organism: Homo sapiens (assembly GCF_000001405.40). Lineage (NCBI taxonomy): Eukaryota > Metazoa > Chordata > Mammalia > Primates > Hominidae > Homo > Homo sapiens. Next base: position 48,553,107 of record NC_000004.12, read on the forward strand.
GATTCATAACATGTTATGGGACATAGAGACCCTAAAATGGTTACCATAGTGAAGCAGATGAAGATGTCTATCATCTCACACAGCAATCGGTTTTAACAAATTTCTCACCTGAGGTGACAGAAGGGATTTTATAGCTGGAAGTGATGCGATAATACGGGGGATTATCCATGTGAGTGACCCCTGAACTGACAGGATCGGTCAGCTGAAGCTCACTCACCAGCTCTTCTAGCAACTGCATTGTTTTATCTCTACCTAAATATACAATGACCTTCTTCACCTGTCACAAAAGAAATCGTTCAGAAAAGAAAAAGCAAAGTTTTTATCTCATTAATTTCTCCTGAGACAAACTTTATCAGAGTAAGTTCAACTTTAAGTGGTAGATGAATAAACACAATCTAAATCAAAATTAGCACTGATCAACAATAAGACATTAATCAGCTTTATCAATACTGTCCTCCCTCTAACTCTCAGCATTAGATCTAATTAGGGTGAACTGAGTATGTTTAGCGGTTTAGTGGTTTCCACTTTATGCACTTTCTTTACTTTAAAAAAAAAAAAAAAAAAAAACAAAAAAATACTTTTCTGTAAAAATTTCTCTTTTAATGGAAACACAGGTAATAACATCCTAAGATTTTCCTCTGATTTTTAGTTAGCCAGCCTCCAAACCCAGGGTTTATCTTTTATTCCGCCTTCCCCATTCCCTATAGTCAACCAGAGTAGTCATTAAGAGCAAAGAACTAGAACTAAATTAGAACTCCAACTACATTGCCTGGTTTGGAATGTGGATATACCACTTACTAACTCTATCATTGGAAAGTTGCTCTCAGTTTTCTCATCTGCAAAATGGGGGTAGTAATAGCACCTACTTCATATAGCTATTAGGAAGATTAAATGAGTTAAGGTTTATAATGCACTTTAAAAATGGCTAGTAACACAGTATAAGTAGAAAAACTTTTCAGTAGTATATACATATGTTTTAGTAATGTATATTACTGAAATAACTTCATAACTGATCAGCCTATCTCTTTTTCTCCCTATTTTAATCCTTACTACTCAAAATGTGATCCTAGCAAGACAGGCATCATCATCTGGAGTTTGCTAGAAATAGAGAATCTCAGGCCCACCCCACCTCCAGAATCAGAATGATTCGTATTTTTACAGACATATGAAAAGCACTGCTTTATATGACCCCTGGATGAATCTTAAAACATGATTTATTATATCCCAACCAAATTCTTTTTTTTTTTTTTGAGACGGAGTCTCGCTCTGTCGCCCAGGCTAGAGTGCAGTGGCACCATCGTGGCTCACTGCCACCTCTGCCTCCCCGGTTCAAGCAATTCCCCCTGCGTCAGCCTCCGAGTAGGTGGGATTACAGGTGCCTGCCGCCACACCCAGATAATTTTCGTAGTTTTAGTACAGATGGGGTTTCATCATGTTGGCCAGGCTGGTCTCGAACTCCTGACCTCAGGTGATCCTCCTGCCTTGGCCTCCCAAAGTGCTGGGATTACAGGCGTGAGCCACAGCACCAGGCCAAAACTCTTATCATGGTTACCCAGTGATAACCTTCTAGGTATGGCTCTTTACTCCATCCAATGGGCACTACTTGCTAATTCTCTCTATTTTCAGGTTCGATCTCCTCTGAGCATGCTGTGTGCATTCCTGCCTTTGTGGGTTCCTTCCGCCTGACTGTGGATCTCCGAGTTGACACTCCCAACCCTAATCCTATCAAGTCTTCAAGCCCCATCCCCCACCTTAACTCTACTCCTTTCTCCAGGAAGCTTATACTGACTTCACCATCAGATCTGGGTTGGAATTCTAGATCTATTAAGTGACAAGAGTGAGAACTTGAGGAAATTACCGTTCTCTCTGCCCTGTTTTTTCCTCTGTAAAACTGCAGTGATCTCACCAAACTCATAGATTCTGAGATTTAAATAATGTGGATGAAGTGCTTTTACCATGCCTATAATAAGCACCCATAATAAGTGCTTAAAAAATAATAACCAATAAATTATTATTGACATTTAAAAAATGGCTCCTTTTAAATTCCTGGAAAATGGCTATTCCCCAAATTTTCATTTGGCCTCTTAAAAGTATAATCCCATGCTTTTTCTAGTACTGACTCTAACTCCCCCATTCGTTCATCCAATTAATGGGCACCTTCTATGTGCCAGGCACTACACTAAATGGAAATTTAGCAGTGAATCAAATAGACAAAAACTACCATTCTTAAGGAGCCTACAATCTACTGGTTGATGCAAAATTAATGAGGTAAATAGGTAAAATATATCATGTGTTTGGTGATGATTAAGTGCCAGAAAGATCAATGAAGAAGGGAAAGGAAATGGAGTGTGTGTGTGGAGGTGGTGCATTTGCAGTTTTAGACAGGATGGGCAGCAGAAGTCCCAGTGGGCACTGCCACCTGAAGGAGGACCTGAAAGAGGTGAGGAGTGAGTAACGTGGCTAACTGGGGAAGAGAAGGCAAGTGAGTGTGAGGGCCCCGAGGAGGGAATGCCTGGTGAGAGAGGTGGAAGCAAAGGGGGCCAGCGCAGCTGAAGGGTGGGAGCACCAGACAGAATATAGGAGACACAGTCAGAGAGGTAACGTGCGGTAACGTTGTCTTGTACCATACACCTACAGTTCTCTAAGCACTTCTCAAAGGCACTATGCCTGTGGTACACCTTGGCAATGATGCTTTCAGTGACCAAGTGAACTTGGGGAATGCTGAGTAAAGCAAAGCTATCAAGTGGTTTGTTTAAAATAGAATCTGTAGAACTTTTATTTATTTATTTATTTTTATTTTATTTTTGAGATGGAGTCTCACTCTGCTGCCCAGGCTGGAGTGCAGTGGTGCAATCTTGGCTCACTGCAACCTCTGCCTCCTGGGCTCAAGCAATTCTCCTGCCTCAGCCTCCTGAGTAGCTGGGATTACAGGCATGCGCCACCACACCCGGCTAATTTTTGGATTTTTAGTAGAGATGGTGTTTTACCATGTTGGCCAGGCTGGCCTCGGACTCCTGACCTCAGGTGATCCGCCTGCCTCGGCCTCCCAAAGTGCTGGAATTATAGGCATGAGCCACTGCGCCTGGCCTGTAAGAACTTTTAGATAACATTCTGTAGGACTAGTCTTCCGTGGACCACACTTTTGGGGGATGCTGCCACGGGATAGATATCTATATCTGCATCTACAAAGACATGTGAGCATGTGTGTCCATTTAACCCTCAGGTTTCATAGTTTCATATCAAATGTGTCCTCTTGACTTGGGCAGATCTGGATGTTCCTTTCTCCCCTGGAAGGCAAAGATGTTATCTTCTTCGTTTCATATCTCTTACCATGCTTTCCCTTGCTTCCAGCAGCCTGAAGGACAATCCTACGTGCACTGAGCTCACACTCACCATCCTGTTCTCATATCTAAATGCCAGCTCTGCCTAGCAGAAACTAGAAACATCCCCAGTGTGTGGTTTCAGCTTCAATATCACTTTCTCTCAAGTGTCATCTTGAATCCTTCCAGACAGCTGTGGTTCCTAGGTTTTTTACTCTCAGAACTCTGCAATTTTTTTATAGCCTTTATCACACTATACTTTATTAGCTTACTGATTTATTCATTAAATAAATCAGATGTAGCTTCAACAAATAAATTCTGTATTACCCATCAGATTGTAATACCCAGAAGAGCACCTGGCCTGTCATAATGATAGATAACATTTGCTAACTGAATCAGTGAATAAATCCATGTGCTATTTCCTGACTGTCTTCATCCCGGCCCTTGCCTTGCCTTGCCTCTCCTGGGCAACTGCTGCCCATACTCTGACATCACAAGATACTAGTAAATATATACATATATTTTAAAATTAAATGAACTTGAATACATACGTAAGGCAAGAGGCTTGGTTCGCTATTCACCCCACAAATGCTGATCAAAAAGTGCAAAATTATTTTCAGGTTTTTGGGCCAGCCATCTGCAAGTGTGGTCCACACATTCTCCACCTCCGACCAGGCCAGTTCATCGCCATACTAGATGCAATATGCACAAAAGATACTTCAGTCATGACTGCCTATTATAAAAACCAAACTTGTCATACCATGAAATATTAAAAAATGTTTTGTACAGATAGCTTTAATCGTTTCCACACTTTACAGAAACAATAATTTCTTCCAACAAATCTAAACATAAATATAATTAATCATATATGGTTTTAGTAAAAAAAATTCATATCTAATGAGTCTTTTTTAAAGAAAGATATTTGTTTGGTTATCACAGGATTATGGAACCTCTTCATCTGTTTCTAACCACATCTACTCACTCAATAATTCTGTGCAGCAATTATAAATACAAAACTCATTTTACCTTTGCTGTCATATACATCAGATTGTTCAAAACCATTGCAGTGGCTTGTGGAGATCCCCATCCTTCTCCCCGTAACCAGCGCCTACTAGTCACCATAAGTTCTCGGTCTTTTAAGGAATCATCTTCATCTTCATCATGTCGCCTTGCTGTGGGGAGAGGTTTTAAGTCCACCAGCTCGATGTTGTTCATCCATGGTAGCAGGTAGTGCAGCATCACCTGCCGCCCAGCAGGGTGAGCTGTCTGGATTCTCTGGCTTATCTCTGAAATTGAAAACAAGTCAAAGATAACTGATGTAATTTCAGCTTCCTCTGACCCGTAATTAATTCCAACAGATTTCAGAAGCCAGATTTTATTCATTTTACTCATTACACTTAACAATTATGAGTATTGTTTTTCCTTTTAGCAAATTTCACCTCAACGACATCATAAAATTAACAGCTAACATAAATCACATACATTTTATACAAAATACTTTTGGCAGTTAAAATAAATGTTTGTGCACTGTTGGTGGCATTGTAAAATGGTGCATACTTTCTGGGAAACAGTATGATGGTTCCTCAAAAAAATAAAAATAGAACTATCATATGATCCAGCAACCCCACTTCTGAGTATACATTGAAAAAAATTGAAAGCAGAAACTCAAACAAATATTTGTACATCCATGTTCATTAACAGCACAATTCACAATAGCCAAGAGGTAGGTGGAAGCAACCTAAATGTCCATTGACAGATGAATGAATAAACCAAATGTATATACATATAGTGGAATATTATGCACCCTTAAAAAAGGGAAAACAGGAAAGAAATCCTGTCATATGCCACAACGGGGCTGAAGCTTGATGACATTATGTTACCTGAAATAAGCCAATCACAAACAAAAATACAAATCAACATATATGTATGATTCCACATATATGGAGTACCTAAAGTAGTCAAATCCATAGAAACACAAAGTAGAATTCTGATTACCAGAGCTTGGGGGCAGAGGGAAAAGCAGGATTGTTGTTTAGTGGGTATAGACTTTTCAGTTCTGCAGGATGAAAAAGTTCTAGAGGTCTATTTCACAACAATGTGAATACACTAAACAATTCTGGAACTTAACTGCATACTTGAAAATGATTAAGATGGCAAATTTTATGCTTTTTTATCACAATGAACAAAAACGTAATCAAAAGATAAAAGAACATCTTTATACACAGATTAATTTTAAATTGACCCATTAGGAACCTCACAAATTTTGGTTCTATATAGGGGAGATGCCTATGATGTGCCTGTTACTTTTACATTCAGATCCTTTAATGCTCATGACAAACCTGTGAGGTGGGCGGAGTCAGAGTAATTTGCTGAACAATTACCAAATGGCCAAGATTCAAACCACAAGGACAATTCCAAAGCCCGTGAGCCTTTTATACGTTGTTTAATTTCCATAAATCACCATAAACAAAAATCTTCTTTCTCCTTTGCTCCTCTCTTTCCATGCTAGACCCTGTACTTACTTACTCATTAAGAGAAGTGTTTTAGAACTTGGCTCTGGAATTGCACAACCCTGGGTTTGAATCCCACAGATCTACCACATATAGATAGCCTGACCTAGGGCTAACCTATCAACCTCTGATCCTTGATTTCTTATTCGGTAAAAAGAAAGTAACAAAACTAGTTGCCTCATGAAGTTATTGTGCAAATCCAATATAATGCCAATGAAGTGCTCAGTCCTGGCATGCAATTATGCTCAACCTTAACCTTCTACAAAGATTCTATCAAGACATCAATTTTATTACCTCTGGTATAAAAGACATGGAGCTCAGAAAGTAGTTGAATGAAGAGATCCTGACTATGGAAGGAAGAGTCTGTCTGTGGGTATAGGGGTCACGGTGTGGTTTGACTTCCTGGAGGGAGATGAGATGATAGGAGGTGGGGGCCCGAGACGGTACCCTAGTAACACTAACACTTAAGATATGGGGCTGGGTGCGGTGGCTCATGTCTGTAATCCTAAGTATTTTGAGAGGCTGGGGTGGGAGGATCCCCTGGGCCAGGAGTTGGAGACCAGACTGGGTAACAGCCAGATCCTCTCTCTCCAAAAAAAAAAAAAAAAAAAAAAAGCCAGGTGTGGTGCCGCACACCTGTAGTCCCAGCTACTGGGGAGGTTGAGGGAAGATGATGGCTTTGTGGGGGGAAGGGAGGGAGAGAGGAAGAGGGAGGGAGGGAGGGAGGGAGAGAGGAAGAGGGGGAGGGGGATAGGGGGTGGGGGAGAGGGAGAGAGAGAGACTCTGTCTCAAAAATAAAAAACAGAAAAAAAGGGACGGAAGGCAAGAATCTACCAAAAGAGACAGAAAAGGAATACTCAACGGTAGAAGAAAAAGCAGGAAATATTAAGTTTTTGGAAATTAAGTGAGATCAGAGCTTAAAGAAATATAAGATGGCTAACACCAATTGCTGTGGAAAGTAGCAAACAGACTGAAGACTATTAGCCAGTGACTAGACTGAGCACTTGGAAGGTACCTGGTGAGGCTACAGAAAGGAAATTGATACTAGTGGAGTGTGAAGGCCATCTGTGAAGATCTAAGGCATGCAGGAGGACTGAGAATATGGAATAGTGAGTGTATATACTCGAGGCAAGGCACAGGGGTGAGGAAGGGGTTAGGAGCAGGTGTGAAGGAGGGAAAGGATGTGAGGAGCAAGAATGGGAAGGGCCTCAGAGCTGACAACATTTAGAGACCATTGCATTGAATCTGGAGAAAGAAAGGATCAGGGCCCTCAAATTTTAAAGTGGCAAAGTTTATGCTGATACCTGTATCTGTGCAGTAAAATTCTGAATGAATATTGTGTTTGTCTTGCCTTAGAAACAGTGAAAGTGAAAATGTAGGTTAGCTATGGAATTTGTCAGGTTGAGAGGCTGTTTTGGTTTAGAATGAACTATCTTAAGCAAAGGAGTTAAAATTAGCTGATGCTAAGGACAAGAGTGTCTGAAGAGAGAACTGAAGGAAGAATGACAAGGTGGTGGGGGTGTGGGCATGGTGGACACCTGTACCAGCACACATCCTAGGCGATGACATGACATTCTAAACAGTTACATGATCTCTTGAGACCCAGCTGGACTCCTCTACTTTCTGTGCAAAAGCCTCTAGCAGCAGCTCAGCAGCCACAAAATCTGTGTTCACGGCGGCCGCTATTTTGTGTTGATGATCACTCATATTCATCTTGGAAGGGCTGTCACGGATGCGGGGGTTGGGAAAAAGGAAGAGGCATTGCTACCAACTACCAGGGCAAACCAAACAGGTCAACTGCTTTCAAGAACTAAATGTTATGAGAATTTAAGTTGTTGTTATTGCTTTTTTCTCCCACTCAGGTCAATTAGGGATGGGAAATAAACTATTTCTATTGCTAAAATAGGTGCTGTGCAAAGATCCCAAGCCAGCTAAGTCCACTATCTCTTGAGCCCAAATGAAATAAAGGACCCACAGCAGAACTCTGCAATCTCCCAGATCCCAGTGTTGGAGCATGGCCAGTACTTACACTGGAACAAGATCTTGATGTAGGCGACAAGCAACATGTGGGAGACTAGAAAGAGTTTTGCTCGAGGCACTGTACCACCTGCTCCTATGGTTAGGGGTTTCGCTCACGGAAAACTGCCTATAACTTTATCCCTGCCTATTTTTATTATTAAACATATGCCAATACACAAAATACAATGTATTCAAGAAGTCCTATGTCTACTAAGAAATACTTTTAAGTCACATGTGAAAAGTCGTCCCTCTTGTATTTTTTTCTTTTTGATGGAGTAGGGAGCGAAGGGAAGGTCAGGTATAAAACCCTATAAGGACGCCGTTGATAGAAAAACCTAAATATTGTGACTGATCAGAATTAAGAGTTCTTATTGAAGAAAAAAATATTTCCTATGTAAAGACATGTCTGGTTTTGATTTAACCTGTAATTTAATAAATTTATAATTTTCTAAAAATTGTTTCTGAAGAAATGATTGACAAATAGAAACTACTAACCAGTTCATTGATCATACCTGAGAATATGGCGAGAGTTAGCTCAGGATACGCCCTTGCTAGTTCCTCGGACAACTGATAATATGAAACAGAATAGAGATGTGGTAGAGGAGACAGCTGGCTGAGTACTCCATCTGTTCTCTGAACCTCCAATTTGTGAGCATAGCGAAACATCTTCGGTTCCAGAATCTATAGGAATGTGATTCCATCAACTTAGGTTAAGATTTTATGGGTTCTCTAAAGTTTAACTATAATTTTATAATTTTTAAAAAAACTCTTCTCCCCAGCTGAGTGGAGTGGCTTATGCCTGTAATCTCAATACTTTGGAAGGCAGAGGTGGGAGGATCACTTGAGGCCAGGAGTTCCAGACTAGCCTGGCCAACATAGCAGGACCTCATCTCTACAAAAAAATTAAAAAATTAGCCAGATGTGGTGGTGTGTGCCTGTGGTCCCAGCTACTCAGGAGGCTGAGGGTGGAGGGTCACTTGAGCTCAGGAGGTAGAGGCAGCAGTGAGCCATGACTGTGCCACTGTACTCTAGCCTGGGTGACAGAGTGAGACCCTATCTCAAAAACAAAATGAAACAAAACAAACAAAAACTCTTTCTCACTAAAAGAATTTACATTCCTCGTATTTAATGCCAATGATCCAGGTTAGTAACACAGTCTGAAAATAACTCCAGCAACTTAATATACGATTACTTGAAAAAGATTTACCACTTTTCTCGCACAAAAATATGGTAGTACAATATATGCATAAGTGAAAAAAAAAAACCCTTCAAGGAGGACCTTTCGACATTACACTATTTAAAGAGCTGTACTGCTGAACTTTCCTCTTAATTAACAAAGGCATTAGGGTATAATTCCTAAGATGGATCTACTGGCATCAGAACCACTTCAGAGCCTTTGGAAAAAGCACCTACTTGAATCCTATTCTTAGCCCTTGGTTAAGATGGAAGAATCTTGCCCTATTATGAATTAGTTAAGTATTGCATACTAACAATATATCCGTGTTTGGTAAGTTAACTTTCTAAGTTATTTCTCCTCAACCTAATAAAGAAAATTTACATGAGAATATGATAAAAAGAGCTAATTATTTTTCACATGGCTCTCCAAAAAAATTTGGACACACATTGTTCTCATCTGCTGAACAGAAATACTTACATGGACACATATTTATAAGTACCTTCATACACATACACACACATTATCATAAATAATCCTTCTACAATACACTTAGGAATAGTCTGCATTACTTATAAATTTAAATATCTATATTATCTTTGTCTTATACTTCTAATAATAATTAGGCCTTGATACCATAACTTCTTTACTATAAATAAAGCTAAATACTATTATCAGTATGCTTTAATAGCAAGACTAAATTATTGGGCTTCATTAAATCCTGAGTAAAAAAATATTTAAATTCACATGTTTACAAACCTGTAAAAGTTGCATAGCAACTTCATAGATACTTCTAGAAGAATCAGCTGCTTTAAACAGTATCAGATTTAGAAGCATCACTGTGTCACATTGATAATCCCTAGGAATAAATTTTACATATTAAGTAAATAACAATGTTTAGAGGCTTTTGCACCATTTAATAAATATGATATGCAAAGGGCAAGGCTTATAGGCATCTATCTTCTAAGCCTATGAGGAGACTTGGTTTTTTCAAGGCAATAGGTACAACAACAGATGCATGGTGATAATTGTCCTTATTTTGGTTAAATTCCATTAGAGCACACGTGTTCAACCTTTTGGCTTCCCTGGGCCATATCAGAAGAATTGTCTTGTGTCACACATAAAATACACTAAAAACAGCTGATGAACTAAAAAAAAAAAAAAAATCCATGCATAATTTTTGTAATATCCACCACCACAGATAAGCAAAAAGGTCCTCACATTCAAAGGGTTAGACACGGCTGCATTTGAGCTTAAGAAAAGAAAATACAGTCAACCCTCTGTGGATCAAAAATATGAGGGAAAGGCCAAGCGCGGCAGGTCATGCCTGAAATCCCAGCACTTTGGGAAGCCAAAGTGAGAGGCCAGGAGTTCAAGACCATCCTGGGCAACATACGTAGTGAGACCTCGTCGCTACAAAGAATTTAAAAATTAGCCAGGCATGGTAGTGGGAGCCTACAGTCCTGGCTACTCGGGAGGTTGAGGTGGGAGGATCACTTGAGCCTAGGAGTTTGAGGTTACAGTGAACTATGATCATGCCACTGCACTCTAGCCTGGGTGACAGCGAGACCATGTCTAAAAAAAAAAAAAAAGGAGTATACGGGAGGATTTGCATAGAGTAAATACAAATACTACAGCATTTTATATAGAAGGCTAGAGCATCCATGGATTTTGGGATCTGAGAGGGGTCCTGGAACCAATCCCCCACAGATACTGAAGGACAACTAAACTGGTGTCTTCCTATTTTTGAATTCAAAAGAAAAACTTTTCTTTAAGAAAACAGAACAAAATGAAACAAAAAACCTGTATCTAAAGTACCTGTTCTGGAAAACATTAGCAATGGCTTTAAAGCAGCCGGCCGCCACCCTCCCGGAGCCCGTGTAGCAGCGGTCCACAGCCCAGTACATCAGGTTGCTCTGATCAGGGTTCAGCTCCAGTAACAACGTAACTGCTTCACAGCCCAGCTGGTGAACCTAGGTAAAGGTTGTGAAATTGCCCGAGAGAGAACGTTATATATTTTTTGTCTATTTCCCTATAGTTCTTACTAAAGTAATATAGTGCATATATTCATTGTAATTAATAGAAAAATTCCATCTCCTTTTGTTCACCTCCCTCTCATTTTATTCAGCCAGCAGAAAAAACCACACAGATGAACTGAATTTGGCCTCTCGCTTTTTACGCGAGCCTCTCTAGTATGATTTTGTCTTCCAACAGAGCCCTGAAGGCAGTTAATGAATATGAATAGTGATTAGGTGCTTTCAGAAAAATGAGTCATTAACCTCTCCAATTATTTTTATCAAGCTTTATTCTTGTTTTTGATAACCCAATAGAAAAACTGTTCTGAGGGGAAAAAATGTAAGTCCTATTTTAAATTGTGAAGTCTGTATATGTACAATATGAGAGTAAGGAAGGCAGAGTGTGGAGGGCAAGGAGGAATGATTAAATGGAAAGTGGTTAAAAAAACGAAATGAAACATAGCAAATAACATATTTTTCCCATGCAGCTCAATATGTTCTATGCTGGTATTTTATTTATTGACTTAGAACCCTGTTGAGAGACACATACCACTGTATTAATCCTATAATATAAAAAGGGAAATGAAAATTATTCAAATTAATGATACATAAGAATTGGAACGTTTTTACATTATGGGATCCTATTTAACTTTATATAATATGCTTTTTGCATATGATCCTAACCTATCTTATTTTTTTAAAAGACTTGTTTTTAGTGCAACATACATTAACTGCAAATAATACAATGACAACTTATTATGAACCTTTAAGGAAATTGTCATAATTACCTTTTTGTCCAGAGAATCCAAAATGTTATCCAACCATTTGTACAAATAGCCATCTGATGAAAGTCCTACATTATCTGCAACAGGGCCACAACACAGTACAGCAGACATAGCCTTCAAATAATAATATTAGAATTACATTTAACAAATTTAAGAGGTTAAATGTTGGTTGCTTAATGAGAAGAGGCAAAATACTTATCTAGTCACAATACTTTAATCTTTTTTCTTTACAAATTATTTTTTAAAACTGAGAAATTTATTATGAGTAAGTAAATATGATACCAAATTAGACATGGAGTTTGAACAGTACTGGAAGGGAAGATAAAAAGACCAAGAAAAAGTAATTAAGTAAGGGAAAAAAGGCATTTCTTTCAAGTAATCCTAAGTTCTTTAAGATAATGGTGATCAAATTTGAGTAGATTCTGGAACTGTTTTTCATTGTATTTTATGTATTTAAATATAACTTATGGTATAAGTTTTGAATATGGCAGAAAAACATTTTAATACTCTCAGATCCTCTTTTTAATACTAGTGACTGAGAGACTTAAAAATACTTAACTCTGCTCTTAAGAAAAAAGAAATCAGGTTTCTAAGTAAATACCTTTAACGCACAGTATTGATGTCTATTAATTTGCATATTTCTATCACTGTATCTGTCCAAGGGCGTAAACATGATGCTAAAAGGACCTGCCCAGTGACTGAACAGCATAAATAGACTGTGACGAAGGCTCTGTTGAGGAAAAATACTTCTTCTCTGGTGCACTGTGAATAAAAAAAGATAGAAAACATTTATTTCCATTTCTTTTTGCTTTAACTTTTATACCAACATGTTATTGAATGTGTAATAGTGTAAAAAAGAAAGCAGAAGTTTTCATTTTAAACTATCAAAAACCTCCGCGGTAGCAGGGATCATTTATATATATGCAAATCACAGAAACAAAGTTGCAGTCTGTGTCACCCTGTCCCAGCATTACATGACATAGAGCATCTCTGCAAGCAGAAATTCCATGGCAGGCTCAATGGCACATGAAGGCTGGCACAGAGGTGGGGCCAGGAGTCCATTTCTCCCTGGGCTATCACTGGCTATATGGTAAGATTGGCCAAGATTTTAACACAGACACACCTCTGTATCTTGGTTCACTGGTAAGTAAGGGCTTTGGACGAGATACGTGTTTTCAAACTTTCTATTTTTTTTTTTCAGCAGGAAAGCTGCCTTTTCCTGCTAAAGGAAGCTTACATGTAATCTCAGTATATAAAACAGATAAAAGGGCAGTTCAGGCCTAGTGTCCAAACACATTCTGCTGCTTTCTGCGGATGGCATCAGAGAACCTCAGGGCTTTGAGAAACACCAAAGTTTGAAAACCACTGGTTTAAATGATCTCCAAGGATTTTTTTCCCCCATTTTGAAATTCTACTATATAATTTCTCTACATCTATCCTTCTTGAAGAAACTCAGCAGTATCACAATAAACCAATGTGGAAGTTGTAAAAAAGTGTTTAGTAATAGACTAAACCACATCTTTATATTAGTGAGCTTCAGATCAGAAAATTTCGAAAAAAATATGCTCTTTTCCTTTGACAGTGTCATTTTCCTTTCAAAGATGAAAACAAGGCTCCTACAGTTGAAATTGACATATGTAATTAAGTGCTTAATGACCCTGTTATAAAATACAACCCATGTTCTTTAGGTATCCACTGTCTGTATATACTATTCAAAATAACAATGTGACTTTAATTTTTCAAAGAGAAAAAGAAACACTTATAGTGTATGCCAAAGGCTAGTCACATTACTTCTTACAGTTGTAAATAATTTAACTTTTAAAAATGTAATTGTGTATATTAATCTTCCTAGTATCTAAACCAGTATCTGTCGATATAGACCCTACTCAATAATTGGAACATATCTGGTAAATCAGTAACACGGTATCCTTGTTACATTTTGTATTTATGGCCTATACTCTTTTCCCATTATTCAAAAGTATCTTCTTAATTTTATTCTCAATTATCATGAGACACTGCACTCTGCTTATTGCATCTAAAACAAGGCTATCCTAAAGAGCTTATTCTATTGATTTCTCCAGGTTTTTGTGTCAGTATCCTGATTATTACTGAAATTCTATGCTGGGTTGCTTTTTTATTTCTAATCAGTGACAATAATTCAAAGGGAAAACAAACTCCAGCCATCCAGGTTATGCTGACATATTTTTCCAGTATGTTCATACGTTACTTTATCAACTTAGATTATTAAACCTCAAGGAAAGAAAAAATATGACGGTTCCTTAATACTCAATAATGCTTTAAGAAACTGAAAATAATACCTGGAACATTCTGAATAATATTCGCCACTAAGGCACTAAAATGGCATCGTATATCCTTCAGTGTGTCAGAGTCTTTTTCATTTTCTGCTTCCAGGAGTTGTCTAGTTAAATCTACATATTCCAATAAAGTGTTGTTGAGAAAATGTGTTTCATTATCAAGGCCACCACTTGCACTGAAAATATTGAAGAAAACAAAAGATGAAGTAAATGGGACTTTATGATTTAAATAAAAAATTCTTAATACTCAAAATCAGAATAATACATGTTAATTTTGCATGCTCATGGCAGCACGCAACTTAATATATGAAAATTAAATGAATATGATTTTGCTTACTTTAATATGAAAATAGATGGTGCTTCTTAATCTAGGAACTGCTATTGCAATTTATATTATTCAACTCCATATCTAACTTAAATCAACTCAGTGCTAAATGTTGTTTCCTCTCTGTGAAACACACAGATTTCTAAATACAGAGACAGGAGGCATATGAAATGGGGAGGATCAGTTTAGAAAAGTAGAAAGAGGAAAGACTAGTTCTATTTATTCATAGCTGCCATGTCTATTCATATTGTGCCTTCAGCATAATTAAATATCTATTAGTCACTTAGTAACATTCTGGGATAGGTATTATCAGGGATGCAAAAATCTAAGAGAATTCTTGTAAGAATAGGGTAGAGTACTGGGTTTCAAAACCTTTCTATACCTATGAAATTGCCTTTAAGAATATCTGCAATGTGCTGGGCGCGGTGGCTCACACCTGTAATGCCAGCACTTTGGGAAGCCAAGGTGGGTGGATCACTGAGTCCAAGAGATTGACACCAGCCTGTGCAACATGGTGAAACCCCATCTCTACAAAAAATACAAAAATTTGCCGGGCATGGTGGTGCACGCCTGTAGTCCCAGCTACTCGGGAGGCTAAAGTGGGAGGATTGTTTGAGCCTGGGAGACCTGTGATCTAGTCACTGCATTCCCGCCTTGGTGACAGAGCAAGAGCCTGTCTCAAGGAAGAAAGATGTATCTGCAATGAGGTTTTCTTTGAGGCAAGGGATCTATGTCTGCGCCTGGCAACCACTGACTGACTGATGGAGTATTTGGTTAGAGTCAGAAGTCCTGGATTCCTGTCTTGTTTCACCAATCATTAAGCATATATCCAGTATCTACTCCAGAGTGTTTTAGTAAGGATGTAAATGAACTGCTATATACGAAAAGGCCTAGTAAACAATAAGTGCTATATAAATGATTAGCTATTACATATGCATTTGTTTAGGTCAGCTTTTTCTTATTATGTTTGAAAATTACTTCTAATATATATTATTTTAAAGGTAATTTTTTTTTTACTAGTTATGAGTAACTTCGGAATAAATACCCTAAACCCATGAAAACAAGAGTTAGGAGTGGCAATGGTACTACAGTATATTAACTAGATCAGTCTACAACAATAAATATGTATTGAATGAATCAATGTATGACCTTTATTCCTTAAATAAGTGTTTTTCAAATTTTTTCCTTTATTCCTTAAATGAGTGTTTTTCAAGCTCTGGATCATGACCTACTAGTGGATAGGAAACTGATTTAGTGGACTACAACCTGTACCAGAATAAAATCTTCATTAATCTAACAAATATTCATTACCTTCTATGTGTCAGGCACATGAAATCCACTAGGTGAACAAAACAAAGCTCCCTGTCTTCTTGGCATTCAGAATTCATTTTTTTCCGTAGCCATGAAAATTTAAAAATCCAGAATAGCAATAACTTTCTATTAATAACTCTTTAAAAAATACTTCAAAACAAAATACACAACTGGGTTCAAAAATCATTATTGCTTAATAGTCATATAGTTTTTGGTAATTTTAAATACAGCAAAATTTTGCAGTCCCCAAAATAGAACCATTCAAAGATTCTTCTACGAATGCTACAATTAAAGCAACCAAAGAAGATTCAGATGTGTATCAGGTTGTTAATTTTTTGCATCAAGCCCACAAGTTTCAATTTCACTTTTCCTAACTTTAACTCTTATTTTTTGTGGAGGAAAGAAAAGAGAATAGTATTTCTTTCTTTCTTTTTTTTTCTTTTGAGGCGGAGTTTCACTCTTCTCACCCAGGCTGAAGTGCAATGGCACTATCTTGGCTCACAGCAACCTCCACCTCCTGGGTTTGAGTGATTCTCCTGCCTCAGCCTCCCGAGTAGCTGAGACTACAGGCACGCATCACCGTGCCCAGCTAATTTTTGTATTTTTGGTAGAGACGGGGTTTCGCCATGTTGGCCAGGATAGTCTGACCTCAGGTGATCCGCCCTCCTTGGCCTCCCAAAGTGCTGGGATTACAGGTGTGAGCCACTGCATCGGCCAATATTTCTTTTTTTTATTTGCTTTTTATTAAGAAAGAAAAGTAAATCAATGGTTTAAATACTCTGATTAAAAATCTATTTTGAAAGTATTTGTCAAAAGCATTCAATGCTACATATGAAAGGTGTTCGGTAAAATAAATAATTGGGAGAAATGCTAAAGGAATAATGCTGTGCAGTTATCATAGTTACTACACTTGTTGGATTAATAATACTTCTTTTTTTTCCTTTTTGTTTCAAGACAAAGTCTCGCTCTTTTCCCAGGCTGCAGTGCAGTGGCATGGTCAAGGCTCACTGTAACCTCAATGTCCTGGGCTCAGGTGATCCTTCCACCTCAGCCTTCCAGGTATCTGGGACTACTGGTGTCTGCCACTATTCCTGGCTGATTGTTTGCGTTTTTTATAGAGATGGGATTTTGCTATGTTGCCTAGGCTGGTCTCCAACCCCTGGGCTCAAGTGATCCACCCATCTCAGCCTCCCAAAATGCTGGGATTACAGGCGTGAGCCACTGCACCTAGTCCATTTTTTTTTCCTTAAGATATCTTTTCAGTGACCTTTTTGGATATGGTCACATCTATTATATTTCTCCTTCAACGGTCAGGTAACACCATTATCCTCCTAAGGAAATAGTTATTTTTCAACATTCAGCTGATGGAATTTTCCTCAAGGGGCTGGGCTTAGTGTGAAGATGCCTTTACTGCGGCAATATCTCCAGGTTTCATGGTTTTATCTGTGAATGGTGGAAAACAGTTATGAATTATATTTGTAAGATTTCATAATTTTCCCTGGCAGGATAGATAGCAAGTTCATTTGAATAAATTTGTAAGCTTTACAATGTTTAGCCTGTGAATATATTATTTTTTCAAGCTCAGAAGAAAAACATCTTTAAAATGAGGTAAGAAAAAGGAAAATCTTTTTTCCTTTGTGACAGAAAAAGCTACCACTGTCCACTTGCCAAGATAACTAGGTTCCAACAAATATCAAAATCATAGGAACATTATATCCATTTTTTGCCAGAAGCAATCCAATTCTGGTAGTAGATTTTTCAATACATTTTTAGCTACTGGTCAGTGTATCGAATGCATATTTATTTGTTAAATAATTTTCACAGTGATACATACAGGTTTTCTTGTTGCAATGGTGCTTTTCTGTTTTTATACATTTCATGAGCGAAAAGAGATTACGTTCTCTAGGATCATTCCAGAGTTTTAACAATGTGAATCCAATACTGACCTGTGACTAATGACACCAGCATCTGCCAGCAGTTCAAATATTCGTACCAGTTGTACTCGTAAAATGTCTCGACGCCTGCGCCGTTTCATATTCTATTCCAAAGATACAAACACATTAATTAAAATCCTGCTGGTGTAACTTGGAAAGAATAATGTGACTGCCTCAGAGAGAGGTTCTGGGCTCATTGAAGTTATTTTGCTTGTACAGTGTAGACTGTGGGTACTCTGGTAGCTACTGCCTCAAAGAGGTATGAGTGAACAGTTTGAAATGAATGAGTCAAATAAGGTCACATGACATCTTACATGGTGACAACCCCTGTGTGTCAGGGGAAGTAAAATACTACATTTTTAGGTTATTTGCTAATCAGACAGTTTTGGAATTGAAGCAATTAGTAAACTGTTATCATGGAATTATAAGGAATCCCTAATACCCTCCCAAAAATATGACAGAAGTATAGGGAAAACAATCCTAAAAAGGACTTAAGATTTTGCTCATGCCACAGTTTTCTACACAACAATTTTGGCACAAAAAATATAAACAAATACAAGAAAAACTTCTTTACTCATTATGATATGAATAAATATGTTTGTATTACTAGGTCCAAAGAACTAGAATAATGCCCAGAATAATAGCTGTAACATTTCAACGTGATTCTGCTTCTAGCAGAAAGTCATGTAAGAGATATCAATCACCTATATCACCTTCTACTATAGGTCATTATTTCATTTGTGATGTAATTTTCATATTACAGAGCAAATTAAAACCATATTTACTAGTTGAAATTTCACTTTCTTGTCCATGACCCAATTTTTCTGCCTTCCAGGTGCATGATAATTTACTAATGACTAATCAATTACATTTACTTTTCTCTTGGCTCTTTCTAAAGTTGACAGCAATTCATTTGAAACAGGATGATTTCTTATCAGTCTTTGAAGATTTCTGCAACTGGCTTTTGCAGTTTGGTTGGCCTGTTTTCATTTTGTCTTCACAGAAACAGTGTGAGTCTAAAGCTCTTCAACTATAACTCACATTCAAGGCACATCACTGCATGTGTTTAATAGCATTCCTTCTGAAATTCAGAAGAATAAATACTGCTATTTTGTTTTGTTTCAATCTCACATTTCTCTAACAAGTCATCCAGCACTGTAACCAAACTGATCATTCTGAAACAAAAATCAAATCAATGACAAAATAGGAATACTATCATGACCCTACAGTGCTGAATTAAAGGAGAATGAGGAATTGCAGATGATGTTTCAAAGTCCCTAAACTGCAGGGATTATCACCATCTCCCTCTCCTGCTTAAATTCCTCAGGGCATCCCCAACATTAACAGCACTGATTCCCAAACAATGTTCTACAGCAGACTCATCTAAGATGCTTTACAAAAACAGACTTCTGGACCCTATTCCAGGGATTCTCATTCAATAGACCCAGGAGTCTAAAATTTTTAGCAAGCTCCCCAGGTAACTCTCAGATGCCACAGGCACAGGAACTACTGTTCTACTGGTTAAAGCTAAAGCTAGTAGTTTTTCATGAGATATTTCTCATCTTGCTATCCAGCCTAATATTCAATCACTTCCCCCATAATATAACTACACAGAAAAATTTGCAATTTCAAAATTCTTTGTAAAGTTTGCAAATGCTGTTCTTTGCCTAGAATACCTTTTTCCCTTGTTTGTCCACTGAGGAACGTGCTTCAAAATTCATCTGAAATATCAGCACTTCATCTATAATGCCTTCCTTACCCTGCAACCAGAGTCCCAGGCTTTCTTCTCTGTAGTTCTTAGAATCTCTTCTCTATGATTTTACTTGAGTGCGTAATAAATTGTTAGAATTAAGGTTTTCATAACCATCTGTCCCACTGGACCTATAGTTTCTGAAAGCTGCTCAGAACCTGTAGATTTGGGAATCTAGGCTCAGTCTTGTGAAACTACATCCCATGGGCCAAATCTGGCCCACTGCTACCTGTCGCTGCAAATTTTTTACTGTTTTACTGGCAAACAGCCACACTCCTTTTTTTATGTAGTTTACGAACGCTTTCATGCTACAAAGGCAGGGCTGAGTAGAGACAGTATGGCCTGTAAAGCCGAAAATATTTACCATCCGGTCCTTTGCAGAAAAAGTTTGCCAACTCCATTCTAGACCCTATTTTCTGCCCTCACTTAAGTTAAAGCAATTTTTCATCCGTTTTACATAATGGGTTTCTGCATAAGATCTTCTGCGGGGAGGGGAAGTGTCTGCATCTTAAAAAGAAGAATACACTAGATAGTCTTCGTAATTTCTAACTTTTGATATAACATGTAAATATGGCAGAAAAATGAATGTTCACTAATACAAGGCTGCAGAACACAGCTCACCTCTGGCCTTCTTTCGAGTGCTTCTTTAATTATGGGATGTAATTCCTCTATTAGTTCCCTGGAAGAAAAATGGTACATATTCTATTAATAGCTACACAGATATAATCTGACACAGGTAAATATGTAAAAACATGATGTAAACTGACAAGTGTTAATTCCAATCCTACTGTTTTAAACACAATGTCTATTTTTTTATTTGGTTTATAAAATAACACATTATATTATAGACTATTTGGAAACCAGAAAAAAAATGGTATAGGCCTCTTATTTTAATTTATAGAGGGAATACTACCAATATTTTTATTCAATCAGTTTGCAATCCACATACGTTTTACTTAGTTGAAACTGTTTTATATAAAATGGTATCCTTTTTTATTTTTTGAGATGGAGTTTCGCTCTTGTTGCCCAGGCTGGAGTGCAATGGCGTGATCTCGGCTCACTGCAACTTACGCCTCCCGGATTCAAGTGATTCTCCTGCCTCAGCCTCCTGAGTAGCTGGGATTACAGGCATGCACCACTATGCCTGGCTAATTTTTTGTATTTTTAGTAGAAACAGGGTTTCTCCATGTTGGTCAGGCTGGTCTCAAACTCCCGACCTCAGGCGATTTGCCCGCCTCAGCCTCCCAAAGTGTTGGGATTACAGGTGTGAGCCACCGCGCCTGGCCTATTTTTCTTTTCTTACACTAACATAGTTAATTTTATATGCCAATAATTAATTCATGATATTCGAACATAGGGTGGGGTACCATAATTTTCCTAGACATTTTCATTTATTAATGAATCATTTTATTTTATCTAATTTTCTCTTACTAAAAATATTGCCTCTGTGAACAACTTTGTACATTTTTCACTGTTTTCGTTTCTATCCCCTTAGGATTAATTTTACAAATTAAATTAATGGGTCAAAGGGTATGAACTTTGTAAAAATGATAAATTTCTCTTTATTTATATTTTGATTTTAAATTGAAAATGTGCTTATTTTAAGATTGGGAAAATCTGAAAAAACATAAGAAGAAAAAAATCATCCACAATTTAATCATGTATCGAAAACTGCTGACCTTTAAAAGTGTCTCTGAATTGTTTCTAATTATGAGAATTTAATTATTTTAAGTTGAGATCACTTTTAAATCCTATTTTTTTCAATTAGCAGAAAAGTGTCTTTATCTGTCTTAAAATCTTTTTCCAAAACTTCATTTATAAGAAATGCTATCCCATACCTATAGATATATTACAATTTATTAACCTATTCTTTTTTACTTATTTTTATTTAAATGTTCCTCTCTATGGAAATCTTTAGCAAAAGGCAAAAGATTTATACAATCTGAAGCGAAACCAGAGTATTAACCTATTCCCTGGTTGTATAGGCTATCTTGGAGACAAAACATCAGATACCATTCTCATATTAATTGAGGAAATTCTCAAAAGAATAAATTCTGTGCCCAGGAGACAAGGCAGAACTTCAGGCAAAACTGAAGAATTTGCTTCATTAATATAAAAAACATCACGAATGATATCAAACATCTATGTAAATACTTTTTGAAAGATACTCTAATTCTCTTGGATAAGAAGGGGGAAAACTGGAGTTTTAACTACTAGAGCAAGATTACACATTAAAAGAATGACTACATAAATAAATATAGTAGTAAAATATTAAATATTTATATGGCATTTCATTATTTCTAGAACATATAGGTAAGTTTTAATCTGCTCAATCAAAATGAGGAAATAAAGCTTCCAATAAATGTTAATGTTTGGATTTTAATGTTAATCCATGTTAAATGTTACATGGCTAGTTAATTGGTGAAAGTCAGGCCTGGTATGCGGTCAAGCACTCTGCTTGACCCTACCACACCTTCTAAGGACCCTACCACACCTTCTAAGTAGCACATTTATTCTTTTAGGACATAGAAAAAATGTACGAACATAGTTACCTAAAAGCTCCTGGGTTGGTCCTGCCAAGACCTAGAACAAGGGATTCTGTGATTTCCATGCTCTCAGAACGCATCATTGGAACTATGTGCTTAAACAAGGATGAAGGGGATGGGATGCCAATAATCTGGAAAAAAAATATCGTATTTGTAACAGCCACTAATGATACTATGTCCAATTAGATAATCTGAGATTTCAGTAGTCTTATGTCAAGGATAAATGGACAGGTGAAACTTTACTATGAATGATACCTCAAATTTCACCTGGGGTGTACATAACTTAAAAGGTTAAATAGCTTGTCCAATGGCTTAATGCAAGTTCATTAACAGAACTTGGGGCTCCTAATTTCTTACAGACACTCATGATCATATAATAGGCTGACTCCCTTCATCAGATACTCTGTACCTTTTGGTCCATGAACATGAAGAAAACAAAATGACTTCTAAAATAGTCATCAGTGCTAAAGTCAGACACGCTGGTCTTAAGTTTTGTCATTTTCATGAAAACTAAACCACTGTTCTTATCAAGTACCCTTTAGATCACTACGTAATTTAGGGAAATTCTAGAAAGGCGTTTAATTATTTAAATGATTCCTTTTGGGTTCTGAGAAGTGTGAGAACTATAAAAACTAGAATATGGGAAAATAGGTATGACAATTTCTTTAAAAATGTTGAGTATGATAAACTGAATGAGCACGGGTCTTTCTTTCCAATGGAAAACTATGTACGTATTATTGATTCCAACTAGGAATCCATAAAAGCAATGATGGGCTTTCTTGAGGTATTTTCCTTTTTGCAAGTAAGTAACACATTTTCAACTGAGTTACTTTATTGTCCATAAAAAGAAATTTTAAAATCTTATTTTTATGGGGCCATTCAGATTTCATATATCCAACAGTGGATCTGAGAAACTTACTTTAGAATCAATGCTATAGCCGCTATCTGGGGTAGACGCCAGCGTCTCAGGAGGAGAACATCTCACAGAACCTGCAGATGTGGAAGATGACGATGTTGCTGCACTGCAGCAAAGGATCAGATAGTTTCTCCACAGGCCAATGTATGAGTCACTGCTTGTGGTGGTATTTACTTTCTTAGCATTGATGGGGCTACTAAGGAAAAAAAAAGAAAAATAGGCAGATATGAATAACACAACACGTTTTTAAAAGTTTATTTTAACTAATGCTAAATTTCTTTTTTTTTTTTTTTGAGACAGAGTGTCACTCTGTCACCCAGGCCGGAGTGCAACTGGCATAATCTTGGCTCACTGCAACCTCCCCACCTCTCAGGCTCAAGTGATCCTCCCACCTCAGCCTCCAGAGTAGCTGGGACTACAGGTGTGTGCCATCACGCCCAGCAAATGTTTTGTATTTTTGGTAGAGATGAGGTTTCGTCATGTTGCCCAGGATGGTCTCTAACTCCTGAGCTCAGATGATCTACCTGCCTTGGCTTTCCAAAGTGCTGGGATTACAGGGGTGAGCCACCATGCCTGGCCTAATGCTAATTAGAGAGATGGTTAGCATAAGGTTTTTATTACTAGTACTGTTTTTGTGGACTGATATCAATGAATAAAGTAATGGATTAAAAATTAAAATATGTTACCAGATCATTTTAACATTATTACTCCTGTGATAAAAGTTAATATTTTATTGGGCCATATTTTATAACTTACTATGCATACTCAATGTAGAAAGAAAACAAAATCAAAATCACCTTTAATCCCACATGAAAATAAACACTGCATATTCTATATATCTTTAATTCATATACATGAACTATAAGTGCATGAATACATCTCTTTTAATTTATACGAATTAAATGTTTATTTTATTTTGTATCTACCTTTTAGACTTACGTATTTTTCACCTCTCTATGTAAATTAATATACTTCTGTGACATTATTTTGATTAACTATATGCTATATCAATATAAAGTATCATATTTTATATAACCAAAGTTTTGTTGTTTGACATTTTAGCTAATAGCAATTTTTCCCTATTATACACAATACTATACATTTGAATATATGGTTAATTATTTTCTTAGGTAATTCTTGAAAATGAAATCACAGAGTCAAAGAAGATACATATTTTCAAGGCTTCTGCCAAATTTCTGTCTTGAAAGATTACATCAATAAAATATTTTGAAACAATTCCATAAATCTTTCCAAATACCGAAATTATGTTAGAATTAAGAACTGAGAGCAAAACGAAAGAGGAAAAATACAAATATATAATCCTTGCCTTCAACTAGTTTTGTAATATGTTAAGGTAAGTAATGCAAACACATCACTTTGTTAATTCAGCAAGAGCATCATAGAACAATGTCCTAGTATGTTAGAAAACGATCTAAGCACTGGTAACGTATCAGTCAAAAAAACTGTCAAAAAAATCACTGCCCTCATGCAGGCCATGGGAGACATACAATAAAGAAATAAATAAAACAATGTCAGATGGTGCTAAGTTTGATGAAGAAAAATAGAGCAGAAAAGGGAGATAAAGAATGCTGGTAGGATATGGGGTTATAATTTAAAATATGGTAATTAGGGAAGGCTACTTAAGGTCATAAATGGTATGCAAGGTGGCAAATGTCAATCTTTATTTAAAAAGTAACATCCAGACCAGGTGTGGTGGCTCATAGCTATAATCCCAGCACTTTGGGAGGCTGAAGTGGGAGGACTGCTTGAGCCCAGAAGTTCGACATTGCAATGAGCTATGATTACACCTCTGCATTCCAGCCTAAGTGACAGAGTGAGACCCTGCCTCTTTAAAAAAAAAACAAAAAACAAAACACAAAACAAAAAAGAAATCCAATACACAATACCTGAGAACATATATATACAATTAGCATGTATATGTAGAAATATATATACATATATATATATTCAAATCCAAAAGTAAGAAGGACTACTCTGGGTAGGAAGTTTAAGAGATTTTAAAAAATAAGATTGAATTTGAACTATATTAGATACGGATATGCAAAAATTAAAAAAAAAAAGGTATCCTACGCTCATGTGAACAAAAGCTCACAAAATGGAAACTATCAACCACACTTAATGAACTCTGAGGGGATAATTTGGTTCCAACTTTGAAAGTATTGATAGAAAGTAAGAAAAAAGGTACAGAGTGAAGTCAGGTTTGAAGAGCCTTTAATGTAGGCCTCCAGTGATAGGTCAATCCAGATGCTGGGTTTACATGGGCAAGTTATATGCTGAGAGGACTCATTCCATTCAATGTGATCAGTGGTGTACTCTGTAAGGAGAAATCAGGAACCCAAACCCAGATTCAAAAATTCTCCTCTGTATTTAAGAGCAAAAAAACAAAACAAAACAAAAACTAACTGAAATTTATAATGACCTTGGTCAACTCTCCATTTCATCATCAGTTATTCCAAATCTTTACCAACATCCTCAAATCTCCTACTCAGTGTGTTATTACCACTCCCCACCAGAAGGTGGCCTTCCTTACACTGTCATCGGGAAAAGTAAGGCCACTGAGCTGAGTTTCGCTCTGCTTCTCACCCTTTATCTACAAACTTCTGTGTCTACATCCATACTCATCCTTAGATTCTTTCCCAATTTTTTCCCTTAACACAGATTCGATGGACACAACTATGTACCAAGTACAGTGTTATTAAGTAAATTAATAATTAAAATTTGGTGAGACTGTATTACATGAAAAGGATGAAGAAGTTATGAGACTATGTCCTTGACAACATTCTTCTCCCTCCTTAAGACATCAATGCAGTATCACATATTATTTATGGGCCTTCCAATCTGTAATACTTTTGAATTTTTCAAATAAATACATATGAAAGCTGACAGTCTATACATTTTTAAATTTACACTAGGAAAATAACTTACTTTATATCGACCTGAGGGGACAACAACTGAAGTCTTGTGTATGCAAACATCCAAGCATAGCTCACAGCTGTAGAGCAGTGTTTAGGAAGATTTTCTTGCTTTAAAAAACTGGAGAGACTTATAATCCATGGGTCTTGGCCTTGGGTCACATGTGCAAATATCCATATATGTGATGGACTAATCACATCAAACTGGTGGCTAATAGGAGAAGAGTTCCATTCTGCTAAAGTTTGTAAATCTATCGAGCTAGGGCAATAGAGCAAAGTAGTCTATATGGAGAGGAAAAAATTGATTATTACACATTTCAATAACTTTGAAATTTTACCATATAAATTGCTTTAAACTGAAAGTGGTGTATTAGTAGTTTCTAAAACAAGATAATATAAAGTCCATGGTAGGTTGAAGGGAGTAGAGAATTCCTGAAACTGCATGTAAAGTTTCTGTATGTGCATACATGTCTTTTTTTTGGAGAGGGATTCCACTGTTTTCATTATTCTCAAGAGGACTATAAACCAAAGAAGTTCAGGACCACTATTTAAGTAATTCTTAAATAAATATCCAAATTTCATCGTATACCAAAAGCTGCCAGAGAACTAAAGAGTGAACCATTAACTTTCATGTTGACCTGTATCTATGTATGTGTGGAACAGACTCAAAAATGAGCTCTTCTCCAGAGGTATATATTCTTAAATACTTGTTCAATATTTGAACTCTTATACTGAAGAGATAAACATTTATGTTCAAAGAAAAGTATATTAAGCACTGCTTTAGGCACAAGAAACAAGTCATCCATTACTCTCTTTTTGGAATAATTCATAATTTATGGTTAATATCTAAAACAAAATGTTTTGAATTGTATAGATCCTTTCATAAAATAACTAGAAGAGAGGCTTTTAAAGGTTCTTACCACAAATAAATGATAAACACATGAGATGATGGATACACTAACTACCCTGATTGGGTCATTATACAATATAGACATGTATGGAAACATCAAATTGCACCGCATAAATATGTACAATTGTATCTATTTAAAAATAAATAAAAATTAAAAATTAGTTTTTTAAAAAGTTTAGCATCATGGTAGCATCATGGCGGGGGGGAATTGTACAGATTTCTAATAATCTCTTAGGCTTATAAAACCTTATTACCTCCCTTGGCTACATATAACTCATGAATTATAAGAATCAGGTGTTATGCCGCAAGCTCTTAATGTTATGCATTAACCTCTTGACCATGTATTCTAAAATAGGAGGAAATATTTTTAAATAGTAAGGTTTTATAGCTATTCTTACATCAACTTTGGAATCTTAATATATGACCTTTTACCCAACCAAGACCAAGCAAGAAAGTTTGCATAAACTTTGTTAGTAATATGTTTGTGGACAAAGTGTTTCTCTCCATTTTAATGAGTCAAATTACATATGACATTGGTATAAAACACTATGTACTTAATCCACTATACTTAAACTTATGTGATACACAAAAAACAGTTGCCAAAAAAGCAGGGTGTAAGTTTTTGCTTTGAGTATCACCATTTTTTTCCCGTAGCATTTTCACAAGTATTTCTATCTCACGAATATTATATGCCATAATAAAGAGCAAACGGTAGCATAAAGATTCCATTTAACAGAAACTTCTTAGATTGGAAGGATGAGAATTTTACAAACATAAAATAATTTTTATTTCTATGTAGAAGAGTACTTAACCAAGTATAAATGAATGTCACTTTTTAAGTACTACTCTTAAGCATTTTCTACTTTTCAAAAATACTTTCTAACTCATTACATTTGTTAAGGAAGTTATTTTATGTATGCACATGTACATGTATACATATGTGTCTGTCATAAGTCTCAAAACAAGATTGGGTAGAATGAAGTCACTATAGTTACCTGATCAGCCCCAGTGAGATGTATGAAGCTCTCAAGAATGGATGGGCTTAGCCTGTCCATCACATCTATGGCTAATTCATCATCACCCTGTAAAAAAGACATCATATGTCTAAAAAAATTAGGAATGTTTAAGCAAAGTAGCCAAACCCAAGTAAACACTAAAAATTCACTTCAGCACTATTTTTTTTTTTTTTTTTTTGAGACGGAGTCTCGCTCTGTCACCCAGGCTGGAGTGCAGCAGCGCCATCTCGGCTCACTGCAAACTCCGCCTCCTGGGTTCACGCCATTCTCCTCAGCCTCCCGAGTAGCTGGACTACAGGCGCCCGCCACCACGCCCGGCTAATTTTTTTTTTATATTTTTAGTAGAGACCACCGTGTTAGCCAGGATGGTCTCGATCTCCTGATCTCGTGATCCGCCCGACTCGGCCTCCCAATTGAGAACGGTAGGTTAGTTTAGACCCATGGTAGTAACCTACCTACATGGGATAAGGATGGACAAAGAGATGGTTTTTAAGTACTTTCAATAGATAACTGAATGAAATACCTAAATCTTACCTTAGGTATTTCCAGAAGTGCAAATAAAGCCCGTATTTCTCTAAGGACACTGACGGCTAGTCTCCTAGTGGCAGGTCGACTGCTACAGAGAATGACAAGCGCAAAGCCTTCAACCACATGGAATACATTGGAATATGGGCTCCTTTCCAGAGGAGGGGGATGAGAAGCTCCATTAGCTACACCATGCTTGAAAAACAGAAGTTAAAAACAAAATATAAAAATATATGCACAGACATTTCCGAAAAACAGTTAATAAAAAATAAAGCAAATCATAGTGATTATGACTACCGGTCTGCCTCAGCTCAAGCAATGTAAATCGCATGTATTTTATAAAAATGGAATAGTGTGCACAGTGAAAACATTTCACTGGCAGTCTAAATATGAATTCTGTACCTAACTTCTACCATTCTCTGACTATTTTGTAACCTTGGAACTGACAGTTGCTCTTCATCTGATTTCTATGTGGAAAATGAGGGGATTGTAGTGTATCTTTCACACTCAGAGTGTGGACCAGCAGCCTGGCAATACCTGAGAGCTTCTAAGAAACTCCTGAAACTCTTTCTTAGGGCCCTGTTGATTTGCATGCTCATTAAAGGTTGAGAAGCTAGGGTGGCTTCAATGGCTCGGGTCTAAAATTTCAAGGTTCTATGATTTACACATTATCATAAATCAATGATTTGAGCATCTTTTATGGTTAAGGAGCACAGTTACTGTCTATGTGAAACAGGGACTGGTGACATGGATAAAACAATCAAATAACCCAAATGGAAGACTACCAAAAATTTATTGTACTGGCTTTAAATATATTGGAAACAACCTAAAAGTGAGCTGGAATTATCTCTAATTTCTATGCTCATTAAAAACCCAAAGAAGAAGATTAGAAAAGTTAGACACATAAACACTATATATTCACTACAGGAACTATGGGAAAGTTCAGTTTAAGGGATTAGGAACACATTGAGAGTGAATAGAACTAATAATACTTTTAGTGTTTGATAAAGTAAATCTGTATTAAAACCATTATTGGTCATTTAGCACTGACCACATACAAAAGGACAATAGAAAAGAATCTGGTACCTGAGTGTCCTGGTTTTTATTATGCATTTGGGCTGCTTGTTTCCACTGATTTATTAATTGTACCAACATCTTTACGGCATTATCAAGAAGTGTGGGATGGACATCAGTCACTTCACGAACAATAAAATAAACAAATCCTGAAAGAACATCCTCCCGCCAATCTGGAAAATCAAGCATTAGTGCCTGCAGAGTATTGAAAGCCAGAGCACGCAGTTCTTCATCCATATGAATTGTGAGCCTACCAAGAACAAAATTCCATTAGCAAACTTCAATACCTTTCAATTAGTTTTATCATCTGAAACTTAAAACTATGACCTTAAAATAAATGTCCTCTTAGTTGTTTTGTAAGAAATATGAAGATAGCAACCAATGATCACTTTTTCATGCTATATTCAACTTTATGCTAGTTTATACTCTCATTTGCTTAAATTCACATATGAATCTATTCCCATTAGTTGGTGTTTTTACTATAATCTGAATAATAAGTTTGATACAAATGACATTAGAATTCCATTTAAAATCCTTTAATCCTTAAAATACTGTATTGTTATCTTATAATCAATCAAAAATGATATCTAATCATATGCTATCTTAGCACTATCGTCACATTTATTTAATCTTTACTATCACTGGCAAGGACACGATTTATCTCAATCATTCTTTTTTTTTTTTTGAGACAGAATCTCGCTCTGTCACCCAGGCTGGAGTGCAGCGGCATGATCTCGGCTCATTGCAAGCACTGTCTTCTGGGTTCACGCCATTCTCCTGCCTCAGCCTCCCAAGTAGCTGGGAATGCAGGTGCCCGCCACCACACCCAGCTAATTTTTTGTATTTTTAGTAGAGACGGGGTTTCACCGTCTTAGCCAGGATGGTCTGGATCTCCTGACCTCATGATCTGCCCGCCTCGGCCTCCCAAAGTGCTGGGATTACGGGCGTGAGCCACCACTCAATTATTCTTTATACACACTGAAGTTACAGTTGAATACAGGATGGCTGATTGTGAAGAAGGATATACAACAAATGAAGATGGAATCAATGCAACACAATAATTATTGAAGGTCAGAATGAGAGTAAATTTAGGAGTAATATTATAAATGGTACATGCCTAGAAAAAAAAAAAATAAGGCTGAGCTCAGTGGCTCACACTTATAATCCCAGTACTTTGGGAGGCCAGGGCAGGTGAATCACTTGAGGTCGGGAGTTCGAGACCAGCCTGGCCAACATGATGAAATCCCGTCTCTATTAAAAATACAAAAACATTAACCAGGCGTGGTGGTGCACGCCTGTAATCCCAGCTACTCAGGAGGCCGAGGCAGGAGAATTGCTTGAACCCGGGAGGCAGAGGTTGCAATGAGCCGAGATTGTGCCACTGCACTCCAGCCTGGGCAACAGAGCAAGACATCATCTCAAAAAAAAAAGAAAAAAAAAAATGTGTTGACTCTGCACATAAGTTCCTAAAGAGAGTTTAAGTCTAAACAAATTAGGAGATGCTATATACAATCTGCTTTTAAATACATCAAAACAATATGGGGCTTTGAATATAATTTTAGTTACAGAAGTTTACCATAACATAAAAGAGAATGATAAACAAGAAATTCTTTTAAAAAAATGGCTACAGTAGTGGAAGCCACCATTATATAATAATATTATATGAATAAAGAGTTTCTGATTTGGGTCTGAAGAGAATTATGCTAGTAATTGACTACAAAGACAAATGTATCAGAGTTAGAAATAGTCTGAATGAATAAGGTAAGTACGTAATATTAAACACAATTATATGCTTGGGAAGCTGGAAAAATGGAGTTATCCACAACAGAGGCAGAAAGTTGTGTGGTTTAGGAGAAAGGAGATATAAGTATTCACCCTGCTGAACTCAGTTCTAGTCATCACGAAGCCAACTTTCAACTGACAATGAGACTAAAGAGAAGTATTATAGCTAGACAGACTGAGGAGTAAGCAACAAAGCAGCAGCAGTTCCATCAGCACATGAGAAATAAACAGGGTCAAATGAAGCATCTCTAGCCCAGTATTCTGTCTCTAATAGCGGCACCAGGAGATACAATATGGGAGAAGAGAGTGACAGTCCTCAATGATGTTGACTTTAAAGGTTATTTCAACATTCCTTAAATCCATGAATATGTAAATATCTATCTTACTCCTATCTGTGTGATACAGGGTATACATGTGTGAGTTAACTGCTCATTGTACAGAGCAGAAAACAATAAAGCTTGGTTAATTAAAGGCAGGGGAATTAATTAACTTTCCTTAGGGACAGGATACAGGTCTGCACATTTACAATGCACCTTTGTTTTGTTTGTTTGCTTCCTTTATGGTAAAGTAAATAAGATTTAGACAGCACAATTCCAAATGATAAGAAGAGAGGAGAGAATAGAATAGACCCTGGGATCTTCCTTTCCATTGAGGTAAATTATTAGTAAACAAATATCATAGGAGAAAGAAGCAAAGTGAACAGCAAAGCAAATTGTCATTCACTATTCAGCTGTCTGCTCTTTTACTAGGCTTTCCCATCCCTGGCCCTCATAGTTACAGTTTCATTTTGGTGGAAAAGATGGGAGATCTACTCTTGTGGATCAACATCCACAAAGATGTAGATGAGTTATGTTGAAATAGGAGGAGTAAGAGCAGAATTGAACAGTAGTTGTTTACTGCTCTCCCAAGGAATAGTATCATAAATAATTAATGTTTCTTATTTCCAATGCTGGCATGAACTTTGTAACTCTACAATCTAATTCACAAAAAAATTAGGAGACTGTGCGAAGGGAACAAATTTATATAATGCAAAGTAACCCCTTTCTTTCACAATCATCACAGGAGACATAAAATCTCTGATCACAACAGGCAACAGTTGAGGATAATGTAGTGCCAGGGTGTGTGAAAAGCTAGGGAAGTGGGGAGAAAGGATTGCTGGAACAGTCTTTAATTGTTTATTTATTATGAATTTAACTTACACCTAAGTGATAAATGCCCAGCCACAAGTAAACACCTTTCAACATAGTCAAATATTGCTGCTCTGCTATAGTCATTGTATTTGTTTTTTTCATCTAGGACAGGGGCTGGCAAACTGTGGCTCAAGGGCTAAATCCAGCCAGATGCTTATTGGAACGCAGTCATGCGCACTCTATTGTCTATGGCTGCTTTTGTACTATAATGGCAGAGATGAGTATGTGTTTGCTTGTTTTATTGATACACAACAGTTGTACATACTTTTGTGGTAGATGTGATAATCTAGTGCATTCAAATAATTTGTAAAGATCAAATCAGTGCAATGAGGATATCTATCACCATAAATACTTGTCTTTTCTTTATGTTAGAAACCTTTAAATTATTCCTTTCTAGCTATTTTGAAATGTACAACAGATTATTGTAAACTATAGTCACTCTACTGATCTATGAACACTAGGTCTTACTTCTATCTAACTGTATAATTGGACCCATTACAAAGATCATAATGATCTGCAAAACCCTAAAATACTATCTGGTACTTTCCAGAAAAATGTGCTGATCCCTTATCTAGGGAATCCCTAACTACATCAACAAAGCAGTTTTTCAACAGGCTATCGTCTCAACTTAGAATTAGGAGCTAGTATTTAAGTTTGGTTGTCAGGTTATTTACTCATTTTACAGAGCTATGACATGCCTAATAGAAGAGAGAGAAAAACTTAAATGCCACAGTTCTGCCATAGGGGGAAAAAAAAGCACAAATGAGACCTGATTACCACTAGAGATACTAAAGAAATGACTGTAAGAGTAAACACAATAATTAATTGCCTAACTGGGAATTATCATACACTGATAATGCCCATATGTTAAGGGATAATGTGTTACAGAAATCCCAGGAAAGAATACTAGATGGAAAAATAGGGAACTGAAAGATAGGATTTGTGGGGGGAATCTAGAAGAATTTGAGAAGTTAAAAATCAGTGAGGAAAATGTGTTTAACAACAACAAAAAAAGACAAAATGGAAGTTTAGAAAGTAAATCAGATAAAGGATTAGAAATGTCTTTAACATCGCCTTTTTAGTGATAACAGTAACAAAGGTATATTAGAAATATAAAGGAGCAGAAGACATAAAACAATATAGCAAACAGTAATTCTCATTTACCTTGCTAACAATTCAATCAGGTCAGTTCTGCTCATACCGTCAGGAATCAACCTTGGAATCGCAGCAATACAAGTTCTAAACAAATCAATCTTGGGTTTTCTTTCCCCCCTGAAAAATACAACAGGATTTAATAAGAAACATATTACATATGCTAGACAATGAAATCAAACTTGGAAAAATAACTACAGAAAGTGCGAGTCCTCCCCTAAAGTTCAATGTATTTAATATTTTAAAAATGCACATAAATCCTGTAGATAATTATTAGCCTATATATGGATAAAAGAATACAGAAATAATTCAAAATAAAACCAGCAAACAAAAAGGTTTTCAGTAACTAGACAACAAGCATTACAACCATTATTACATAACAAATATTTAAACAGATTATTTATAATTAATCTTATTAATATTTAAGATTAAATATTTAATATTTAGCCTCCCACAAATAATATTAAAATAAATAGCACTGATATCATTAAATAACTAAATACTGGTTATTTTGAGGGGCCTATAAAATTAGCCACATTGTTTTCACTTAGTATCTTCCACTAACAAAGGTCTTAGAAACATTCATCTCATACATAGGTGTTTATATTGTTTGTTCTTGTCCTGTATGTGACACACACACATAAATACACATACTTAAAATTTCTATGTAATAAAATGAGCCAAGTTTTTGAAAATCCTGGTACCTCTAGAGGCTTAATACAATTTAATTTTACTATATTTTCTTCTAGTTATTCAATAATTTTATTTATTTTAAATGTCTAACCTCTTAATATACTGGTTTTTATTCTGGTCTGTATTTGAAGGTGAGGCCTTTTAAATTTCTTTCATCTAAATTGTTCTTCAGTTGGCCTAATAAAATAATCCTTATGTAGAAAAGAATTTGGATATTCTCAGTGTTTTGGGTTTTATTTTTATTTTTTATTTTTTTTTTGAGATGGAGTTTCGCTCTTGTTGCCCAGACTGGAGTGCAATGGCGTGATCTCAGCTCACTGTAACCTCCGCCTCCCGGGTTCAGGCGATTCTCCTGCCTCAGCCTCCCGAGTAGCTGGGATTACAGGCGCCTGCCACCACGCCCAGCTAATTTTTTGTATTTTTAGTACAGATGGGGTTTCACCATGTTGGTCAGGCTGGTCTTGAACTCCTGACCTCAGGTGATACATACGCCTCGGCCTCCCAAAGTGCTGGGATTACAGGCATGAGTCACCGCGCCTGGCCTTGGGTATTTGTTATAGTGGCAATGGACTCACTACCTAGAGATTTCATATAGTCAGTCCTCTTTTTACATGGTTTCAAAATGCATGAATTTCAGTTACCACACTTTAGTTAAATAATACCAGTCCCCAAAAAGGCAGTTCAAATTTAAGCTACCATACATTAAGTAATGGCATAAACAAACTTTGCTTTCGCTCTTTGGTCCATAAAGCACCATGCACATCATAATCACTGTCATTTTCCATCAAGGCTGTCAGTGATTGGTCAAGGTGCATCTGTTATTCAGTTCATACACAGACAGCAAAGTGTGCAATGGTGTTGCCTCCTGGTCTCCCAGGATAACCCACATGACATTTTACAGAAATAGATAATCAAAAGAGGGTATTGGCTAACAAAGAGGAAGTACCACAAAGAAAGAAAAAGTAACATCACTGTGTAGTGTGTTCTTATAATTTTATGTTGCTTTGACACCCATATTAAATATAAGTTTGACTTTCTCATACCAGAAATAGGGCTCAGTCACCCTTGAGACAGTTTCCAGTTCTACACCCCACTCCATCCCCCAGTTCTTTAATGTGGTTGATTCAGGTATCTGTCTTACACAACTTCTTCCTGGTAATCACCTCCATATGGATACCTAGATGCAGGCTACTTGACTGGCCCCACTGACCTGCGTACCCCACATGGACTATGCAGATGTGCTGCAGTGACCACCTCTCAGGCACAGCATGATCTCCTGAACTCATGCGTGCTTGCTTTCAATCCACCAATTAGAATTCCCCATAGGTAACTGTTTGGAAAACACCCTCAACCCAAAAAAGGCATTGGCCCATGGGCCTCTTTCTCTCTCTCTCTACACATGCTTCCTGACCTCCATGAGTGTGGCCTCCACATGTGCAGTGTCCCCCACCCACCTGTAAGTAATAAAATCTTTATTGCTATCTTGCTTTTCTCCTAGTCACCGAGAGGGTGCTCTCTATCTCAAAGATCCTAAATTAAAGCACACTGAAATAGAATAGAAAGTTAATGCAGTTACAGAAGAAATACACTATATAGGTGTCAGAGGAACTGGGTGAAAGCAAAAACTTACTAAATGAGGGAAGTGGTTGTGGTGAAAAACAAGATTTCCCAGAGGAAGTAACATTGGCAAAAAACTTCACATTAAAGAAACTCTCAGAGATATTAGCATATAGTAGTACATAATAATTGTATATTAAATAAATTGAGATTAAATACCAAATTTGGTATTCTAAGACCTATAATGCAAATATTAATATCCAGAAGAATCTCCTCCCTTACAGAGAATATGTAGATGTTTTCTAGCAAATAAAGTAAGCTATTGCCATAACATACAGTTTCCTGAGGAGGAAGTCCCTAACAATAAGAAAAAAAGATGCAGAGATGACAAATAATGACAAGGCCCTTGGGGTGGGGTGGGATGAGGTAGTGTTTCGAAAAAAACTGCTCATATGTTATTCCTCTCTATGCCCCTTAGTTCCTAGGAGTCAAAAATAATCAGAGTTCAGATTTTCAGGATTTTTTTTTTTTTTTTTTAAACTAGGGCTTTGGCAGTGAAAGCATTTATTTGACATAATAAACCAATCATGCCCACATACATCCGGGGTACCTAGGATTCATATTTTGCTCACAGAGTAAGTGTAGGGCCTTGTCATTGACAACACACCAGACTGGGATCTAGAGTGAGTTTTGCTATCTATACCAGTTTGACAGCACTTTAAGGAATAAAACTGAGTGTGTGGAAGGAATCACTGTATTGAAAACTGCAGCAGATAGAAACATGGAAGAACTCCAAAGACCAAGTAAGGAGACAGGTAAGCAAGAACCATCCACACTGTCTTAGGAAAACTGAAATAGCAATGAAGGCACATAATTTACTACATACGTAATCATGTCTTCAGGCTCCTTATTAGACATCTGCACACTGGTCATACACATTGGTCTCCCAACTTCTTTGTCCAAATGTCTGAGGATGCTATCTAATGCTTTTCTTACTTGAGGATAGTAAACTGACATTCCTAGGGGAAAAAACTTCACAGTTATAAAATATCTGAAATTAGATAAAGAATACTTACTTTCTGTAATAAAAGCCTATTAATCTTTAAATGATTAGCTTATTGTTGCCACAAAAGGGGTTTCAACTGTGACATATTCTTCTCCCTGATGATCAGCTTCAGTATATTGGACTAATTGGAGAAATTATGTGAAAATTATGCAGAGGACTAAAACTAAGTTGAAGAAAGGACAGAATGCAGTGAATAGGATCCTGTGATAAAGATTTAACTGGAAAACTCTTAACATGAAGACTCATGACTATTATCAAAAAAACGTATTCACTGTGGGCTGAGCATGGTGGCTCACGTCTGTAATCCCAGCACTTTGGGAGGCTGAGGCGAGTGAAATCACTTGGGGTCAGGAGTTCAAGACCAGCCTGGTCAAGGTGGCAAAACCCCATCTCTACTAAAAATACAAAAATTAGCCAGGTGTGGTGATGCACGCCTGTGGTCCCAGCGACTTGGGAGGCTGAGGCATGAAAATCACTTGAACTCAGGAGGTAGAGCTTACAGTCAGCCAAGACTGCACCATGCCCTCCAGCCTGGGCAACAAAGTGAGACTCTGTCTCAAAAACAAAAACAAAAACAAAAAACAAAAAAAACCCAGAAGTATTCATTTTGTATGGCTGTATATACTAGAAAAACCATATTAGGCAAATTTATATACATTTTATATTTGATCAGACTTTTATAAAAGAATATGAAACTGTATTACAAAGCAACATTTAATTTCAATTAAACTAACCTATGACTTTTGCTTCTTCATCTGTCAAGGTTTTATTGAGAAATATTTTCTTTACACGAAGAGTATTTCCTGAGGGAAGAATAACTCCTGTTGTTGGCATGGGTGGTTCACCATCTTTCTGCTGCAAACTGTCTGCTATTACAAGGAAGACTCTGAGACCTATGTTCATTCTCTTCAAAGGAAAAAAATGCAAAAGGAAGAGATGAGTATCATAAATTACCTTTTTTGCATGTTAGAAATATTTCATCAGTAACATCAGAGTTGGGGGGTGGAAGGAAGGAAGATAGAAGGAACACTAACCTTTCTGTCCAACATTTTTAACTAGCACAGGCATTAGAATTTGCTTTAATATCAAATTCCCAAATGCCACTCACTCACTTCTGAGGTCGACCAGCTTCCTTATTGTCTCTAAGGCTTATAGCAATCCTCTTCCTCAACTCTCCTATCCTTCTATGGTCCCGTCCCCTCCCCTTTCTAGGCAAATGACTTGTCTTCTACTTCACAGAAGAAAAAAAATCACCAACTTTCCTCAATCTCTCAATTACAAATCACACTAATTTACTTATACCTGCACCTCTTCTCCCTCCCTTTTGCTCTTGGTATAGTGAGGGAGTGACAGTCTTCTTAGTTGTTGGAATCCCATCTGTTCTTGCATGTTTGGAAACATTACAGCACCAATTACATACACGTTTTCTTTCTTGCATCTTCAACATTTTCCTTTCAACTGAATATATCCCCTTTCTCTTAAATATACTGCTATCTTAATGGAAGAAACTTTCCCCAAATACTTCCCTGAAGCCATTCTCACTCATCAGTTACCATATTGCTCAAAACAGTGGGCCTATTTATAGTATGCTACTTGATTTCCCAGCAACATGGACAAGGTCAAGCACCCTTTCCCTCCTGAAACACTCCCTTCCTTTGGTATCTATGTTCCACTTCTGGCTGTGTCATCTTTATCTGCATTTCAGGTTTGGCCTCCCTGACCTGGGTATTAAATGTTAGACTGCTTCAAGGCAACGTTCTCCTGGGCTGCCTTCTCCTATCATCATGTATTACCTCCCAAAACAACTGCATATACTTACATGGCTTCATTTACCACCCATACCAGATCACCCACAAATTTTAAGCCTGGCCTCTCTCTGAACTCAGACCCTCAGACCCATCTGACATCTCTTACTTGGATGCCTCTACCTGGATGCCTCATGTTAGACATGTTCAAACCAAATGCATGACCTTGCCCCCAGATTTGATTCCTTCTTAATGTTTTTTTCTCAGTGAATGCTCCTCTATCTGCACCACTACAATCCAAGCCCAAGCTGTCATTATCTCTGATCTACACCAGTGGTCTCTCAAGTGGGGTACACGCATCCCAGTGGGTATGCAAGGTAGTTCAATGGAATACGGGAAGAAAATAAAGCTCTTATATATATATATATATATATATATATATATATTTTATCTAAGTAAGATTAAAAGTTTAAGCTTCACTCTTCTTTATATACGACATAGTACTGGTGCCCTCCCTTAGTCTAAGTATCAGATAGTCACATGTCACATAGTCAAAGACGACACCTTGAAAGACGCAGAAAAGCTCCACAATGTAGCTTCACTTATACATTCTTTCAGTGTATTGCAATTTGCATGTATTTGATTAAATGGGCTAATGGATAATTTTATCTAGCTTTAACTACATGAGCTCTTACAAAAGTCCTTGAAAAGAAAATACAGATCCAAGAAAAGAAAATACAGATCCAAGATAATCCTAACAAAGTAAACCTAATAAATAACAACCACCTCCCCCACAGAAAAAAACCCAGCAGAACTGATTTTTTTTACTCATACCTAGTATGAGAACTTCAGGAAGAAAAAAACTTACTTTCAGAAATAAATTTATTCAATAGAGTGAATATTTTCTTAAAATGGATGTTCAAGAAAATATCTTTTGTTTCATAATTTTTGTTGCTGGAAACCATTTTTGTCGGTAGAAACCAAAAAATATATAAATAAGAGCTTTATTTTTTTCCTGTATTCCAGTGAACTACCTTCTACACCCACTGGGATACATGTACCCCCAACAAGTTAAGTATGTCAGCTATACAAACAATCATGTTTGCCCACTTCCAAAATCTGGAAATAATTATTAAACTATCTTAAAAATATTACAAATGAAAAGCTGCATTATCTTTCCAACTCATTTGTTAACCACATAAACACATACCTTAGGATTTGACTATGTATAGGATCAAGATAGTAATTTAAAATAAATAAGAAAATAAACAGATAACACCTATTTTGCCTTTTTATATCCTCAAATGTAATTAGATTCCAACAAAGAATTAATTTATGAAATATTTTGAAAAATCCTGAAAATCTAATGTCTAAAGAATGAATTAGAGTTTACTAGTGAATAATGAGACCATGGAAGCAGGATATAACATTCACTTTTTTAATGTTGATTTTTTTTGGCATGGGGGAAACAAATTTTTGTTTTTTCTATAACACCTAGAACAGTGCCTGGCACATTTCAGGTGCTCAATAAATGTTGAATGAATGAGATTTATTGAAGAACACCTTAAATATAAACAATGTGAAGTAAAAAAAAAAACAACCAAAAAAAAAAAAACCTGGGCTCATTATAACTTCCAGGAGCCAGCTGAGCTGACTAACCTGATAAAATTTTCCTTTCTTTATTCATTTTTTGAGACAGAGTTTCGCTCTTATTGCCCAGGCTGGAGTGCAATGGCTTGATCTCGACTCACCGCAACCTCTGCCTCCCAGGTTCAAGCGATTCTCCTGCCTCAGCCTCCCTAGTAGCTGGGATTACAGGCATGTGCCACCACTCCCGGCTAATTTTGTATTTTTAGGAGAGATGGGGTTTCTCCATGTTGGGGTCAGGCTGGTCTCAAACTGCCAGCCTCAGGTGATCTGCCAGCCTCAGGTGATCTGCCCGCCTCAGCCTCCCAAAGTGCTGGGATTACAGGCATGAGCCACCGTGCCCGGCCTATTTATTATTTTCTACCACGCTTAAACACCATTATTTCACTCCAGCCTGGGCAACAAGAGCAAAACTCTGTCTCAAACAAACAAACAAACAAACACTATTATTAAACCATTCGGCCAGCTATTAGAAAGGTTAAGTAACTTGTCCTGGATCACAGCTACTATTAGAAGTAGAGCTGGGATTTGAACCTAAGAGTTCTGATTCCAGAAATCATGCTCTTAAAAAAAAAATCTAGGATTTTATATTATTACATTATAATTTTTTTACCTCTGGATTAATGGTGAAAGTTTTAGTAGATTTTCCAACACTGAGAAGATCAAATATTATTTCTTTCATTGCAAAATCCAAGCGTTCCTTAAAAAAAAAAAAATCCTTATAACTTGCTACTATGTGTTAGGTATCATGCTAAGAATTATAAATATAATATACAATGACAACAAGACAGGTTTGTGCCCTTAAAAAGTTCACAGCTGAACAGAAGAAAAATACATATGAATTAAGGTCAAAATACATGATTATAAGTATATTATTTAATTATCAAATGATTTGTTTAATACCCAAACCAACAGAATAAAGTTTTAAACATTCATTCACCAAAATCATATTAAAATCAAAGTGAAAGAATTCCCAGGGTGACAATGAAAGGAAGTCCCAAGACAATAGCCAGGCAGCAGGCCTAGACAGCAGTGAGTTCATACTGGGTCAGGAAGAATGGGGCTCTAGGAAGGAAATCTCCCGGGGGGTGGGGGGAAGTTAACTAATTAGATTAACTGCTGTTTGAAAGGAGTTTTATAATTCTGGTGGAGTGCTGGAGGAAGGTAACTAATTCAAGGGAGTGGGTACAATTCTGGAAAAAAAGAAGAGATTCAACCTAATGTCACAAGTTTTTTGAACACTTGATCTAAAGCACAATTTGCTTTTATTAATCTTACTGATACCCTTATACTTATCGAATTACCATTACTTTTGTACTCTAGTAAATAACAATGTACTAATTCTATTTAAATATTCTTTATTTCTTCACTGTCAAAAATAATTGAATTATGGATCATCTAGATTGTTACAGTTTCAGTTGAAAGAGAATGCAATCAATATTCTGGAATCACAGCATTTTCCCATGTTGACGAGATAACCTTACCTATGTTTCTCCAAGATGGATGTCCCAAAAGGAAATGTGACCAAAACCTTGTATTGGCTCATTAACACCCATTTAATCCCCCTCTAATAATCCTTCCTTTACTGCAGAGGCTAGAAAGCTAAACTTGTACTTCCCAGGATCCCATTTAACAAAAAGCTTGAGGATATAATTTAAACCCTGCCAAGTGATACACTCATGTGAGTCTCTTTGGGAACTGGGATATGTAAAGAGGAGGAGGAAGACAGGGAGAAATGAATCTATTTTACTGGTGAGGACCGTAGCAGATGCAGCATGATTCTGAAGCATACCCACATGTGGTGACTTCCTTGTCTGGTGGCTGTTTTATTTTGGCCAAGGTAGCAGTTTCCTCTTTGTCGTTCAGACTAGAATTCATTTCTTCAGCCCTACTATAAATTCTCTGAGCTATCTATATTCCTTTCGAGGTCCCTTTGGGTTTAACTAGCTACAGTGGAATCTATTATCAGTACCTAAGAATCTAGATTAATGTAGACTATGAAAATAATTTTCTAAGAAATCCTTGAAGATACTCAGAAGGTAATTAGTAAATGCACTAACATTAGGATTATGAGATATGTTGTTTATCCCTCTTCAATTCAAAGTGCTGCCACCTGTGGGTTTTCTTTCCAAGTGTGTAGATTAATGAAATAAACTTATTCAATGTTGTATTACTATGTTTTTAGATGCATAAAAAATTTCAAAGCTCCAAGTGATTACAATAGATTACTCTAACAATTTATATACATACATACTATGAGATGAAGCACTCACCTGAGCAATGAACTGAATAATCTTCACAAATATATTGAGAGGTGTGTCACGAGGAACCACACTTCGTGAGCCTTTTGGAAAAAGTGCTGACACTATGCTCATAAGACGACTACAGGGAAAAAGATCTAGTCATAGTGAGATCATAACATCAACAGCATATTAGCAAAAAATTCTTCCTATTCTTCATAATATATTGACAGAATTCATATTCCACCCACAAAGTATAATGTTTACTAAAATTCCCAATAGTGTGTTTTTTTAAAAACAAGAATTTATTTTTAATGCACTTTAAAGCAAAGATACTCACCTTTGAGTTACAGTGTTGCTTTCACATTTTATTCTAATTACATAAACCCACAATAATCTATACAAAGATTCCAGTGCAACTCGAGACATTTTCGGATCTTTATTCTGTTTTAAAACAAAAGAGAATAAACTTATTATAATACTTGCAATCACTTAACAGCAAACATATTCTCTGTCAACAACTAAAAGCCAATCTTTTTTGTATTCAGTCTAAAATAGGTTTAAATACCAGGTACATATTTGGTATAGGGTAAATATATGGCTCAAAAGTAACCATAAATTTGGAAATTGAGCCCTTTCTTACACTTTCAAAATGCTAAAATTTTATTTACTAAATTTTACTTATTAAATAAAATTATACTAGTATTTCTAAGAATTCTAAAATTATACAAACAAACTTACTTGATGATGAACAGTTCACACTCCAATACTGACATAATGACTGAAAAAGGATCACTCATTTTTGGCAGAATTCATTTGTAGCCCATATATAGTTAAAATTCAGAACACCAAATGGTATTACAGTCATTTGCATTTACGAAATAATGCAAAATATTATGAAGTGTATATCCTTACGAGTGAATAGGGAGTTAAGAGCGTGGACTCTAAAACTGGGAAAAACAGGGACTAAATCCAAGCTCCATCCTTGGGCATTGTTATATGATTCTGAGTCACAATTTCCTCATCTCTAAAATGGAGAACATATGGTACCTACCTCAGAGGTAAAGTTAATATCTGTAAAGCACTTGGAACAGTACCTGGCATGTATTAAACGTTCATTGACTATTAAGTGTTATAATTTTTATTTAGAATAAGGACATTATTTAAATTATTATTATTTAGAATCAGTTATTCCATTTCAATTACAATTTGATCAGCAAACTTTTTCTTCATTCTAGCTGTTATAAAAAATAAAGTTCTCAAATGACCAATAATTTTGAAATGTAGCTAATAATCTCCTTTTTTTTTTTTTACGGAGAAACTCTTTATACATCCGTTGATTAGTTTTAGGATGTACTGATTGTTGTGAATTTACATTTTAGATTTTTGCACATCTATTTGGATAAAGATTTGATATAATTAAAAATGGAGGATCAGTTACTGTGCTCATTAGACTCGCAGTATCAATCCCTGTCTCCACTGCCAGATCCATAATGATCCCAAATTTCAAATATACTCCCCCAGCAATTTCCAATTATGTTTGTTAGTAATGTAACTAAAGTAACATATAATGTATACTACAAATATAACAACCAAGCATTTTGTAGTAATGTCTTTGAGAAAACATAATTTTCTTTTCTATCATTTAAATATAAGATATCAGATGTCAAAATAGTTCAGCCAGGAGTTAGGGAGGTAGAGAGAAATGAATAGGCAAAGCATGAAGGATTTTTAGGGCAGTGAAAATACTCTGCATGATACTATAATGGTAGATACATGTCATTATACATTTGTCCAAACCCATAGAATGTACAACACACCAAGAGTAAACTCTAATGTAAGCTGTGGGCTTTGTGTGATAAAGATGTGTCAATGTATGTTTACCAGTTTTAACAAATGTATCACTCTGAAGGGGGATGCTGATTACGGGGGAAGCTAGGTATGAGTGTGGGTAGGGAAATTTACCCACAGGAAATCTCGGTACCCTCCTCTCAATTTTACTGTGAACCTAAAACTGCTCTAAAAAAAATAAAGTCTTAAATAAGTCCCATTAGTTTTTAGGTACACATGAAATAACACTTTCATATTGTTAAATTGTATTTTCAAAATATTATTAAAAATTATACATTAAAGATATTTAAGTCCTATTCTACATAAAAACTGTTCTCATATGAATGATTAAATATAAAAGTATTTGGATTATCTTAAGTGATGAGGTATCTGGCATGAAAAAACTTGATTTTCAAACAAAGCTGGCATTCACGCAATGACCAAAAAGGCAAGGTGAGAAGTGACAAAAATCAATTATTATTTTTTCAGCTGCTACAATGCTGCTATATGT
Organism: Homo sapiens; assembly: GCF_000001405.40. Lineage (NCBI taxonomy): Eukaryota > Metazoa > Chordata > Mammalia > Primates > Hominidae > Homo > Homo sapiens. The sequence goes on from NC_000004.12 coordinate 48,597,898, forward strand.
CTGAATAATAAAATCATCCTAAATTTATCTGAGCTTTAAACAAAGATATTCAATCTAATTTGAACAATTACACAAATAAAAATCTAATGAACTTAATATAAAACAAAATTTTGGTATGTCAGTCAAATATAGTCTTTGGCAACAATCATTTTAATGTTTCTTCTCTTTTTTTCTACTGTGAACTAAAAAAATGATTTGTTTAAAACCAAAATCAGTAAAGCCAGGCATGGTGGTGCATGCCTGTAGTCTCAGCTTGAACTCAGGAGTTGGAGTCTAGCCTGGGCTAGTCAGACCCTCTCTCTGAAAAAATTAAAACAAAAAACAAAAAACAAACCCAAATCAATAGGATAAACTTTTAAAAATTAATTTGTCAGTACTGTATTCCATTAACTTAAAGAGTAGACTTGGATTCTTTGTAACTCAAAGGATAAATGCTTGAGGGGATGAATACCCATTCTCCATGGTGTGCTTACTTCACAGTGCATGCCTGTATCAAAACATCTCATGTATCCCATAAATATATACATCTACTATGTACCCACAAAAATTAAAAATAACAGCAACAACAACAACAAACTATATTCAAAATCTAAGCTACTGTCTCCTTAATTTCACTGGAAATTTTTAAAACATTTTCATTTATAACAGCTAGATAATGTATGTTAAACAGAATATTTTAAAATTGTGACTTTTGGTGAAGAATCAGCATTCAGTGTCAGTTCTATTTCTTAAATTCATCTTCTTGGGGCCACACTGATATTAAACCTTCTGAAGAATGTTTCTGCTGTGTGCTACTCTTCTCTTAAAATACTAGAAGCAGGTTGGAATAAATACATTAGACATGCAATGCAACAATGGGAAAAGGAAAAACAAATGCCACGCTTAAAGGAAATAAAGCAGTATTTTACTTTGTAATGTCGACACAACTCACCTGGAGTGTTTCTATTTGTTTTCTGATACTGTTGTTAGATGGCATCTAAATAAAGCAATGTGAGACAGCAAACATAAACATGAGATGCAGCACATGCATGTTAGATGAAAATAAGCACAAAACAAGACAGCTCTTCACCAAGGTCTCTATTTAGAAGAAATTTGAAATGTCCAAGACAGTGGCCAGAAACACTAAGAAAAAAAAAAAATCTCACGATTTGGGCATCATGTAAGATACACCTATAATATTCCAACTGAGAGAAAACAAAGTTTTAACTACCTAATTTTTCTTAGAATTCTTCTTAAAGCACTGTATTTCAGTTCAACTTTAAATTTTTAAATGAATGTAAGTATAGATTGTTGAAAAAAATCTCCAAATTATTTTCTATGATAACTACTCTTATTATTCACCTATCTCTCTTAATAATTCTCCAGAAACTTTAAAATCACTTTTCACACAAGCACCTAAATTGATATAGATATAGGAATGGGAGAATACCAAATTCTGTTTGGGACAAAAATTAAAGATTTAACTTTTCAGTGAAAATAACGTGACACTGTCACAAGCTATTTATGGGCATATAGAGATAAAGCTCATTTTTCATGGTCATCAACTTTAAAAACTAGTATGGTAATTTTTTAAAACTGTGCAATATCATAAAGTGCCTTGAAATTCATCATATTTATTCTTATGACTAGAGAGTAATGCCTTTTTAATATCCTCAAATTATTGCTAACATGTTTTCTTAAAATATTCAGTGCTTATATCCAACAACATTCCTTATACTACCTTCAGAAGTAAAATGGTGGACTAGAAGAGCAAGAGCTATGGAACTATGTGAATATGGACACAAATCCATGCTGGCTCCCGAAACACGGGTTACTTGTTTATCTTCTTTCAGCCTCATGTACAGTAAAAATCAAATGAGATTCTGTACTTAGAGGATGTAGCATCCAATAAAAAGTAATAAAAACCAGTCATAAGAAGTATGGGTCTAGGCTGGGAGCAGTGGTTCACACCTGTAATTCCAGCACTTTGGGAGGCTGAGGCGGGTGAATAACTTGAGGTCAGGAGTTTGAGACCAGCCTGGCCAATATGGTGAAACCCCGTCTGTACTAAAAATAAAAAATCAGCCGGCGGTGGTGGCAGATGCCTGTAATCCCAGCTACTCAGTAGGGTGAGGCAGGAGAATCGCTTGAGTCCGGGAGGTGAAGCCTGCAGTGAGCCGAGATCATTCCACTGCACTCCAGCCTGGGTGACAGAGCGAGACTTCATCTCAAAAAAAAAAAGGTATAGGTCTAATAAAAGGAAATTGTTTAGGTTTTTAGTATCAAGAGATTAAATGGATCTCAAAATAGTTTAGGTAAGGCCTTTATCTTGGATCAATTTTCCCTATACATAAAATAAATAACTGTTACAACAGATAACTAGCATAGTTTTTCCTTCAAGGCTCAACTCCTTACCTCAACTATGCAGAGCAGCCACATTATCTAAGACTTAATAAATAGGAGCCAATTCATAAAATTTCTGCTGAATAGAGCCTTAATGTAAGTTAAGGGTTAATGGCCAAGACAATTATATTCCAAATACTCATGCTAAGTGGCTCTTATCTCCTTTAGCCTGGCAGATTGACATAGCCATTAATGAAAATGAACAATATGCCAGAAATATTTAACAGGAGGTAAGGGTTCAAAGAAAACAGAGCATTTAAATGAAAGCCTTAAGACAAAAAAAAGTTAAGGTACTGCGAAGTATTGCAAATATGTTAGGTGAAACGTATATATATAAAAATTCCAACAAGCAACAGAAAAGTATGAACTGTCATGAAACAAAGCAGCCTTCCAGAAACATTTAAATGCATATCTTAAAAATATTTTAATGAACGTATGAAAAATCATACTATCCAGAAAAATGATCAATTCTCTTTTGGTCCCTATATCTGTACAAATTACCAAAAATAAGAACAGAAATAAGTATAATGTAATTAATTAAATAAAATTTATTTCCTGGTTGCATGACATAAAGAGTTCAATCAGTTTGATTTGGTCCTGGGAATTTTCATAAATAGTCAAATAAGGCATATAAATTCTCATCCAAACATGAGTAATATCAACGTTTATCTAGAAGGAAAATAGACAAAAACATTTCTCAAAGTAGTATATATTCCGTATACCTAAGAAACTGAGGCAGTTTTGAAAATTATACATAAAATCATGAAAAAGACGTACAGGATAACATCCAGTGGATCATTCCTGAAATATGAAAGAAGATCCAGTCCTATTCCTACAATAGCACAACGAGCTGCATACCCAGAGACAAGTCACTTTCTCTATCTGCCTCGGTTCCATTATCTTCAAAGTATAAGGTTTTCAGTCTCAAGTCTAACTTAGAGGAATACCAGGAAATGGAATGTCATGTCTGCAATATTTCTATAACTTGCAAGCAAATATTCAAATAGGCTCATCTAAGTATATATCAAAAGAATATTCAAATCAAGCATTCGCATGACATGCAGCTGAAGAATATTCCCACACTGTCAGAATTGTGTTCCTACCCAAAGAAGAAAAGAGGATCCTGCTAGCAGAGCATCCTGGGAAGAAAATGATCCTTCTATCTCTCACAGTTTTGTTTTCAGGACTAAGAGAGGCTGAATATGGATGTGCCAAATAGTGTTAATGACAAGTACCCTTTCATTCAAGTCAGAATCATTTCAGGAGCTTTTACATCTGTGCAGATCCAGTACCAACTTTTAGATATGGCCGGGCATACTTAAATGTGATTTTAGTGATATTATCAAAGCTTTTTCTCATATTGTTCAGACTTAAACCAACATTACTGATTTTCTCAAAAGACAAAATAAGTATCTAGAAGGTTTTGTGAGATTAATACTCTATAATTCTAAAAGAATTAACAAATATTCCTAGATTTAAGATAATATAAATATCACTAAAAATGTACAATAATCTTGCATTCATTAGGACAAACTAAATTTTCAATCAAAAGTTTACTCATATCTATACATGATTCCCTATAGAAGAAATACAGTAGGTATAAGAAAAGGAATGTGGCAAAGTGTTGCTATTCAAGTATACCAATAGTAACAAAAGTTTCATTATGCACTGTTCAATTTATATGCATAAACAAAATATACCAGTCAGTATTTACATATCAGAAGTGTGATTACATCTTACCTTTAAATGTGACAAACAGTTCTGTAGGAAAATATGCCAGTTATTTAAAAAAAATTGTTTCTGACTGACACATAAAAGGCAGGTAATTAGTGGATATAAAGCCTATAGGAGACGGGGAAAAGACAGAATTAACATTTTTCATCGAAAAGCACTGGACTTTTAAATTTTATATTTCATTTATTCTCATAAGCAAGGAAACAAATCTTTTAAGCAGTTTTCCAATTCGTAATAAGAAATATAATCTCATAGAATAATCTAACACAGAAAGATAAAGAGTAAATTTTCTACGAGGAAAATTCCTTGACTGATCATACCTCTCTGAGTTAGAATATGCTATTAGTTCTCCCTCAACCCATTAGCCTCTCATCCATTTTGTGGTTATGACTAGTCCCTGGGATCAGATGACAGATGGCATTAAAATGTTAGCTTTCTGTTTGTCAAATGTGTAACTTCACGATGGCTACATTAGGTACTCTAAGCCTCACTTTCCAAACACATAAAGTAGAGGACAATAATCACAAATATCTTATAGGGTTGTGAAGCTTAAAGTAAGAAAAAAAAAAGTACAAAGTACTTAGTTCAATGCCTGGCACAATCCATGTTTAGAATTACTGTATCTCTAGTTTAGAAGGTCAAATATTTCACCAATTCTCCAAACTTTCTCCAAGCTACGTAAAAGTTATGTGAAATAGACAGGTAGAAAAAAATGCCTTCAATCTCTGACTAGAAAAGACGTAATTAGACAGAAAACAGCTGCTAAAATCACTTTATGACAGTGATCCCCTGAGGTTACAACATATTTTTACTGTACCTTCTCGTGTTTAGATACACAAATATTATTCTGTTACAACTGCCCACAGTACAGTAACATGCTGTACAGGTTTGTAGTCTGGGAGCAATAAGCTATACCATATAGCCTAGGTGTGTAGTAGGCTATACTATTTAGGTTTGTGTAAGTACATTCAATGATGTTTGCACAATGAAATAGCCTAACGACACATTTCTTAGAACATATTTCCATCATTAAGCAATGCATGACTACCTAGAAGGAAGTCTGAACAACTCAACAAATGCAGAGCTAGTAAAATTAAGAACAGAACATTTAAATAGAGCCACGCAAAACATACGTATGTAAAACTTGCCCTTGTATTGCACTTCAGGGATTTTACAATTTCAGATTTTACCATTCTCTTAAATTTCCACTGAATTCATAAATCAATTACTAAAAATCCCAATTAAATATGAAAAGGTTTGAAATGTTTCTTAATACCAATGAATGCTTCTTTCTCGAGCTCAGTTCAAAAGTAGTCTGATAAAGCATCTCCACAAAATTTTTCAAACAGGGAACATTCACTTCATTTTTAACAGCCTAGTAAAAAGATAATGCAAACAAAGAAAATGATACAGATGTTAGATTAAACTATACAAAGAATACAAGAACTTTCTGTAAGGTTTGAAATTGGTTAATAATTCACTGAGACTCTCACTGAAGTACTACAATGTGCCAAGTGACCAAATGTTAAGTACATAAGATAAACCTAGTCCCAGCCCTGAGTGAACAAAGTGGGAATACAGGCTAAGAGGACACAGTATAACAGGTCCACTGAGAGCAAATTCTCTGTGCTCTTGGAGCACTCAAAAGGGGCCCCTATGGAAAAACTCAACAAGGAAGTAACATCTAAGCTGCATCCAACATCTCTTAACAGAAATAGTGCTAAAGCCTCCCATTTAACCTTGCTGGCCTTATCTCCCACCCTCTGACCATGTGCATGGGGACCCAGCCTTTGGAGCTTCCTTGCTGTTCCTAGAACGCATCAAAGAATTTCTTGCCTTAGGATGTCTACGCTGGGGCCTGCTGCCCAAGAAGCTCTTCCCACAGACACAGGAAGTCTTACTGTCTCATTCCTTTAGATTTTGCTCAATTGCTACCAACTCTTTCGATGTGGTGGTCTTCCCTAATCATACTCTTTTTAAAATTTCAACTCCCTCACCCCTTTGGCAATCCTATGCCCCCTACCCTGTTTACATTTCTTCACATTACTCTCCACAATCTGACATACTACCTATTTTATACACTAGTTTATTTTCTATTTTCTGCACTAGCAATTAAAATCTACGGTACTAGGGAGTCTTTCCTATCATACTCATTGTTGTGTTCCCTTGTGCATAGAGGAAGACCTGACAAACAGAAAGCACTCAATAAGTAAATGAGTAAAGAAAGAGAAGCCAGCCAGAGAAAGAGGGGAGGGAGGTTACTAGAGAGGCATGAATGTTCCAGGCAGAAGGAGCTGCATGTGCAAAGGCCTAGTATTATGGGTTGAATCATATCCCCCCAAAATTCATGTTGAAGTCCTAACCCCACAGACATCAGAAGGTGACTTCATTAGGAAATAGGTCATTGCAGATCACATTAATTAAGTTAGGATCGGGAAGACCCTAATCCACATGACTGGTGTCCTTTTAAAAAGGGGAAATTTGGACACAGACATACACTCAAGGAGAATGCCATGTGACAATGAAGGCAGGATTCAGAACCATGCTTCTACAAGCCAAGAAACACAAAAGATTTTCAGTGCACACAAGAGGCTAAGCAAGGGGCATGGAGCAGGTTCCTCCTCACAGCTCTTAGAAGGAACCAACCTGCTGGCACTTTGATCTCACACTCTAGCCTCCGTAAATATGAGACAATATACATTTCTGTTGTTAAGCTATCCAGTTTGCAGTACTTTATTACGGCTGTCCTAGCAGGCTAATAAACCTGGACACAAAAGCAAATATGGTATAAAAGAATCAGGCAACACGATGATAATGGACCATTGTCAAGTGCCTCTCTTCCTACAACCTGCTCCTTTTGACGAACTGCCTTAAAAACTAAAACCTAATCTCAGCCATCTGGGAGAAAAAAAAAGGATGATCAAACAAAGGGTGAAGTACAAATGATCATTTGGAAGGGATAAACAGTAATTCAAACAACTTACAGGAAAAGAAATCAAAGTGCATATCTAATAAAAGACTAAAACTGACATGACTTATACATGATAGCCTGTTTTCTTTTTTATAAAATGAGCCCAATTCATATGGCTAAAAACTGGGTGGGAGGAAACGGGGGCTGTGTAACTCAAATAAACCACTTGCAAACCTTTAATTTATGAGTTTTGTGTGTCCCCATTTTTAAAAATCTTCAATGCAAAACAGGTTTTAAAAAACACGTCAATCACTCTCATTAATATTTCAAATTCTTAACTTTTAAAACAATTCTCTGTTCACCTTTTCAAAACATGCTCTAAAGGTAGGACCTGAATACTACAAACCAATTCATATAAGCCCATAGGTCACAAGTAAGTGAATTCAATGTTTAAAAATGAAAGCCAAAACAGTTCAATTTTTCAACATGTAATACATTTCTTCATTTTTGAGATTTTAATTAGAATAAAATCTGAACAAAAAGAATGTAATTAATCTCCATTTCTAGCCAAGATGGAGCTGGATTTCCCCTACCATCTGCAACAACCAAAAAACAAAATACATGAAACGATCTCTAAAACATTGTATGATCAACAAAAGGAAGAGACCTCTGAGCAACAGGGAGCAAATGAGACGAGCCTTCCCATGGCCACAGCTTATTGTCATGTAAGTATTTTTAGGACAAAAAATAAAAGTATAAGGTTGATAAGGTTCTTGTATAACACACAAATGGTATGAAAATAAGAAAAATACTTACAGCAGCTACAGGGATAAGAATCTCCACAAATAAACCAGCAAGTGCATGTTTTATATCTTTATCTTTCACTTCTAAGAAATACTGAGCACATTCCTTAAAGGGAAAGAGGTATATACTTAGATTAACAAAAGAGGAAAGGTTAAAGAATTTGTAATATCACATCATTTTGTGAACACTCTGTCATTTTACCAAAAAACTAAGGTCAATGCATCTTCAAGTCAAAAAACAAAGCTGGCTGGGTGCGGTGGCTCACACCTGTAATCCCACCACTTTGGGAGGCTGAGGCGGGCAGATCACCTGAGGTGAGGAGTTGGAGACCAGCCTGGCCAACATGGTGAAATCCCGTCTCTACTAAAGAAAAAAAAAAAAAAAAAAAAAAAAAATTAGCCGGGCCTGGTGGCAGGCGCCTGTAATCCCAACTACTCGGGTGCCTGAGGCAGGAGAATCGCTTCAATCAGGAAGGTGGAGGTTGCAGTGAGCCGAGATCATGCCACTGCACTCCAGCCTGGGTGACAGAGTGAGACTCTGTCTCAAGGAAAAAAAAAAAATTAATTTACACTTAGAACAACTTAACACATGGAATAAGAGACTAAAAATGATGCCATTAATTTACGTGTATTTTGTTTCTTTTAAAAAGTCATGAAGAGCAAGGACTGTTAGGCTTGCTCTATTTACTGTCATTTAGAAGGTATATCACCTGCATAAATTGAAATGATGCTTCAAAATCTTCTACAGGATACATTTTTACTCGAAAAAATTTCATTCCCATTATTAAGCTGATGACACTTTGTACCACATGTGGGCTTTGTTCCTTTTGTCGCAGTTCTTTTAATTCTGTCACAAACTTCTTCCTTACAGCCTGAAACCTTTAATATACGTGGAGACATCATTTGATTTGAATTAAAAACACTAATTTCCACATGATATTTAAGGGTAAAAATCAAAAGGTATGCTACCTAAATATCATCTCCTTTCTCTACCTTCATTACAATTGCCAGAAAGGCACACAGAGGAAAATAAAAATTGCTACTCTAAATTTGCTGTTCATTTCTTTTAAAATTAAATTAAAAGTTTCTGAAGGAGAAATAATAGGATTTCTTTATTCCTATAATATTATCAAGACACCACCATTACCATTTAATTAATAACCATAATAGAATAATATCAAATAACCAACCCACAAAACGCCACCATGTAAATCAGTGTCTCCAACTTTTAAGGCTCTTTTTATATAAAGTCTGCAATTAGTTATATGGAGAGCATATTGGAGACTATAAATTTGTTCACAGAGATAAGCCAATCAATCATACAGTACTAATTATCACTTAAAATCAATACATCATTACACTGCCAAAAGGCTTTTGAAATGTGAGCATCATCCTGGATTCAAATCACAATTGTTAAAGCTAGTAAGCTTTTCTTCACTTACATTTGAAAAGGACATCTAATAGTTTATTAATCAATTATACTTAATTATCCCCTTCCCCCCTATATATTATGAAACAACTAAAGACTTTACTGATAATGTTACTTGGGGAAGCCAGTTCCTTAAAGTTAAAATAACCTCAAAACATGCTTTCCAGTGGTCACTGACTACAGTGAGAAGAACAAAAAAAAATTAACAAAATATGGATACATGACTGAAATATAACATCTTTTTTTATTTTAATCTTGGAGAATATGATACCATTTTTCATGACTATATTCTTTAGCACTTCATTAAGAAAATTTTTGTAAAATGGATAAAGTCTTTCCATTGAAATATTAGAATCCAAGGATTTTTTCCTTTTGTTAAGCTACTTACAAAAATTATTAGTCACTACAAACCAAGAAAATACATACACCAAGATTCAAATATACCTCCAGCCTTTATCTCCTTCTCTTCCCCACTCCCACTCAACCCCACCACCTGCCCCCTTAGGTGCTATCAGCCTAACTCAAAGTGGATCCTTTCACGTTTTCTCCCATGTTTATTACATGCATGAGCAGAAAACATCTTAGTATTGCTCTAAAGTGGCATTTCTCCTACAACTAGCAGGTGAGGCTGAGTACCATTTCATACATTTACTGGCTGTTTGGACTTACTATCCTTGCCATCTAGAGTTAACGTAGCCATGATGGAGTGTTCTCCTGGATCCAACTTGCTAATATATTATTTAGAATTTCTGGTCTATATTCCTGAGACAGAAACTCAGTTTTGACAAAAATAAAAATAACATAAACAAACTGTCATAAAGAGAAATACATCACTGCTCATATCTATGTTTTTGTGTCAATTTAATTCCATGCGAGATATTAAGATATTATTGTTGATGTCTAAATCATTTAAAATACTCAAACCATAAGGTATTAAAAAATTATCATCTATATCTAAATCATTTAAAATACTCAAACCATGTTCTAAGTTCCATAGCATTTGCTATACAAGGGTTCCTAGTATATTAAAAATTTTAAAAATATGCTAAATAAAATATTTCACTTAATATTAAAATGCAAACTACTTAAACATTAACAATAATTGTACTTGCCTTCTTAGAATTTAGAAAGGTTGTTTGTTATATGATGATTTCAGGGCCAAAGACTCTTTCAAACACATCTAAGAAAATATAATTTGATACTTTTTTCCTTATAAATTTCCCAGTAGTAACAAAGGAAATCCAAAATCTTCCATAATTGTTACAGTAACCACAAGTTGCTAATAACAAATATATTTTGCTGTTTACTAAAGTGATGGTTCAGTGCAACTCAATGTGTATAACTCTTAATGAATTAACAGTTTTAATTGAGTAATCTAGTATCTTTCATCTTTCCTTTTTGGTGTCTCTTACCAATTCAAACTCTGTTTAGCATTAAAACAAATATGATTAGAAAACACTGCATTGCTGAGGAATAAAAGTTCTCACTTGGAAAATAATTATTAGCTCTGTAAAGAGTTCTTTAAAAAGATTCTAACAGAATTGTTAAAAATAGGGAAAAAGATAGTGTCCTAAATATGGTTGGCAATTTCTGATTTGTTCGATTCAGACATTTATAGAAAACCCCAAATAAAATTAAAACAAGTGGTGAAATTGAGGTATGAGTGTTAAAGAGCTTCTGAGAAACAGAGCAGTAAAGTAATAAAAGGTGGAGCTGACTTAGTGCTATGGAAAATGGTGGATTTCGAACTATCAGTATCTATTGTATTCATTGGTAATGAAGCATTCTAAAATGCAAAGAAAATCTAAATGGGTGATTTACAAAACTTACTTTGATTGGGCAAGAACCCCTATCACCTCTGCATATAAATCAGCAATAATATGCACATTCCCAGTGTTGGTTCCTGAATATCTAAAATAACAAAAGAACAAACATAACATTTCATTAAATTTTTCTACAAACTCTCTTTCCTAATACATATGAAAATTCCTTATCAGAGTATTGTATAATTTTCTCTGAATATTCATTTATATGATAAAAGCAATACTAATTTTATTCTATCTTCAATTTTACTTTACTATATTTAACCTTCTGGTTCTTACATATCCAATCTGTAGTACTAAGAATTATTTTCACAAAATCTTTCTTATCAGCATTTTCTGTGGATTTAAAAGAAATGGGGGCTGGGTGCAGTGGCTCACACCTATAATCCCAGCACTTTGGGAGGCCAAGGCAGGTGGATTGCTTGGAGCCCAGGAGTTCAAGTCCAGCCTGGGAAACATGGCAAAACTCTGTTTCTACAAAAAAATACAAAAATTAGCTGAGTGTGGTGGCGTGCACCTGTAGTCCTAGCTACTCAGGAGGCTGAGTTGGGAGGATCACTTGAGCCCAGGAGGTCAAGGCTGCAGTGAGCCATGATTGCATCTCTGCACTCCAGGCTGGGTGAAAGTGAGACCTTGCCTCAAGAAAAAAAAAAAGGAAGATAAGAATTGCCTTGAACTCTCAAACAAATGATCAGTAAGACTTAAAATAGTCTAGACCTGGATTGCAAAAAAAGGCAACAATCCCAAGTTAGTATTTTACTTACCCTTCCTTATGTTTAAAGTGCTTAAAAGCTAAGTTTAGAACTTCATGAACTAAGGGATCGGGTACAGGATGAACAGGAATCTAGAATTTAAAAAAATTATCAAGTAAGAGTTAAATTATTGGTTTTTTATGAGTATTCTCATCAATTCAACTAATTAAATCAATAATCAATCTTAATGTTCATGGGATTATTACTAATCTGTCAATCTTCCTTTTTTCTGAGAATCTCGTTTTCTCTAAGAATTTGGTTACTCATCAAATTTCACAAGCTCTAAATTTAAGAATATTAGCTTCATAATCACAAATCACTGAACTATGGACTATGCAGTGGGAAAAGCAATAGTTGTTATTACTGCTTAATATTTACTGTCAGCAAACTAAAAAGACATGTACACCTCCCTGTAACACTTACAGAAAAGCACCTTTGTAATGAGTCAGCCCTACATTTAATATAACTCAATTTTGAACTATCATGAAAATGGTCACAAGGGACACTATCTTTTCTAACAATCTTAAACTATTTATAGACTTATTATTAAAAACCCGACATTTAAATAGTCTCATTTCAACTCTAAAAGAGTATATGCTAGTTCCTATTATGTAAAACAAATTTTAAACATTTAAACCAGTAATAAAAGCCCTACTCCTCCACCACATATAATCACTATTAACAACTTCATGTACATCCTTCCAGACTTTTTCCTACACATCCTCACATGCATGCGTGCATTCCTTAGTTTTACTTAACCAAATAATGTATCTTTCCATGTCAGTATTTAGAGCGCCTCCTTATACTTTCTAACAGCCACTCAATATGTATATATCACAATTTGATATGTATATATAAACCATATACTCAATATGTATACCTATATACATATTGAAATATGTATATATAGTATATATGTATATATTGTATATATACATATATTATATTATATATTATATACATATATTATATACATATATATTATATACATATATTATATACATGTATTATATATTGTATATATACATATATTATATATATGTTCAATATATTGTATATATTGAAATATGTATATATGTATATATGTATACACTCAATATGTATACATATATACACTCAATATGTATATATCACAATTTGATATGTATATATCACAATTTGAGGAGCCCCCTATTAATGAACATTTCAATTCAGATTTTCAATATTCAAGTAGTACTACAATAAACATCTTGTGCATTTAACATTATATACTTGTAGAGTTCCACAGGAAAGACTCTGAAAGAAGGAACTGCTGGGTTAAAGAGTTTACAAGTCATTGCTAACACATATTCTAGTTCTACACAGTCATCCTTCAGTATATATGGTGCATTGGTTCCAGGACCCCCGTGATACCAAAATCTGCAGATGCTCAAGTTCCTGATATAAAATGGTGTAGTATTTGCATATAACACTACATACATCCTCCCGTACACTTTAAATCATCTCTATCTAGATTACTTATAGTATGTAACACAATGTAAATGTTACATAAATAGTTGTTATACTGTATTTCCTATTATTTTTTATTATTGTATTGTTACTTTTATTTATATATATTGTTTTAATTTTTAATTTTTGTGTGTACCTACCAGATGTATATATTTATGGGGTATTTTTATATTTTTGATCCAAGGTTGGCTGAATTCATGGATATAGAACTCACAGATATGAAGGCCCTGACTGTGTGGGTCTATTTTTGAGCTCTCCATTTTGTTCTATCAATCAATTTGTATGTGTCTATACCAAAATCATACCATCTTTTTAATTACTAAAGCTTAATAATAAGTTCTCATATCTAGTAGTGCAGGTCCTCTCCTTACTTTTCTTCAGAGATAGCTTGGCTATTCTTGGCCCATTGTTCTTCCATATTCCATCTAGAGTCACCTTTTCAAGTTCTATAAAAACTGTTAGGATTTTTATTAGAGCTGCAATGAATCTATAAAACAATTTGAAGTAACTGTATTTTTATATATTTACATGAAATAACTTTTAGTAATATTTTCTAATTTTCTGGTTTTGTGCTTTGACAAAGAGATGCTTGATTTCACTAATCATAAGGAGAATGAAAATCTTCAAGATATCATTTTATACCTACTTGATGGGAAAAAGATTAAGTCTGAAAATACCAAATAGTAGAGAGAATGTAAAAAAGTGAGGTTCTGTATATATTGTTGCAAAGCAGCATACAATCTAGTGAAGGAGATCAGGTATGTCACCCCACAATATATTATTGGCATGCAGATTATTTTGAGCTAAAGGCAATTGAGAAACAGCAGATGCAGGAACAGTTTCCTCTACAATCCTTACTAAATAACCATTACATTCCATTAGTTTTCTGCATATATTTACCTTCCCACAATTTTATTGTTTCTAGAAGCCCAAACCTTTTTCCTTTGTCTTGTCACTACTCTACAACTTATCACTCTTTGTTAAAATGGTATATATTCCAGTCTGTACCTGAATCTTTGAAAAAAAAAAAGTGTATTAATTCTTGGATCTTTGCATATTTTCTTCGAGGCATCCATGTGCATTCGTAATAAACCTTTTGACCCTGGTAATCTTTCTCTTGTCAGTTCAGTTTGTAGAGCCCCAGGCGCTAAATCCAAGAAGGCAGAGCAAAAAGTTTTTTCCTCCCCTATACAGTAATTCTTGTGTATCTACGGTTTTGCTTTCTGTGGTTTACCCAAGGTCAACCATGGTTTGAAAATACTAAGACTGTGTGTGCACGTGTGTGTGTGTGTGTGTGTGTGTGTGTGACACCACATGCATACAGTTTTATTACAGTATATTGTTACAACTGTTCTATTTTTATTTATTTATTTTTGAGACAGTCTCGCTCTGTCACCCAGGCTGGATAGAGTGCAGTGGCACGATCTCTGCTCACTGCAAGCTCCACCTCTTGGGTTCACGCCATTCTCCTGCCTCAGCCTCCCAAGTAGCTGGGACTACAGGCGCCTGCCACCATGCCTGGCTAATTTTTTTTTTTTTTTTTGTATTTTTAGTAGAGACAGGGTTTCACCCTGTTAACCAAGATGGTCTCAATCTCCTGACCTCGTGATCCACTTGCCTTGGCCTCCCAAAGTGCTGGGATTACAGGCGTGAGCCACCGCACCCGGCCAACTGTTCTATTTTATTATTAGTTATTGTTGTAAATCTTTTACTGTGCCTGGTTTATGAATTAAACTTTATTATGAGTATGTATGTATATGAAGAAACATAATACAGGCTTAGTATCCCCTATTTGAAATGCTTGGGACCAGAAGTGTTTTGGATTTCTGATTTTCTTAAATTTTGGAATATTCACATATACATAATGAACTATCTTGGGGATAAGACCCAAATCTAATCACAAAATGTTGTTTGTTTCATATACACCTTATACACATAGCTTGAAGGTAATTTTATAAAATATGTTAAATAATTTTGTGCATGAAACAAAGTTTTGACTGTGTTTGACTGCAACCCATCACATGAGGTCAGGTGTATAATTTTCCACTTGTAGTGTCATGTTGGTGCTCAAAAAGTTTTGGATTTGGGGACATTTCAGATTAGGGATGCTCAACCTGTATATACAGGGTTTGATATTATCCATAATATCAGGTACCAACTAGGAGTGCTGGAACATATCCCCTGAGAATAAAGGGAGACTACTATATTTGCTTCAGTTATGACTGAAGTTTAACAATGACAGCTAACGACAACACTCAGCCATGCTATGTGCTCTTTGTTGCCACCCTACTACCACCATCAACATTTTCTATGTTTATAACACTTGTTAACAGTCTTACAAGACACAGGTATACCTCCTACTTTACAGATGAGGGAAATGAAGTTCAGAGGTTGCTGTGTACTTCTCTAGAATATACTATGTCCCTAGATTCTGATATATGTAAATGCATTTGAGGCTGGGCACAGTGGCTCACGCCTGTAATCCCAGCACTCTGGGAGGCTGAGGCGGGTGGATCATCTGAGGTCAGGAGTTCCAGACCAGCCTGGCCAACATGGTGAAACCTCGTCTCTACTAAAAATATAAAAATTAGCCAGGCGTGGTAGCACATGCCTATAATCCCAGCTACTCGGGAGGCTGAGGCAGGAGAATTGCTTAAACCCAAGAGGTGGAGGTTGCAATGAGCTGAAATTGCCCCACTGTACTCCTGCATGGGTGACAGAGAGTGACTCCAACCAAAAAAAAAAAAAAAAGGCATTTGAATAAATAAAACAAATCAGCAAGAAAACTTTGGTCTTATCATATTACTGCCAGGAAAGAAAGAGAAACACAGAGAAGTAAAAGAAGAAATACATCTTATCTTTAATTTTAATTAAAAATACATAAGTTCTGGTAAGACAGAGTTCGAGGTGTGATAAAAAATACATAAGTTCTAAAAATTTTACTTTAAGAATGAACATTATCAGAACACAGACATCCTGAAAGTCCCTATTTCTCCCCTTATTTTCAGTAGTTTAAAAAAAAAATTCTCAAACTGAATTTCCAAAGAAGAAAGAGAAAAGAATCTCATTTCGGGTCACAAAGAAAACGTTCTACTTTCATGGAGTAATATCTCCATCTTTAGCAACAAGAATTTCTAAGATCTTGCCATCGGTGTGATTTTAGAAGCGGCTCTAATTCTACTTCAATATGCAAGAAAATCTAGTAGAAACTATAGTAACTGGCTGGGTGCAATGGCACACGCCTGTAATCCCTGCACTTTGGGAGGCCAAGGCAAGCGGATCACCTGAGGTCAGGAGTTCGTGACTAGCCTGACCAACATGGTGAAACCCCATCTCTTCTAAAAATACAAAAATTAGCCAGGCTTAGTGACGTGCACCTGTAATCTCAGCTTCTCGGGAGGCTGAGGCAGGAGAACTGCTTGAATCAGGGAGGCAGAGGTTGCAGTGAGCCAAGATCAAACCATTGCACACTAGCCTGGGCAACAGAGTGAGACTCCATCTCAAAAAAAAAAAAAAAAAAAAAAGAGAAACTATAATAACAAATACTCAGGTTTATTCCAAGGCTATTTCCACTACCACTGCCAAAAGTTTAATGCTTTTTTTTTTTTTTTTTTTTTTTTTTTTTGAGACGGAGTCTCACTGTGTCTCCCAGGTTGGAGTGCAGTGGCGCGATCTCGGCTCACTGCAAGCTCCGCCTCCCAGGTTCATACCATTCTCCTGCCTCAGCCTCCCAAGTAGCTGGGACTACAGGCGCCCGCCAACACGCCCGGCTAATTTTTTGTATTTTTAGTAGAAACGGGGTTTCACCGTGTTAGCCAAGATGGTCTCGATCTCCTGACCTCGTGATCCACCCGTCTCGGCCTCACAAAGTGCTAGGATTACAGGCGTGAGCCACCGCGCCCGGCCAGTTTAATGCTTTTATCACATTATGAAAGTAAAGAACAAAAGACTAGCTTAAGATAGTGTGAAGTTGGACTAGCCCAATCATTAGCTAAATGACCAATTCTCAGCACCAAGGAGTGTAAACATCACACATTAGCAGAATGACAAGTCACCTCCCATGTGGACCTTTGGGACTGCTCATCAATATCTAAAATGCTATTAAGTCTGAAAATGCAAATAATCTACTCCGTATACATAAAAGATATCACCACCTTCTGATACTTCACAATAATATGAATAAAACCAAGCCAAGAGCTTGAAATGGCTCACAAACTAGGTTTCTCAACTTCTTGTTTGTTTTAAAGAATGAACATATGACTAAAATTCAATATTAAAAAGAGTATTGCTTCAAACTTTATAAATGTGATATTGCTGTTTAAACATGCTTTTATCATGGATCTAAGCCCTTTGGTACAAACATACTATTTTAGTTGGGCATTACCCCAAATTTATTCTAATGACTTTTTTAGAAAAGCAAAATTAGTCCTCTATTATCTGGAATTAATTTTGTTTCCAAGGTGAATCCCACTACTTAATTTCATCATATTTACATTAGCTCTTCGGCTAACTTGTTACAATGAAAAGTTTCATTCAATTTTATAAAATACTGGCCATTTCCACTATTCACAATAGCAAAGACTTGGAACCAACCCAAAAGCCCATCAATGATAAACTGGAGAAAGAAAATGTGGCACATATACACCATGGAATACTCTGCAGCCATAAAAAAGGATGAGTTCATGTCCTTTGCAGGGACATGGATGAAGCTGGAAATCATCATTCTCAGCAAACTAACACAAGAACAGAAAACCAAACACTGCAAATTCTCACTCATAAACGGGAGTTGAACAATGAGAACACATGGACACAGGGAGGGGAAGGAACATCACACACTGGGGCCTCTCGGCGGGTGGGGAGCTAGGGGAGGGACGGCATTAGGAGAAATACCTAATGTAGCTGATGGGTTGATGGGTGCAGCAAACCATCATGGCACCTGTATACCTATGTAAAAAACCTGCATGTGCTGCACATGTACCCCAGCACTTAAAGTATAATAATAAAAAAAAAAATACTGGCCATTTCACCTAATGTATCACATATTTTACCAATGAGAATTAAGTTTATTTTTATCATTAAAGAGAAAATTTGGAGTAAAATCAATGAATTTGCTTTATAATCTTCAGCAAATCACTACAATTAAGAACATTTCTTCACCTGTAAAGTGAAAATAATAGATAATATGTATTGAGGACTTTCCATGCATTAGGCGTTATTATATTTAATTCTTATGATTCTACAAAAATGATATCACACATTTTTATAGAGGAAGGAAGAGTCAGGGATAATAACTTGCCCAAAGTTACAAAGCAAGCAAGAGAGCTGGCATATTAATAGTACTTGCCATGGCCATCTCCCAGGGTTTATTACAATGATCAGTTGGCACAAAAGAGATAGAGTCCTTCATACATTTTGAAGAGTTCCAAACGTGTGATTATTACAGACAAAACAAATTATTCAAGATACAAATAATTTCTAATACATGAGGTCAAAGTCTAACCTATAAGGAATATTTTACTCGTCAAGACTGAAACAACCATTTATCAACACTTCAATCCTCTGTAGACTGTGTGCCTCATCACAATAAACCTGAATCACATTTTAATATAGGTGTATTATATGGGGCAAAAGTAAAAGTCCTATTAAATTGTAGATATATTACATTGTTTACTCTCTGGATCTATTAAACCTCATGTTATTCTGACAGAAGAAAATTGGGTTAGTTAGTGGTGATATTTCAGCAAGCTCTATTGATTTTTACATCGTTTTCTCTAGTTTTATTAGAGAAGCTACAAAGACTTGCCTTTTACCAGCGGGAATAATCCCTACATAGGATTTTAGATGAATAAAGTGTATCTATGTTCTTGGTGAGATACATATAAATGTATATATTTTTTGATGAGTGCATTTAAATTAGCGTATGGGGATAATAGTAACAGAGGGGAAGAAGTAAGTAGAAAGGATACTATAGGTTGGAATAATATGGTGACAGATCCAAAGACAAAGATTAGCTATCAAGGCCACTGTATTTCTTTTTCACTTTCAGTCCATGTGAACCATGGGTCAGAAATGATTTTGTGCAGTGCAGTGAATGTGAACAATGAGTCCACCAAAGAAAAAAAAAAAGATTTTTTTTTTTTTTTTAAAGAGACAGGGTCTTGCACTGTCACCCAGGCTGGAGTACAGTGGTGCAGTCATAGCTAACTGTAACCTCAAATCCCTAGGCTCAGGTGATCCTCCTGCCTCAGCCTCCAGAGTAGCTATGCCTACAGGCACATACCACCACACCCAGATAATTTTTTAATTTTTTTATATTTTGTAGAGATGGGGTCCCCACTACTAAAAAAAGTGTTATGTTTATAGGTCTTTTTTTTTCTTTTTTTTCCCCTACATGAAGACCTATCTGGACTGTGTTAAAAGAGGAGGAGGAGGGCTACAAAGGCAACAAGGAGGGGAAGAGGACAGGGAGGATGAGGGGGAAGAGATGGGAAAAATGCCTCCACAGGGTTGCCTGTGAATTGTAGTTCTGAAGCCAGTGCAATTGGGCAACTTTAGGATGAGGAGCGAGACTGACATCTAAGAAAAGGATGCCATGGGAAATGAACGAAGGAGGAAGGCACAATGGGGCCAGGTCACTGGGGTTCCTGAATGCTAATGTAGGGAGTCTGCCATTTCTCTGGCTGGAGGAAGAAACCCTATACTGTTTAAGCAAAAAAGTACAAATACTGGTTACCAATCCACTTAAATGAAATACATTTAGCACACAAGATACACCAGGGATAAATCACAATGAGCAGTAGTCAGAGTCCATTGCTGGGCTGTGGCCATATCCAGTCCTTAGCTCTTCCTATCCTAGTGACTGCTGCCTTAAGGTCTTAGTATCTCAGTTAAACCAAGAGATCACAGAAGTCAAATTTGGCTTGTTAGCACAACTCCCAGAGGAGATTTCTTTCCTACCTCTACCAAAAAACGTTTATGAAATGCATATATTAAAGTGATTTAACCTTTAATTAACTCTTCTGTTTTACATATTTAAAATTATGTTTATTTGCAGATTTCAGAGTACCAAAGAACTGTCTTTTCATATTCCTTGTAAAAATAAAAGCTAAATAAAACTGATTATATAATTCAAGTACTTTTATACTATGAGAAAAACAGACTGTCAATTAATTTTATATCTTGTATTTGCTGTTTGTCACATATTCCTTTCTATGTAACAAAAACAAAACTCCCTGTCCAAATGTGTCATATCCAAAATATGACTCTGACCTTTAGGCTTCCTAACTTGTTTCAAAAGAATACAATGTTCGTGCCTGGAAATACATGGATCATCCTTGAATGATATAACTTTAAAGACCATGATCTTTAAAAAAAAAAAAAAAAAAAGCTTTCAAATTCAGCACAGGCATTTATACTGATCTGGAGTAATAAAAATATTAAGACTATACCTGACACTATATTATATATTCATATCTTTACTGTGTATCTATCCCATTCAAGTGCAAGCTCATGAGTTTATTGCCTAAAACAGTGCCAGCACACAGTAGGCATTCTAATACTCATTGAATGAATAAACATTCCTAACTTATTATCTGAAGTATTCTCACTTGACTGAAAAACATTTGCACATGACAATTCAGTACCCTTATCAAATCACCCCATGCCTCTACTAAAAGTGCACAATTATTACATGTTGGAATGCAGGCTTGGGGGCTTAGAGGAGAAATAAAGTGGAATAAGGGACTGAAGTAGCTGAATGGCAGGCAAACTACATTTACAGCTAAAGGTCAATATTAACACAATTTCCATTCAGCTCCATTTTGCTAACAAGATTTTATATCTTGGATAAGCATACAAAGGTAAAAAATAGAGGAGATAACAGATAGGTACAGGGCAGGAAAGCCCCAGGCAACTGAAAGAAGTATAATGAAATTACAGGAATTTAATTTATGTGGGCTAAAATTCTAGACACAGCATCTTAAAGTAACTGAAACACGAAGGCACAGTAAGCAAAGAATAAGGAATACAGACTTTGCAGAAATAAAAGAGCTTACCTGCTTTAGAACTTCAACTAAAACTAAACAAAAAATGAAGTCTACTGCTAAGTCCCTCCTTTCAAGAAGATAATCTCTTTCACGTTGCTGTTCATCCCTGAAACAAGAATCCAAAATTAGTACTGCATTAAGATTATGACTTTAAAAATACCTGTTAGTTAGTAGCTCATGTCGCTTACTGTTTTCCTACTATGTAAAATGTGCTACAGCAATTGTTAATATGAAGCTTTTTGTTTTTTATTTTTGTCTTTTTGGTTTGAGACAGGGTCTCGTTCTGTCACCCAGGCTGGAGTGCAATGCTGCAAACATGGCCCACCGCAGCTTCAACCTCCTGGGTTCATGTGATCCTCCCACCCCAAGTAGCTAGACTACAGGCAAGCGCCACCATGCCCAGCTAATTTTATTTTTTCTAGAGAAGGGATCTCCCTATATTGCCCAGACTGGTCTCAAATTCCTGGGTTCAAGTGATCCTCCTGCCTGAGCCTCCTAAAGCAGATTACAAGCATAAGTCACAGTGCCTGGTCTGAAGCTTTTTAATAATCCAACATATGCAAAAACATGTTTTTATGTTCTTTCCCTTTTTATATACGGGGTGTTTATTCAGAGTTCACTATTATATCTGTTAGCATTTAAACTTAACCTAAAAGAATTAGTAAGAAGAAGAAAAGTATTTTAAATTTCATTTAGAAAATGTAGCATTGTTCCATATTTGATTACTAGTATTTTGTTAAGAACTGAAACAAAAGTATTAACTTTTCAACATGAAAATACAGTACAAGGTATCCTTCTCACAAATTTAAGTTGAAAAATCACAAGTGGCATCTACTGAAGTCCAACACTAAACCATGGACAATCACCTGAACACACGTGGCTCTTACATGCATGACAAGATCATCCTGGGAAATTTGAAGGAGAAGAAAACAAGTTCTAGGAATTGAGCTCCAAGAACAGTATCATAGTACTATTATAACACAGGGTTTTGGCAGTCTTCCTGTATTACAATAATTGCCTCCCTTCATAAACCATATGAACAGGAACTTCTTTGAATATTTTCTTAACTTTATGACTATTAAAAGCTCCTCACTGAACTGCTGAAATGGCACTCCTAAATAGGTTTTTGTATTACTAATTTTTGCATGATACCCAGTATGAGTACTGTAGGGCTACATCTAGTTTAACTGGTACCTTCTCTTGATTTACAGTTTATGTGTGAACTATCCTTCTCCCTTACTACCATCTTTGTAACAAAAGTAATCAACGCAGTTTGCTTAGGAATCAAACAATAACAACCTTCAGTTGATAATATCACCCCTTCATTGGAAGTGTGTTAATTCCAGGTGAAACAGTGTAAAATAAAGCACTTACCCCTTAGACTTTGTGCTAGACCGAGGCCTATATTCATAAGATTCATCTTCCGTTCCATTTTGGCGTCTGTACCAGTCAAACAAGGTGCGAAGTAAGGAAGGGAGACAGTGCTCTGCTACTGAGCTCATAGAGCTTATCAACTGAAAACACAAGATATTACCAGAAAATAAATTGTAACACTGAATGTACCACACTCTTAAGTTCTATTAGCTATCATTTAGAAATGAATAAACACAGTAACTCAATGCAATAAATGTGCTTTAAAATTAAAGCAAGGGTCAAGGGTTTAGCCAAGTAATAAAGTTGGCTAAGTTTCACCCACTATTAAACTTTATCCAAATCCACGTGGTTTAGCTCAATGGCTTTCAACCTTTTCCCTGCCTCCATATGCCACTCGCACATGTAAAAACATGCCCATTAGTAACATCCCTGATTAAATACACAGATATCTTTGGGGGAAGCATTACAAATAACATGTACTTTCTGCCCTGGCAACTCCTATGTGTTCATGTGAACAAATGATTCTAAAATATTGCCACTACATGGATGAAAAGACAGAAACAAAGACTACATTATGTAAGAACTGTGGGGAAAGCTCCAATTTACTATGCTATGACAAAGAGGAGAATTATAATTACTCTGCTATCTGCAAATTAGCATGTTAGAAACATGTAAACAGTGTGTAAGGCTTAGACTACATAAAAGGACAACATAAATGATAAGTGTACTGTGATGAACAAATGTTACTAAATTTGGGGCATTCTTGAAATGATCTGAATTCTAGGTAAACATCACAGATTCTTTTCATGAATGAATCCAACTTGTCTGCACAGGCTACCATCAGCAGTCCCTAAGGTCACTCTTTACCTTGAGGATCCCAAGAACAATTTTCTCTCTTCACAAAAATTTCTGTATGTGATTCAACCCATTTCTCATAAAATTAATATTCTGAAATCAGTATATAATTAAATATGCTTCACTTTGTTAACTTATTTTAAAAAGTATGGGTTGCAGGATATTCAAGGTCTCTTTTAGTTCCATGACTAGAGCAGGAGTTAGTTATTGAAGAAGATAAATTGATACCTCTGTAAATTGAACATTTAATTTTCCTGTTATTTCATATTCTGCATAAAACTTCATCCAGAAAAAAGAATGAAACAGTTTATTTGATTCTGTTGGCTGTTCTCATTTTCATTACTTGTACTCTCCTTTAATAATCCTTTTATTGTACATTATCATAATTTGACAGGTAAATAGTTTCTAATACAGAAAACTAAGGTATAAACAAGGTTCTAATTTTATTTAACCATACTTTTAAAAAACCTATATTTCATTAACAATGAACACTATCACTCAGAAGAAATCCCTTGCAATATCTAAAGAAGGAACAATAAAAACCCATCAACTATTGTAAATAAATACAAAACAGTTTATACCACACAGAGCTTTTTATTGTGAGCACCCTTACAAAAAAAAATCAAGCTATGAGGCACAATCATTTATAGTTTATTAATCATTTACAATAAAAATGGAAATTGTCCTTAAAATGTTGTTTAATCAGATTTCAAATCCTGATTATGGATTGATTAGTGACATGGATTCAAGATGTGAATAATCTAAATAACTTTTGTAGTGGCATGAGACTTGAAAAGCACTGTATAAGGTGATCTTATTATAGTCTTATTGTAACAGAGGTCTTACTGCCCTATTTATGGTTTCTTCTTAGACCAGTGGCTATTTACTAAATGTATGTATCAGAATCACCTAGGAAGCTGTTGTACATACAGGGGCCAGAGCACCACCCTCAGTGATTCTGCTTTGGCAGAACTGGAGTGGATCCAGGAACACAGTATTTTGGTAAGTCTCCACTAAGTAATTCTAACCACTCTTCTTTATTTAGTCAATTAGCCTGATATGAACATTAAACTCTATTTCTGAGATATATAATTTTGGGTAAAGTGTCCCAGGAGTACTAGATAGTAAAGAAAGCTAATTTAAATTACTGGTTTTTAAAAATAACCACCATATATTTAAATACTTATAACAAAATTGATCCAACATTTAATCCAAGCAAGAGGAAGAATTAGCATTAGAAGATCAGCACAAGAGTTGTTAGACACCGGCATTCTACATGCAGATTGAGAGCCCCACAGAAAAATAAATAAATGTTAAAAGGTAAAATATTATTATGTAAAAAGTGTGGCAATTGATACAGAAGGAAAGACTGAGGGATGTAACTGAAAATGAAAAATGTGAAAGGTACATTAAAGAGATTAACAATGAAAAGCTGTAAAATGCTAAATGAAGTGAAACTAATCACAGCTCATTATACTACTTATTTAAAAAAACTATCAAATCTAGAATGAATTAAGCATACAAGGATATATAGAAATTAAGGAATTCCTTAATATTGAATACATTTGGGCCAGACTATTAGGATGAACACTATTTCCAGGGGAAAAAAAAATTCTCCCAAAATTGTCATACCTGATCAAACTGAAGATCTTCACCCCTCTGAAGAGATCTGGACAATAGCTTCTCCTATGATTAAAAAAAACAAACATTAAAAATAAAAATAAAGCACAAATATAAAACATTAGAAATCTTCTACATAATAAACAGTTTAGATTTGTGCGTTTGGTTTTGCTCGTTTTCACTTGTTACTAGATTGTTTTAAAGAAAGATAAGCCTCCTCTTTGCCCAAGGTCACATGGTTAATTTAAGTGTGGCTCCAGAGGCAAGGCTCTCACTGTGATACTCTCCATACCAAAGAAAGTGGTTGTGCTCATCATCTCCTTTTGTAACAAGTTTAAGTTTGATAGTTCTTAGATTACAGACTTAAAGTTCAACATAGGTTTTGTTTAGATTCAAGTTCAAAAGTCAACAGTATGTGTTCTTTCTTTCATTCATTCAAGAGTTTACTGAAAAGCAGCCTAGTACAGAGATTATCAGTAGCCAGAGGGCCTTGGTGTGACCTCCGACCTGACTACCACGAAGTGAATGACCATAGGCTGATGCCTTATGGTCTCTGTGCTTCAGTTTTCTTATCTGAAAAAACAAGGCGGTTGTCAAATACTGGTATCAGCAATATGCCTATTCTGTTTAAAAGCTTATAGCTTTTAAATATCTGTTCAATACTTAACCTCACTCGTAAGAGAAATATAAGTTAAAAAAAAACAAAGAAATACTTTGGGTATAATATATTGTATATACACATTCACTTACATTGGCTAGTAATATAAAATACCTTTTATATGTATGTAAAACTATATTCTGTATGTATATGTAAAAGAACCATGTGTTTACCAGTGGGGAGAGAAATTTGATAGTTAGAAAAAGAGGTAAAAGTTGGGGCCTGAGGATGGAAAGTTGTTACTGCATAAACTTCTGTGCCAGTTGAACTTGCTTGGTATCACAGAAGCCAAGAAGAAAGAGTATTTCATTAAAAATAAACAGTATATTGCCAGTACAATACTTTCAGGAGGTAACCTTCCAGTATGACTGCTTCTTATTAATTTAACTGATATCAGGAGAGGGTTCTGATTTAGTGGTATATCTTGCTTCAGCACAGAACAATCTCTCCTATCACATACCAGAATATTTTTTTTAACTTTCCATCTGCTGATTTTTTTACTGAACAAACAAATATTGAGTTCCTTCTATGGGCAAGTAATATCTACAAAACACAGAAGACGTGGTGGGACTCACTGTGGAAAGCTAAGACCCTCTATCCTTCAACCACTGAGTCCAGGGGGCATAATAGATACTAAAGTCTCTCTACCATCTCTCATCTGCATATGTACTCATTCTTGCTTGTATGAAGAAATGCCCAAAAGGGGTCAGTCTAGATCACTGTCTAAAATTAGTATAGAAAGATCACCATTGGTACATAAAGAGGCTTCCCCCAGTAGAAAACAGGAGACTGAAGAAATGGACTATGATGCTATCTTGCAATGGGTTGACAGAAAGTGGGAGTAAAGAAAATCTTGGACAAACAAAAGTTAAGATGGACACTGGATATTGTAATGTTAACTTTACATGTCAACTGGACTGGGCCATGGGGTTCCCAGATATTTGATTAAACATTATTCTGGATGTGTCTGTGAGAGTATCTGTGGATGAGATTAACATGTGAATCAGGAGCCTGAGTAAAGCAGATTGCCTTCCCCTATGTGGGTAGGTTTCATCCAGTCAGCTGAAGGCCTGAACAGAACAAAAGAGGTGACCTTCCCATAAGTAAGAGGGAACTCCTCCTGCCTGACCGACTTGAGCTAGGACATCGGTCTTTCTCTGCCTACAGATTCAAAGTGAAACATCGGTTCTTCTTGGGTTTCGAATGTGCTGGCTTTCAGACTAGAACTTATACCATGGGCTCTCCTGGTTCTCAAGCCTTCAAATTCAGACTGGAACTCCACCATTGTTTCTCTTGGGTCCCCTGCTTTCTGACTGCAGATTTTGGGACTTCTGAGCCTCTGAAATCATATGAGCCAATTCCTTGTTATCTATAATAAATCAATCTCTCTTTCTACATACATACAAACACACACCCTATTGGTTCCATTTCTCTGGAGAACCCTGAACAATACAAACATAATTTCTAATTTAATCTCCTCTTTGACCCAAGAAAATAATATGTCCCAGGGAAAAAATGTATACACATTTGCAAAGAGGTGTATAGAAGGACATTCACTATCAATGGAAAAAATGTGAAGCAACGTCAATGTACAACAATAAAACTTTGGGTCAGTAAGTCATGGTATATTCTTATGCAGTTGGCCTTCCATATCCTTGAGTTATGCATTCATGGATTCAACCAACCTTGGATCAAAAGCAGTAAAAAATAAAATAAAACTGCATCTGTACTGAACATGTACAGACTTGTGTCATTATTCCCTAAACAATATAGTATAGCAACTATTTCTATAGCATTTACATTGCATTATATCTTACAAGCAATCCAGAGATGATTTAAAGTATACAGGAGGATGTGCATAGGTTATATGCAAATACCACGCCATGTTATATAAGGGACTTGACCATTCATGAATTTTGATATCCAAGGGAGGTCTTGGCACAATCCCCCATGGATACCAAAGGACAACTGTATTAGAATATTGTGTAGTCAGTTAAGTAACAGGTAGACATAAATTTATAGATTGAGCAAAATGTTCTCAATATATGAGTTAAATTAGAGAATAACAGATAAAAGGAAAGAAAGTATGTATATATGGTAGTTAATACATATAAATTTAAAACTCTAGGAATATATATATCATACATTAATATGTAAAGCACAATTATAAGTCATTTTTTCATTATACCATTATTAACTTCATTTTCATTTTCTGAGTTTTCTACAAAGAACACAGATGACATGTTCTCATCCTTAAACTCAAGGGTTGCTGCTGGGGTTTCTAGTACTTGGTGGTATCCAGCAAATCCATTTAATTATAGAATACAATATAGCCACGAAAGTTATGGTTACAGAATAAAAGTGTTTTAAAACATTAAAATAACAATATACCTCAACAAAAACCAGGAGGTATGGAGAAGTGAGGTGGTTTAATTTCCTCATTGTCAAATCTGTTTGTCAATAAACCTCTCTCTCTCTATGTGTGTGTGTGTGTATATGTGTATACATGTGTATACGTATGCATATGTTTATATTTAAGTTTAAAGATATCTTAAGAACTATTCGCTCTGTAACAAAAACATTATCTGAATGTAAAAATTAAATCATTTTCATTTTAGTTTTTTGTTCTGTTAAACAAAATTAACCAATATAATTAATCAAATTATATCGGCTATTTGATAAGCTAATATAATTAATCAAATTAATCAAACCATTACAATTAGTTTAACTTAAAATAGCATGTATGATGTGATTCTTTTTGTCAGTCTTTCTACCTACTTGCCTTGCTGGCTGCCCCTAACTTACTATATATATTCATAAGAGATGTTTGTGATTATGTTTATAAGTACATGATAATTGGTTTTTCTGTTGAGAATTTCAGGATGATTTTCTAAACTGTCTATATCATGTATTTTAATTGAAATTTACATTAAATACATATCACAGAAAAAGTCATTCTCTGAAATAAACAAGAAATATATAGAGATTTATGAAGCTTCTCTATCCAGTAGTCCCAATTTTTTTCTCTCATGTGTGATTAATCTTTATGAAAACACGATCACAAATGTATTTACCACTGAAATATAAAAATTCCCAATCTAACTTAAGAGAATAATGTTTGATTACATCTGAAGCCACATTACCTTTACTTTCTTAATAAGGTGAGATTTGGGGAACGTCTTTAGTACTCGGGTCTCTGGGGTTAAGCATATTTGGTCAATTATCTTGTAGGACAAGACATTTATCTCTAAAATCAAACTGCACACCATTCACATGCAACATGAGGATTCTGTACAATAATATACTAATATATGTTCAATTAACTAGCTCTAACACTTCAGTGAAACAGTCAGTATGTCTCATAATAAGTCCTGTAGAACACTGTTTCTAAAAGTGACTATATTGAAAAATCTTAGCTTTTTTAAAAATGGATTTTACTGTCCTAATGTGAACTATGTGTCTAAGACTGGGGGTGGGGAATACAGTAAGAGGTTTCTTTCTAACTTATTTGACTTATTTGATCCCCCCTTTTCACTGTAAATATTAAGTCTAAAGAGCTTTAACATTTTGAGGACTGCTGATTCAAGTAGTTTTTTACTCATGTAGCATATTTATTCAACACAGTTATAGCCAACTAGAAGAATAAGAGAGAGTGATAAACTTTTCAGAAACACACAGTTGCCTTATGTTTAACATTTATTTGTTTCATAACAAATCCATACTTCCTGAAAGATTTCTGAAGATTTGACATCCTCACAGAGCTTTTCCTGAAGCGGAAAATGGGGGTGGGTTGTTTTTTCCATAAGAACTCAGAAGTGATTTTTGAATGCAAAAGGATACGTTATCCAAAAAAATAAATAAATAAAAACAGAAAAACAGAAAACATGAAAAGATATACTACACTAAATATAAATTACTAATCAAGGACTTTGTATTAACTTCTTAGGTTCATTATAGTGTAGTTGAGGATGCCCTAATGCTTGCTCAAGTAGATGTACTGTGTTTCAATATGTAAGTTTTTTTATATAAAAAAACTGTCACCCAGACTGGAGTGCAATGGCATGATCTCAGCTTACTGCAACCTCTGCTTCCTGGGTTTAAGTGATTCTTCTGCCTCACCTCCCCAGCAGCTGGGATTACAGGCGCCTACTACCACGTCCAGCTAGTTTTTGTATTTTTAGTAGAGATGGGGTTTCACCATGTTGGCCAGGCTGGTCTCGAATGCCTGACCTCAGGTGATCCATGCGCCTCAGCCTCCCAAAGTGCTGGGGTTACAGGCGTGAGCCACCATGCCCGGCCTCAATATATTAGTATTTTTTAAAAGACAAACTATTAAAAAACATTTATTGTCTATGTAACTCATCACAAACAACTAAAAAGTAAAATTATTCTTTACACTAACACATAAATGAATGCAAAGATGTGTGTACAGCAATATGTCCTGTAGCATTTCTTTAAAGCAGCCTCAAACTAGGGTAAGGCCAAAACTGCCTATCAATAGAGACTGATTTAAAACTATATATGTAATATTCGACTGTTAGAAAGAATGAGATTAATTTATATTGGCTGATACATAATAATCTCCAATTTAGATTGTTAAAATAAAAATATCTGGGTACAGAAAAAATGTGTATTTTATATATATCTCCCCTTCATTTGCGTGTGTGTGTGTGTGTGTGTGTGTGTGTGTGTTTAAAGGTGATTTCATATAAGTAAAAAAAATAGAACAAAGAATACGAGAGGCTGGGAGGGGTAGGGGAAAGAGAGGCACAGAGAGATTTGTTAAAGAATACAAAATTACGACTAGAGTGGGGGGAATAATTTCTAGTGTTCTATACCACTGCAGGATGACTATAGTAACAATAATACATTATATAGTTTCAAATAGCCATAATAGAAGGAGGATATTGAATGCCCCAACATAAACAAAATGACAAACACTTGAGATGATGGATATGCTAATTAGCCTGGTCTGATCACCATATGTATTACCACATCCCTATGTACTCCCATGAGATCTGCAATTATTATACGTCAATTATTTTTAAGATTAAAATTTTTTAAATTGAAAGAATAAAAAGTTTTTAAAGGTGGCAGGTGCTACATAGATGGATAAGTAATAGACATGAAAAACTGGTAGACTAAAAACTGTTGATAGTGATTAGATGTTTTTATTATATAATCTTTAAAACTATTTCTACTTTTTATAGTCTTATTTTCATAGTAATAAAAGTTATAGTAATATTATAATTATAAAATATTATAATACTTTATAATATTATACAGTATTATAGTGTTATTTTCATAATACTATAAAAAGTTAATAATAATTCCAAGGCTCACAATCCTATATTTTATAATTTAATTCTACATATAGTGCATATGTAGGATACCAACAGCAATATGTAGCTTCAGAGAAAGCAAGAGAATTTTTGGAAAAATTTTGAAACCGTAACAATGACACTGAAACATTTCAGTAATCTGTAATTGGAGATGGCAGGTTGAACACTTGTATAGCCAACCTTCTATCCTAAAACAGAACAGTGAAATAATTTTTATAAGGGCTAAAACAAAAGAACAAAAAGGATGGGAGAGGAGGTGAAAAGCAGATGAAGACCATAACTAATTATCTCACCAAACAACGGTGACTCCTGAGTAAGCAAAGGGGAAAGTCGGCAGTCTGTTCATTCAGTCAGTCATTCACTCATTTGTCCAAATTATTTACTGGGTTCACAGTATGCCAGACATTGTTCTAGGTTCTGGAGATACAGCCATAACAAAACGGAAAACAACTCGCTCTCTTACAGAGTTAACAGTCTAATTAGAGAGTAAAGAAGTGTATATTATGTCAGACAGATTTAGGACAGGAAGTTGGAATGGGGACTGAAATTTCAGATAACATGATCATAGAGAAGATGACACTTGAGGCACAACCAGAGGGAAGTGAGTGAGCTTGACCCACAGAGAGTAAAGGAAAGATAACCCAACTGATGCTTTAGAACTTCCCAGAAGGCTCAGGAATTGGAGAACTTGGGTACTCTGAAAGTATGGCTAAAGGTGAGGATAAAAATAAGAGGGCTGATTGAAAGATTGTTTTAAAAAGCTTGTTTAAGAAAGATTTAGACCCTCCCTTTCACTTTACCTTCAGAGGCATTGCCTTTCTTAGGAAAGGGCAAAATACAATGATGCTGACTGGGGCATACAATGGTTGAAGAGGTACCATACTGAAGATAGGGAGGTTAAGCAAGAATATATAAACCAAATATCAAAAACCCCAGTTATCTTCTGAGTCTAGTTCCCCAGAATGCTTGCAGCTAAAGCCTAAACTCTCCCATTCAGAGTACTGTAGGAACCTTCTTTGGGGACTCTGACAAGTCCCCCAAAAAAGATCTGACACTGATGGTCCATTGACAGTAATACACAGAAGATCACAGTCAAAAAGGCTCCTCTGTGTACACTGGACTTCCAATCAACTGTGTTTCATTCTTAAAATATAACAAGTTAAAATAAACATGTGAGGAGAAGGTAAAACCAGCAGAAAAATGCAGTTTGGAAGAAACTGACCATACAGGGAGAAGAAACCCTTTAAGACACATACATATATTTATACTCTCAAAAAAAATAGTGAAAATTTTAGAGTTTTTAAAATGCTGGGCCTAAATCAAAACATAAGGTCTAAATCAGAAGAAGATAGGTAAATGGATTTTCTTCTATCTTCTTTTCTAGTCCCCAGCAATCTAAAAGATTAACAGATAAACTTGGATATACCTAGGTTATTACCGAGGATTGATCCATCTCCTTTTAGGAAAAAAGGACCTAAGGTATTGGATTGCATAGCCTGCAAGTTGCCATTTCAATCACCAATTGCCCTTCTTGAATCTTCCTTCTAAAATGAAAATGAAATTGTGGCTAAAAATCCAACTCAGCTAATCTTCGAGTCTTTTGGCTTCCTTAATCTTCTTTTATTATGGTTTCTAATGTAAGAATGAAAAAGCCAATTCTCTCATTTTAGTGGTAGATTAAATTCTTTCAGCAAAAGCCATTCACATTTGTGTTTTTGAAACCTACTACCTGACTGACCATGAGCAAGGCCAGCCTCCTTGTATCTGACAAGCCCTGGATGCTATTTTCTTTAAAGTGACTCTGAACCCAGAGAGTCATCTTAGATGATTATTACCTAA
The DNA here is from genome assembly GCF_000001405.40 of Homo sapiens. Lineage (NCBI taxonomy): Eukaryota > Metazoa > Chordata > Mammalia > Primates > Hominidae > Homo > Homo sapiens. The sequence goes on from NC_000004.12 coordinate 48,630,953, forward strand.
AAGGGTACAGAATAAATTTCAAAATAAATGAAATTCCAATAAAAGCATTTGAAGCTATATTGTAAAAACTGTGACAATATTAGATTAAATGTATTTTCATTATCTAATCTTGAAGCTATGGATTCCCAACTTACCCAGACTTGGACATAAATAAAAACAAAGCTGGCACTCTGCTCTAGATAAGAAGAAATTATCTTGGTATATAGGAGTGTAAGGGGTAAAATCTGTAAAATATGATGGTGATTTGGGGGTTTTCCTGGTGTGTCAGGAAGAGTAAGCAGTGATGCCTCTTCTATTTGTGATGGCAGAGTAGAAACATCTACGTTCTGATGAAATCCTTACCACTATTAATCATAATTTTATAATCTCAGATTACATAGCAGATGCCTCTAAAATTAACTATTAAATAAATGAATTAACTAATAAGATAAATGAATAGCATCAGGCTATTCTGAAAGAACTATCGGAAGCTCTGGCTAGAATGAAAACATTATTATTATTATTATTATTAGAAAAACAAAAGGCACACACCACAGCAATACTTCTTAAGGCTACATTCATTAAAATACTAATATTTAACAAAAACCCTCTACTGAGTACCCACCACCACAAGCAGTGCCACAGATACAGAGATGAGAGAGACCTGGTTCCTGGTATCGAGTAACTCACATCGGAGAAGATAAACATGTAAGCAATTAACTATAACGTGATATCATCATAATCTAGAAGTATGTACAAATTATTACAGTAAAATACATATTCATTTAGCTTAGGGGGGGATGACTAAGTTAGAGGGAATATATGGGAAGTTTGGAATGAGAATATATAATATGGCCAGAGGCGGTGGGTCTATAATCCCAGGACTTTGGGAGACCAAGGCAGGTGAATCACTTGAGCCCAGGAGTTTGAGACCAGCTTGGGTGAGATCTCATCTCTACAAAAACACAAAAATTAGCCAGGTGTGGTGGCGCATGCCTGTAGTCTCAGCTACTCAGGAGATTGGGGTGGGAGGATTGCCTGAACCTGGGAGGTGAAGGTTGCAGTGAGCCAAAATTGCGCCACTGAACTCCAGCCTGGGAGACACAGCAAGACCCTGTCTCTCCAAAAAAAAAAAAAAAAAAAAAAAAAAAAAAAAAAAAATATATATATATATATATATATATATATATATATATATGCGCACACAAAATCTCAAATATATAAATATATATATAAAAATTGAGAACTGGTAGGACTGTATCACATGATACTACTATAAAACATTTTATAAAATAAAGTGTTTTTAAAATGTGCTGTGTGACTTGAAAATGGCTGAGGCCAGGTGATGGGTCCTAAGTGTTCATTATACCATAATCTTTAGTTTTATATATGTTTGACATTTTCCATAATAAATTCTTCAATTTGTTTAGAGTTGTTCCCTTACTGTATGCTGTTTAAGTAGACTAGTGTAGTAATTTATCATGTAATTCAGAGACCATTGAAAAAGAAAACTAACATTTTGTAGTTTAAGCATATCTATAATCAAATCTTATAATCATGAACTTATGCTATAGGCTTTTGTAATCCTTACTTCTAAAACAGAACTTTATATTAATAATATATATGCTGTCTATATATATACTATATATACATTATACAATATACACAAAAAATATATATACATTAGTATAAAAATCAATTTGCTATGTGGAAAGCAATCATGGGATGATTTAAACTGAATATAAACATCTGCACAGTTTTGAAATATACATTTGGCTATTATTATGTATCAGATCCCGGAACATATTATTTCATAGATGCTTTCCTCAGAGTAGTTTTCTCTACTTAATCATTGAGAAGAAACTCACCTTCACAGCAATTTCAAGGCTACTTCACTAAGAAAATAAGAGCATTGACAATACTTCCTTCAACTTTCTTCCTGCCCTGTCCTCCCTTCTGTTGTTTTCCTCTCTCATCCTTCTAAGGAACTATAACAGGCTGAGTAAGCACACAGGTTCTAAAGCCAATATATTATTGTGCCTAACTCCTCAGTGCGCCGTCACAAACCCTCTGAATCTGAAATTGGTGGTGAATAGCTATCCCTAATTCAGTTGTGTAAGGAGTGAGTTTCAGCTGTTACAACATCCTTCGCCTTCCTCTCCATTCCCAACATCCCACATCGAACCTACACTGTGTTCTTAGTACATCACATACCCACTTCCTTCCAGCCCAAAGAGTAACCTAAACTGTCACCTATTTAAGTTGGCAGAGAGTCAAAGTTACTTCCTGTAATTATATCAAGAAGGTAAAACTGTTCTGTTTTATTTCTGCTTATTTCCAAATCCAATAACCACTTCTCTCAATGTTCATTGTACTTTGCTGCTCTACGTCATTGGCAATAATAATTCTATATTTTCTTTCCCTTGAAATCATCATTTGCTCTTTTGGCTTCAATTTACACCCTCATATAGATGATACCAAAATCTGTATTTCTAGTTACCATCTCTTGAGTTCTCAAAAAGAATTTCCAACTACCAATCAAGCAACTAATTCCATGTGGTGAGATCATCAGTATCTCAAGCTTAAGGTACGCAAACGAAAAATTATTTTATCCACCTTTTCTACCCAAAGATATTCCTGTGTACTTTACCAAAGTAAATATATTATCATCTTTACTAACACTCCAGAGCATCTTTAACCCTTAACTTTCATTCAAAATGCCCCCTACTTAGTTACTTGTCAAGTTCTATTGATTTTACTTCTGTTATTTCTCTTACTTTCTTCTGCAACCATTTCTACTTCTAACACCATAGTTCAAGACCCCTTTCATTCCAGCCTGAACTATGTACAATAACTAAATAGTCTCCGCTCTCAATGTCTTCTCTCTCTATTGTTCAACCACCATATTATCCATCACAATAGCATTTACAACTCTTTAGAAACTGACCCATGTGTTTGTTTTCAGTCTTTCTCTTCCCTCCTCCTCATCATGGGCTCTAATCAAATAGAGCTTCTCACATTCTCCAAGTATGTCTCACACAATATACATGTAAAATATGTTCTCTTGTTTATTATAAGTTTGGCTGTGACCTTAGTGTTAACTCACATTATATCCTAATTTTCCTTTATTTCCTATGTTTTATTTGTTTCCACAATTCCCACTGTTGAAGTTCCTTTTTGTTCTTTTGCGACCTGCAGCAACTTATCAAAGTGGATTCTAAAGTCAGTGCAGCTTTCTACATCACCACTATCCCTTAATATTTTTTTCAAGTATATTATTTCCTTTGAAAAATCTGCATTATAGTGGTTAATACAAAAGTCAAGAAAATATTTCAGATTTATAGGTCAGCTGTACTCACCAAGGGTTCGGCCATTACAACTTCAATTTTCTTTTCAGCTTGAACAGCAAATTCTGCAAAGAGGCTCTTGATGACATATTCACCAGGTTTGACATCTGGGTCAATCGTAATGTTTGACATGATGATATTTTTTTTTCCCCAAGTGGAATGAAAGTTGGAAGAAGCACAGTATTTATTTACTTTGCTGACTGGCGCTGAAGCTAAAAGTAAAAGAAACAAAAGAACTCTACTTTAATAAATCAACTCAAGAGGTCTACCATAACTACCCTATTTAATTTGTAAGCTGCCTCTAACCCTCAACCAGTTCTCCCAATCTCCTCTACCATAATCCATTTTGTCTATTTCTAACATACTAACATATTTATAATTTAATTACATATCATGTATATTATGTACTGTTTCTCTCTCTATCCTACTAATGTGAATATAAGAACAGGGATTCTCTTTTGGTTTTTGTTGTTGTTGTTGTTCATGGTAAATCCCAAGTACCTAGAACAATGCCTAGCATAGATTAGGTGCACAGTATTTGCTGAATGAATGAATGGATTCTAATCAGATAGTCAAATGCAATAAAGGAAATAAAACAGGTGTGAATAAATGAAACAGGAACGGGATTGGGGAACTGAAAAACAACACTACTTTGGAAAATATGCTCAGTGAAGACCTCACTGAAGAAGCTACACTTAAACTCAGGCCTAAATGATTTTTAAAATGAGGGAGCAAGACAAAGCACCAGGAACAGAAAACACAAGACTGAACGTGCATGCTTAAAACACAGAAAGACCAGTGTGGCTGGAGCTCAAGGGAAGAAGCAGAGGTGGAAGGGGATATGAGATAAGGTCAGAATCAGTAGTCAGGGAGCAAGTCACAGAAGATCTTTAAGAACTTTGTAAGAAAATTAGATTTCATTCCAAATGCAATTAAAATTCAGTGGAAAGCATTAATATGGAGAGGGATAGAATCTGGCTTTCTCTTTATAAAAATCTCTCTGGTACCTCTGGAGAATGGATTGAAAGAGGGAAAATGTAGACCCAGGGAAGCCATTACAGAAATCCAGGTGAGATCATTGCAACTTGGGCTAAGAGGATGGCAACAGCACAGGAAAAAAAGCAAAGTATTTGAGACTTGTCATATATTAGTGGATTAATCAGTGAGGTGACAGGAAGGAATTAACAATGACTCACAGCATTTTTACTTGAATCACTCATAGGATAGTGGTGCCATTTACTCAGATGGAGATGACACGGTGCTGGCAAATAGTAAGCTGCATCAGGCTTGGCCCCAAAAGAAGACACACCACTGCATGCTGTGCAGCTTCACCTGCTCTGTTCTTCTGACTGCCTGGGCAGCCTACTTGGCTTCCTACATACAAGTTTTCCAGTCATGTCCATATCGATCCCATATGTTGCTATGTCGATCCCATATCCTCTAACTTAGCTTATGTTGCCTTTTTTGGCTTAGAATATTCAGGGAGAATCTGCAAGTTTGTGCTTCTTTACCTCAACCTGAACTCCAGAGACTGCCCTTGAACCCCTTCCTTGAAAGAGGAAGCAGAACACAATTACTTAAACACTGATTTCCTGTGTTTGTGTCTATGTGCACATAACTATAGGATAATAAATTTGTTCTAAATACATAAATTCAAAACTTATTAAAAAATTTTTGTCAAATTAAAAAAACTTGCTCTACCACACATAGGTCAAAATACACAAATCTGTAAAAGTAATCTAAAGAGTATCACAAACGTAATATATCTAAAATAAACATCTTTGTGTCATATCAAGTTAAAATACATTATGTACTGTATTCTAGAACGAAAATTATATAACTCAAAACAAAAACTCACAGTCCTTTGAACACAGTGTACATTATTTTAAACAATGACCTGTTTGTTTACTCTGTTTCATGATCCAACATTGTGTATTATCAAAGAGGGAATCTGTTAACAAATGTCATTGTGGAAGAAAGAAGAGCTCTCTAATTTTTAAAAAATTATTTTGGAACATTAAGAGTACCATAATTTAACTTAAGGTAGTGGTTACAAACTATATCTTTTCCTTTAATTAAGATTCATAAGGTCATAACAGTTATAAAGTTTCTCCGGCTTTAACTTTACAGTAAATGTAACTAAACAAGAACCTTATAACTAACCTAGGTACTTCAATTCTAAATTTTAACAAAGTAAAAACTTCTAAAATGACATTCTAGCCTTTAAACATTTTTTCTACAAAGAAAAAAACTTTACTTAAAATGACTTCACAAATAATTTGCCTTTACTGTCTTCTACTTTCTTAAAAATAAAGCATAACCAAATATTCCTAGGTATCATAATTGCATACATTAAAAAATTTGCCTATAAAGCCAAAAGTTTTAGGCAAACCTTTATTTACAAGTTATCTGTCAAGATAAAAATATTTTGTTTGATAACTCAAATTTTTATGAAAAAACCTTTTTGATTAAATAATTTATTTAAATTTTATTTCTTAGTAGGTGTTTAATAACTGTTAGTTGAAATTATTAATATAAAAAAGTAACAATGAACAGATCTACTGATTGAAATTCCAAAATAAATTTCAAATTTTATTTTGTTCAAGACAAATGATTTTTATAATCTAATAAACAGAATGCTAAACAGATCTTTGAAATTACATTATCAAAAAATACCAAATGGCACAGGAAAGTGTTCAAAATACAGCATTAGGTGAGTAAAGATCCTAAGAGTATGTATATAAAACCAAAGTAAAATTAGACAGCAGGAAAAAATATGTGGGCATATAATAAACACACAGTTAATCACTTTTGTTTCTACACACAAAGCTGTGATGAAATCGACTAGAAAAACACCCACACCCCCAAACTGAAACAAGGACAAGGACATGAACAAGCAAGTTACAAACAATAAAATGGAGGAGGCCAATAATATTTAATTTCATTAATATTCTAAACACAAATAAAAATCAGGTAACATTTTTCATCCATCAAAGTTGTCCCCCTCAACTTTATATTTCATCATAATGTTCAGCCTTGGTAAAGATACGTGAATTCTTTTCATTTTCTGCTAATAGGAGAGAAACAGGGATGATCACTCCAAGTAGAAGAAGAAAAGCTAGCTTCCATATAACTAGACTAACTTGGTATTACCTGACTGCTTGCATTAAATACCTTATAATGCTAAGTTGTAATATTTCTCTACATGCTAACCCAAAATTTTGAAAGATTTATGTAAGCCTATGAGAGAAGGAAGACATAACTGTTAATATAATTCTAAAGATTGCAATTCAAGCATTGAATTACAAACTGGAAAAACCCATGTCGTATTAAACATACTTGGAATATAAATCTACTAAACTCTAACTGCTAATAATAAGAATAAACAGGACCTGAATAATTAAAATTTGGGAATCTAAAAGCTAGCATTCCTGCTCTGTCTCTTAGATAAAGCTCAAATAAAAACTAAATATCAGTATTTTTGGATGGCTTACACTCTCCATAGCACTGTATTTAATATATTTAATAAAATAATTGTCTTTTTCATGCTGATGAGACTCCTAAACCATTATAAAATAAATTTAAATTCAGTCAAAAAGAAGAGACAAGTGAGAAGAGAAATAACGTATAACTCTTACAATTAGGTGTGTTTGAGCTCATTACAGCAGCAGATCTCAGCTTTTTTCTGACTCTATTATGTTTTTACACACAACATTCTGAATAGTAACAGCCCTCAAAATACACACTAGTTCTCAACAATTGGGGTATTTCAAAATCCCTACAGGTAGATGTGGTCTAAAATAACCACACTGAAGTCTGTGGAAGCTGCCTCTAGCTTCCTCACCCCCAGAGGTCTTTAAGGATTTAAAAAAAAAATCTTTGGGCTACTACCTCACAGCCACAAACTTACATATGTACACAAATATTATATGCATATATTTATGCATAGATTTATATAACAGAAATTTTTACATAACATACAATTGCTTAGTATTACAATAATTATTATTTATACACCATATTGGCTAATAATAAAAATTTTGATGATTACCTACAAAAGAAAAAGTAGAAGGTAAAGGCTTTGGAACATGAACAAAAGTAAAAAAATATCTGTGACTTTACAATGAGATACCATCTCACGCCAGTTAGAATGGCAATCATTAAAAAGTCAGGAAACAACAGATGCTGGAGAGGATGTGGAGAAACAGGAATGCTTTTACGCTGTTGGTGGGAGTGTAAATTAGTTCAACCATTGTGGAAGACAGTATGGCAATTCCTCAAGGATCTGGAACCAGAAATAACATTTGACTCAGCAATCTCATTACTGGGTATATACCCAAAGGATTATAAATCATTCTACTATAAAGACGCATGCACACATATGTTTATTGTGGCACTGTCCACGATAGCAAAGACTTGGAACCAACCCAAATGCCCATCAATGATAGACTGAGTAAAGAAAATGTGGCACACATACACCATGGAATACTATGCAGCCATAAAAAGGATGTGTTCATGTCCTTTGCGGGGATACGGATGAGGCTGGAAAACATCATTCTCAGCAAACTAACACAAGAACAGAAAACCAAACACCGCATATTCTCACTCATAAGTGGGAGCTGAATAATGAGAACAAAGGGACACAGGGAGGGGAACATCACACACTGGGGCCTGTTGTGGGGTGGGAGGCTAAGGGAGGGATAGCATTAGGAGAAATACCTAATGTAGATGACGGGTTGATGGGTGCAGCAAACCAACATGGCATGTGTATACCTATGTAACAAACCTGCATGTTCTGCACATGTATCCCAGAACTTAAAGTATAATAAAAAAAAAATCTGACTTCAAAAAGCAAACACAAAATTTTTAGTTTAGAAAGCAGGTCTACCCCCCAAGTTAATTCGTGTGTATCAACAAGCATATTCTGAAGTTTATATGGAAAGGCAAATAATCCAGAACAGCCAGCACAATATTGAAGGAGAAGAAAAATGTCAGAGGACTGACAGGACGTGACTTCAAAAAAGTAATCAAGACAGTATGGTACTGATTAAAGAATAGACTAACTGATCAATGGTATAGAATAGAGAGCCCAGAAATAGACCCACACAAATACTATCAACTGATCTTTGACAAGGTAGCAAAGGCAATTCAATGAAGAAAGGAGACCTTGCCACAAATAGTACTAGAATAACTAGAAATCCACATGTTAAAAAAAAAAATCTAGATACAGAACTTATACCTTCTGCAAAAATTAACTGAAAATGGATCATAGATCTAGATGTGAAATGAAAACTATTAAACCCCTAGAAGATAGGAGAAAATCTAAGTGATCTTGGGTTTGGAGGGTGACTTTTTAGATAAACATCAAAACCATGATCCAGGGAAAAAAATTATTAAAATGAAGCCTCGAGCTCTGCAAGACACTATTAAGGACATGAAAAGACAAGCCACAGATTGGGAGAAAAAAATTGCAAAATACATACTTGATATAAGACTGGTATACAAAATACATAAAGAACTCTTAAAACTCAACCACCAGAAAACAAATAACACAAGTAAAAAATGAGCACCAGATTTAATACACCTTACCAGAAGAAGATGTACAGATGGCAAATAAGCATATGAAAAGATGTGCAACCTCATATGTCTTCAGGGAATTGAAAATTAAAACAACAATGATACACTACTACATGCTGATTAGAATGACTAATGTCCAAAACTGACAACAGCAAATGCGGGTGAGGACGTGGAGCAACAAGGACTGTCATTAATTACTGATGGGAATGCAAAATACTACAGACACTTTAAAAGATATTTTGGTTATTTTTTTCAAAACTAAACATATTCTTACCACATGATCAGGAAACATGCTCCCTGGTATTTACCCACAGGAGCTGAAGACGTATGTCCACAAAAAACCTGCACATGGTTGCTTATAGCAGCTTTATTCATAATTGTTAAAACTTGGAAGCAACCAAAATGTCATTCAGTAGGTGAATGGATAAATAAACTGTGATATATTCAGACAATGAAATATTATTCAGTGCTAAAAAGAAATGAGCTATCAAGCTATGTAAAGACATGAAGGAATCTTAAGTGTGTATTTCTAAGTGAAAGAAGCCAATCTAAAAAGGCTATATACTGTATGACTGCAACTATATGACATTCTGGAAAAGACTGTAGAGTCAATAAAATGATCAGTGATTACAAGGGCTTGGGAGAAGGGAGCAATGAATAGGTAGAACACAGAATTTTTAGGGCAGTGAAACTCCTCTGTAGTATAGTATATGGTGGATACATGTCATTATACATCTGTCAAAACCTACAGAATGTGCAACCCAAAGAGTTAACTGGAATGTAAACTTTAGTTAATAATAATGTTTCAATATTGTTTCATCAATGGTAACAAACATACCACACTAAAAGGAAGAAACTGGGAGTGGAGAGAGGGTATGCGAGAACTCTCTACTTTCTACTCAAGTTTTCTGTAAACCCGAAATTATGCTAAAAAATAAAGCTGATTAATTTACAAAAGAAAAGCCAAAGAAAAGAATAACAAGCCTATCCTATCCCTGTCAGCCAGAACCAAAGTGCCTGGGAAGAGTGAAAATAAAAAACAGCTCAAGCTGGAGCTTAAAACAATAACATACTTGGATCACACTCAAAGACAGGAAACAGTTTATAAGTCAATTAAAAGGAAAATGTCAAAAACACTAATCAGCTTATATGGTAGACAGATTAAAAGTAGTGAACAGAAAAAGCAAAATCAGTATTGGGGAATAATAGCAAATAGCAAATTTCAACTTCTGGTGAGGCCAGTTGAATTGGTGACAGTACCAGACCTTTCAACTACCTATCCAGAGGAAAACTCTACATTTGAAAGCAACTAATGTGAAGAGGAAAAAAGGAAATATAAGTAATGTGTATGCTGTGTGTGTTGAGAGGTATAATCAGAAAATATCATTTGATGCACAGATATAGCTTATCAAGAGCAGAGAGTGGGCTTTAGAAGGCAAGGATACCTCAAAATTCCTCCATGTTAGTGAAAAGCATACCAGATGCTGTTTGTTTCCAATGGGAACAAAATATAATTTAATATATAAAATATTATCTTTTTAGTCTAACAAATCTATTCTTATTTCAAGTAATATGCTGGTAAATGGCTCTCTTAAAAACAAAAGAAAACAAAAGGCAGGGGAGAGGGTCCCAATTTGCAGCCTTTGCCAATATCCTTGGTATAAATATTCACACCCCAGAGGCTCTTAAGCCACTAATGGCTTAACGACTGGCTCGTAGGAATTAGATCCAGAACATCACTCCTAATTATAGCGCATTTATGATGAAGAAACTGACTCCAAATGAAAGCTACTGTCATGTGGGAGTGGCAGCACTGGAACACAAACTTGCATCCTGGTTGCTAAGAACTTTCCCATCAATAACTTTATTTCTTCCATAATTACCAAATGCGGATGGATCCTTCTCTCATTTAAAGGTCCAAATTCTTATCATACTGTTTGCTTAAAATAAATATTTCCCAAATCTAATATTTTGGTTATATCTTCTAATTCATTTGCATAAAAAGAGCAAAAAAGTTTCCCCATTTTGATTAACTACTTACCTATATTTTAACTCTTTTTAAGTTCGCTTTATTTGTTCCATTTAAATTTGTCATCCAATTGTAACTTATTTGAGCTACTGATACGAAATAAAGATTTTATCTTTTTTCCTCAATATTTAATCAATTCTCTTGGGTTCATTTACTGAAATTCTGTCACTGATTTTACTCACTATCATAAACTAAATCCATACTCAAATATGCTTTTCTGGGCTTTCTATTATGCTCATTAAAAATCTGTGTTTGTGTTAGTACCAGACTTTTTATTGTTACAGCTGTATAACAGGTTTTATTATTTGTAGAGACAAATATTCCTATGTATTCACCATCTTCAGCTATTGTCACTCATACTTTCAAGCTTATGCATGCCTTCACAAACTTACTTGAAAAAAACTTGACATCTTTATATTATAAAACCTCTTGTCTAGTATCTGACACACCTCCATTAACTCGTCTTCTTTTGTGTACCTAGAGAAAAAAATGTATACTTTCCTTCAGAGGAGAGATCTAATTCTTATTAATTCTATTCCCAAATACTTTATGTTTCTATTTTGTGCAAATGAAATCATTTTCCCTCACTATCCAGTTCAATGTTTTTGCTTCTGGTTCCATTTCGATGGACAGAAAAATTATTACTTCTGCTTGTTCTTTGGACAGCTGTCCCTAAAATGTTTATTTATCCTAAACTATTCTTATTGAAAAGAGTTTCTAAACATAGAAGTCCTATGACATCTTTGGCATATGTCCAATGTTTTTTACTTGAAGTCTACTACAGAAATATCACTTATTATAAAGCTCAAGAAAAATGACCTATCATCCAAATAATCCATTATTCACTCAGCTATAGTTTCCTTGAGGTTATTGTTTTCTTGTGCTTTTTTGGTAATCTTTGGGAGCTCAACTAAGAAACTATTCTAAAAACCTAGAGATAATGAGGTATTTTAAAAATGTGCATGGACCTGGGAGCCAGAAGACAAGGGCTCCAGACTTGACTTGGCTACTCATGATGGTTATAATCTTGGTCAAATTTAACCTCTTTTGCTTCCCTTCTAGCAAATGAACAAGCTGAATTATATTGCTACCATGAGTATGTGTAAGAAGCAACAAGAATGTTGTTTTCATTTTTGTTCTCCACTCTTCCCCTGATATAAATATTCACTGCCAGTGAAAAAGCTATTGTGGCTGACTTTTCTCCTCTAGCTGGAAATGGACCTGCGAATCAACACAAAATAGTCCTGTAAACACCAGAATCCTGCAGGACCTCATCCAGCAAACATACCTGGACCCAGGGACTGGGGGAGGTTGACAACTACATAGAGATGTGTAGCCCTTTTCTCTGACTGCTATGAAGCTGAGCAGAATTGAAATAGATGGGCTGAGTCCTCTGTAGCTTAGAGGGTGAGATGATGAGAAAAGACAAGAAGGAAAGGGGCTCCCTCCTACTATCTTAACAGGCTGTTAACTGCTGCTAACTTAGGCTGCTTTCCCTTCCATCACTCTTGGGATTACTTCTTAAAAGACGGTAGCAGTCTGACCTACACTCAAGTAGCAAACAAAGTAATATAACTGTATACCTAAAGGTATCCAGCAGCCAGAGACAAAGAAAACAAATAAAATATTTAACAAACATCAGCAGCAAATAATATAGGCTGCAAAACAAACCTATTTCGATTAAAAACAGAAACTGAAGTGCTGATTTTTGCCTTGCTATTCAACACCATCCTGGAGATGATAAGTAAATGCAATAATATTAAAAAATTAAATCGTTACAAATATTAAAAAAGATACGAAACTTTATTAACTAGCAACAATCACCTAGAAATAGAAAATGATTTTAAAAGACCTTCTATTCGCAAAAATAAAATTGGTAGAAATAAATTTAATAAGAAAAGCATAGGACTTCATACAGAGGAAAGGACAAGCGCTTCCTAATATAAAAGAAGATATAAAAGAAGATCTGAACATGTGGAAAGACATAGTCATAGATGGAAGGATTTATCATAAGTGTCAATTTTCATAAAATTAATATATTAATTAGCACAGCTCCAACTAAAATTTTTTTTTTTTGACATGGAGTTGCGCTCTTATTGTCCAGGCTGGAGTGCAATAGCACGATCTCGGCTCACTGCAACCTCTGCCTCCCAGGATCAAGCGATTCTTCTGCCTCAGCCTCCCAAGTAGCTGGGATTACAGGCATGCGCCACCATGCTGGCTAATTTTGTATTTTTAGTAGAGATAGGGTTTCCCCGTGTTGGTCAGGCTGATCTCGAACTCCCGACCTCAGGTGATCTGCCTGCCTCAGCCTCCCAAAGTGCTGGGATTACAGGCATGAGCCACCGCGCCTGGCCAGCCCACTAAAATTTTGAGACTGTTTTGTCTAGGTTTATTGGATAGATCTATATTACAGTATACATGGAAGAATAAACACTCAAGAAAAGCCAAAAAAATTACTTTAAAAAATACAAAGAATATTATTTGAAATTAACTATAATCAGAACATAACTATAATCAAGACATATATCAGAACATAATATGATTATATCAGAACATAATATAACAATAATCAACTCAGTAGACATAAGTGTAGATAAATCAGATAATTGTAAAAAAAAAAAAAAAAAAAGTACCCCCTGCATTCCAGGGTAAGAATTCACATGGGCAAAATTAGAAGGAAAAAGATTATCTAGTAAAAATGTTGAAACAGCTGGCCATTCATCTAAAGAAAAAATAAATATACTATACTCAAAAACCAAAGTCCATCAGATTCCAAACCTGACTGGATAAAACAAACAAACAAACAAACAAAAACCAATGTCCAGATGGACATGAAGTTAAAAATTCATTTTTCAAAACCTTAGAAGAAATTGGGAATCTTCTTATATAATCAAGGGGTGAAAAGACCTGTAGCCTAGAGAGCAAACCCAAAATTATATATTTTTTAAAGATAAATGCATTTAACCAAATACAAATTTAAAATATTTAGGAGAAATGATACCATAAACAAGACAAAGTTGGAGAAATATTTATAATGTAGATGATAGAAAATATAAAACATTCAAAGAGCTCTTACAAAATAATAAGAAAAAGACAACACAATAAAGAAAAGGTGCCAAAAGATATACATAAGCAATTCAACATAACAGCAAGTCTAAAAAGCCAACAGGCATATGAAAAAATGTTCAAACAGTGTACCCAGAAAATGTAAATTAAACCAGCAGTGAGCTTTCATTTTATATATATATATATATATATATATATATATCAGACTGGCAAATACTAAAAAGAATGCATATATCACCTACTGCAGGTAAGGTACAGGGAAATGAAACACTTAACACAGCGCTGATAAAAAGGTAATGCCCAGTTAAGTACAGCGCTGTGGAGAAGGTGTTCTTACAAAAGATAAATATTCTGGCCCCTAGAACAGGGCATAAATTTCTTCGATCTTCAGGCTCTCTGTGCAACCTTCTGATAATAATTCAGCTTTGTATGAGCTTATCCCACAAAAATGGCAAAGGATGGGCTGCCAACTCCAGCATTAATATCCACTTGGCATATTTCTCACTGTAAATTAGTAAATTGGCAAACATATAAGAATTTGTCTGTCATATTCTTTATGATGATTCCACTCCCAGAAAAGATTTCATATATACTCTCAGCATTCTGACAATGCTAAGCTTTCTGACTTGACCCTGAACTTTGCTGGCCATCTCTGGCCATACCTTAAGTCAGAATCAAAATCTTTGGAATGGGGCCCAGGTATGTGTATGTTTTTGAAAGCTCCCCAGGCTGATTCTAATATGCAGCCAGGGTTGTGAACTATTGCCTTACCCTATTCTTCTAAAATGGAACAGTTGGCTCTATACAATAATTTTACTTAAAGTTGATTGTGATCATTAAAAAGTTTCAAAAGCACCATAAATAAGGAAACCTGTAATTATAATACCACAAATAATAGCCATCAAGTAGTTCTATTCCAACCATACAAAAGCCCTACACTTCAAATCATGGCAATACAATGCCCTTGCACTCTACGTAAAAACACACTACTAACCTTATCTTCAACGATATTACTAAGGCTATGTTACTGGAATCATCTTCTTATTTTCTTCCATATAGTCTCCCTATAATAAAATTTACTCATTCAGATATTGTTCCAAAATCATGTAAAGCTTATTTTAAAGAAAAAAGGATCGACTTAATGTATCAAATGTAAGTCTGTATTTGTTATATCGTTACTATATTGCATGATAATGGATATTAATAATTCATTCCTCATTTTTTATGAATGCCTTGACTAACTACTTTCTGTATCATATATCAATAATGTAACTGAAAATACAGCTTATAAAACAATTCACAAGATTTTCTATGACATTTACAAGTCATTACCTTCTGGGAAGAACAGGTCTGACAATTTGGAAATTCTCTTCGACAGCCTTCCCTATTCAAATGAATTTCTCTTTAATTATCTTTCTGTAAAAACCCTTAAAACTTTAATCATTTAGCAAAATTTTAAAAATTGGAAAATAGCATGCTTAATGAAAACCAACTAATAGATCTAAAATCGTCAAAAATGCCATCAAACAGGCAATGTCCTGTGGTATCACACATCAACAGACTAGGAAGAATAACCAAAAAGACATGACCCATTCTCATCCTGCAAAAGGCTAGCAAACTTGTCTTATCAATGTGACAATGCAACTGCAAACAGTTACTTCCAGAAAAGAAGACTAAGAGTTTGACCAGTAGTGGAATAGGCCAGAACCCAGTGATTTGAGACTCTGGCACAGGCTATGCCTACAATAGGCAAGACAGCTGTCAGGTATCATATTTAAAATATTAAGCAGTCAGTACAGAGGGGCTATCAGAAGAGCTACAGCCAGGATGCCTAATGACTGAATACCAGCATTGTTGGAGGTCATACGGCATCTAATTATGGAGGCAGAAGATGGTACCTAGAGAATATGATAACAGGTAAAAAGCACCAGGGAGGTCCAGGAGAACAGCAGATGTTATCCTGGCAAACAGTTGAATAATGCAAAGTCTATGAACAGGAAATATATAGACACACGGCTAGGGAGGTGGGTTTAATCAACAAAAAGGTATGCCAGCAGAACTTCATTCTCTTCAAGATCAGAGCAGGGTTCCACATTTGAAGGAAATGGAATACCAAAGTTTGATAAGGAAAGGCTCAGGAAAGAAGAGATACCAATAATTACAGATGGAGGCTTTGACACAAGAATGGGTAGCCGAGATACTACAACTGAAGAACAAAGGCAGATCCAAATTTGTAGTGAGGTTGGGCTGATGGTAAGTCACTTGAACTAATGAACTAGGGATGTCCCAAACTCCCCATCTTAGCACAGGATAGGACCCAGGGCCTGCTATAAGACTGAGTCTATACATGAGTACTACAGCAGGTACAGAGAAAGGTCATGACAGATATGTTAATAAAATAGAGGGTCAAATTTAACACAGATATTATTCTGGCCTGTTTGCGTATTCTCAGTCACCTGGCCCATTTGGATACTCTCAGTCACCTATGAATATTTTGACCATCTATGTTGGATTTTCTTGATTTTGAATCTTATTAGTAAACTATGTATTTAATATTTATCAATAAAATTTTAAAGCAAATTGTGAAACCCAAATACTTAATGAGTCCGATAATCAGCTGTACTTCTCACAACACTAACTGTTTAGTCTCAAAAATGAAATGTCTCCTTTCTCAAATGAGGTGAACCTAGCTTAAGAAGTTAGAATTAAACAAACAAACAAAAAAAAGATACAGCAGGCCCATGACTCTAAATCCAATGACACCTGGAGCTAGAAATCCCACTTTTCAGGGACCATCATGAAAAATTCACGTTGTTTACTTAATAGTACAATGAGTTGGCTTTCTTAGGATCCACTTCTCAAAGCAGACAAATTTATCTGAGGGATGATAAGAGTATTCTGACAATAAGCAATAGGTGATTCTTTTCCACTATGACCAACATTAACTCTCAACAGATACATTTCTGAAACTGATGTCAATGAGAATGTAACTGACCCTACAAAATTAGTTGTGCAAACAGCTAGTTAAAAATTTCCGTTATCTCCTGTACCTAACCCAAGACCTATTTTTCCTACCTCTTAAATATTTCCCATCACTATGAATGTTTTGTAAAGTGCTTAGAAGAGTACCTACACATGTTGTAGGTATTATATACTTGTTTGCTAAATAAATAACATTTCTTCCATTTGTTCAACCTTTATCTCACATATAGTCTCTTTCAATAGCATCCTAACTTGTCTCCTGGCACCACCCCAAAGACAGAAACTTGATGAAATCACCCCAATCACTGTCGCAAAGCCCATCAATGGTTACCTATTTATTTTAGGATTAAGACCAAAATCCATAACAAGGTTTTTGCTATTCTACATGGTCTAGTCCTTGCTTAACTTTCCAGCTTCATTCCCACCATGCTCTCCATAGCTCTCTGCTCCAGCCAAACCGGCCATTCCCTCCAGCTTCTAGCACTTGATATCCCTTCTGCCCACCCACCTATCTCCCAAACTGTTAACTATTTCTTCCTTCAGATCTTCCTAAAGTATCACTTGATCAGGGAAGCCTTCAATTAAAATATGAAGGAGTAGAGAAAGTTAGCTAAAGAGTTTGGGTGTGAGATTTTCTGGGGGGTGAGGGAGTGTTCTTAGTGTTCTTTTGCTTATCTGAGCCCCAATTTACTACTCTATAAAACAGCAATTTATCAATTGAAGAATGGATAAACAAATTGTGATGTATCCATCCAATGGAACATTATTCAATACATGTTATGACATAAATGAACCTTGGAAATACAGTTAAATGTAAGAACCCTGTCACAAAAGAACACCCATTGTATGATTCCATGTATATGAAATGTCCAGAATAGACAAATCCGTAGTGACAGAAAGTAGAATAATGAGTATGAGGTTTCTTTTTTAGATAATGAAAACATTCTGCAATTAGATACTGGTGATAATTGTACAATTTTGGAATACACTAAAACCCACCAAATTGAATACTTAATGAATTTTATAGTATGTGAATCTCACAATAAAGTTGCTACTTTGAAAAACAGCAATAATATTCCTCTTGAGATTTTCATGCTGATGGTTACAAGAGATTTAATGTATGTGCATATAATGTGAGTATACACAGATACGTGTGCAAAGACATACGATAGGTACTTACCACAATACTAGACCTATAAATACTTCAACAAATGGTATTATTTCAATCAAATAACACAGATTTTAACTGAAATTTAGATGAATGTATAATGTGCTTTTTGGGGTTGGCTTTTACTATTTTTACAATCCAAAAAAAAAATCTGAGTATTAAAAACAATTTATGAACTTTTCTCATTGTGCAAAAATGCAAGTAATCTATGCAAATACAGTTTCTTAACATACCATATCTTATTCACATTTTAACTTATAAAATTACGGTTTAAGAAGGTCAATCTATTTTATGTCTGTGATAAAAACTAAATTCTTTGAAACACCAGCTCTCATAAAAGTATGTATGCAAAATAAATTCTATAAATTAATATGCTTACAAGAGGTATTATATGGACAGCAAATGCATCTGTGATCTTAGCATTACATGAACAGATCTCAGTACTGAGTCTTGCTTTGTCTTATCAATTTTAGGGAACTAAGCCAATCTTTTAAATGATAACATCCTCACGACACAGCTGGTTTAACAGAATGTTCCTGATTCAGTTTTTAAAAGAAGTAATGCCTAAAACTGTTGGCACAAAGACAAAATCCTGAATTTAGGCCATATGAATGTCACTTCATTGTTGTTACTGAAAGAAATAAGCTCAACTATAATCAAACTTCAGCAGCACTGCATCAACATTCTGCCAGCTAAGCAGGCCCTGAAACCAGAGGGCCTCTAGCGACTAATATAAAAAGTAGCATTTAACATTAATACAAAGCACGCAAATGCATCTTATAAATAAGAAACACTATTATAATTAATGATGAACTATAATAATATACACTGCTTTTAAGTTATGTTCGAAGACACAACCCATAGATTTTTTTCTTTTTCTTTTTTCTTCAGGAGGGTAGGGGCAACATTTGAAATATATAATTTATTTAATGGAAAAAATTTTTCATTTCTTTTTTTATAAAGGCTATTAATAAATCAAGTTTTCCTCTGTTCTTTCCAAGAAATTCACTAAATAAAATGTTATGAAAATGTATTTAATCACTAAAAAATCATTTTATGCATTCCTACTTCAGGAATTGTTCCCCTGAGAGACATCAGTAGCATAATATTAATAACCAAATTATAAAAGGGGTCATATATTTATGCTTCTACCTTCTTCTCTATTATAAACTCATCCCAACAAAAATTATTGCAGCTCTACCCAATATCTTACTTGTCTGCACATTTACCAGAGCTTAAATAAGCATTAAATACACAAAGAACAAAAAGACAATCAACCAATACCCTCCAGAAGCTTACACTCAAGTAGCAGAGAAAGACATGAACAAGATGATGAGTATAATGATGCAATGATGTTTAAAGTGAAGAAGAGAACAGATGAAGCATTAACTATGTGGCTGACTGAAGGAAGAATGGGTCTTGAAAGAGGAGTAAAAATCATTGCGATGCAGGCAGAGAGATGAGAGGGTACATTTCAGGCAAAGGTAGCAGCAAATATGAAGGCACAGAATGCTTCCAGAACTGGCAAAGCATGGCGAGAACGGCAACAGGCAAAATGAGCAGAGGCTAGATGATGAAAGGCCTCCTCCTACAGGAGACAGAAAATCTGTGAGGTAAGGAAGGGAGGGACATGAAGAGCCAGCTTTTAAAAGGAACCCTTACCAGCAATGTGGAAGATGCAAACAGGACCAATATGGAAGCTGTGGCAATATTCCAGGTGATGATGAAGAGAGGCCTGAACTAGGATAGTGGCTGTGGAGAGGAGAGACTACGGAAATTTGAGTAGGCAGAATGGCAAGCTGTGGTCAAGGACCGAAAGGGGTTGGGGTGAAAGAGGCGTGGTAACCAACCTCTGGTTTCTGGCTTGGGGAGACTGTGGATATCAGTACTACCTACCATCATGGAGAGCATCCTATCATTCAAAACCAAACTCAGAAAAATCCCTTTCCCTCTTAAGTCTCCACTGACCCTGTAGTTCAATGTGATTCCTTCTTATTTTTTGTGTTTCCTTCTGTCACCCAGGCTGGAGTACAGTGGCATGAACAGGGCTCCTGGGCTCAAGCAATCCTCTCACACCTCAGCCTCCTGAGTAGCTGGGACCACATGCACCGTGTGTGTGTGTGTGTGTGTGTGTGTGTGTGTGTGTGTGTGTGTGTAGTGGTAGAAACAGGATCTCAGGATCTCACTGTGTGTGTGTGTGTGTGTGTGTGTGTGTGTGTGTGTGTGTGTGTGTGTGTAGTGGTAGAAACAGGATCTCAGGATCTCACTATGTTGCCCAGGCTGGACTCAAACTCCTGGGCTCAAGTGATCCTCTCACCTCAGCCTCCCAAAGTACTAGGACTACCAACGTGACCTCCCATGCCCAGCAGACCAATGTGATTCCTTCTATCTCTGGACTCTCAGTCTGTTTTATGTATAACAGTCATTTGGTAAGTCACAGTGCACACACAACATTTCTCATTTGACTTCCTTACTACAACTTTTCACATATACTTTCTCTAAGCTCCTCGAGAGAAAGGAACACGTTTTATACTTCTATCTGCCACAGCACAGTAGCATACGCTCTATAAACACTGGTTGACTCAAAAGTGTTGATGTTACAAAAACATTCCTAGGAAGAAAGAGCTAACTACTATCCTTTTCTATGGTCTTAATATTTTAACCCCTCCCCCTATGAGTTGTATTTAACTCTCTCATACAACAAAGATAAGTGAAGACAAAGAAGACACCCACAGATACTGGTGAAATAAAAACGTTCTTCCACTTTCCAGGGCTACAGCAGACAAGGACAGAGCCCTGCTGAACACTGAGACTAGCAATTTCTTTCCAGTAATAACCTATTACTTCAGAATGGTAAAGACACCTTCATGAGATGTGTACTATGAATGCCCAAGGGCAATGGGATACCCCCAGACTGACTGAATCACTATATTACTAACTGCTAAAAAACAAAGGCTTTACAAACATCTGTTTTTGGTTCACTACTGGATTCAAGGAGTATGATTAAACAAGATTTGGCTGTGGCTGGTTACAGGGTTCAGGCAACGACATGCAGAAATATTTAAATGGCCATAAAACAGGATAACCACATAGTTCACAAGTACCTAAACAAAGTTCTTACAAGACAAGCTGCTGTGATATAATACACTGTTCTTCTATAAGAAGTTGTTAATTATAGCTTTATTCTCACTATAAAACTGTCTTACTATTTTTAAAAAAGTACATGGTGAGGATGGGAGAAGCAGGGGAAACAGTACTGAGAGAAAGATTAGAAGCTACAGTCCAGTTTACTTGAGCAAAAATGTATTCTACATTACTGTCTCCCTTTTAACTAGTGAAAGTATTTAACTTGATTTAGTCAGTAATTACAATTCTCCCAATATTTTAACTATGTATATTCACTTAAAAACTTTCCTAGAACTAAGATAATTTTCTGCCATCTGGCACAACAGTATCTCCATATGGAAGAATTACTTATAGATAAAAAATAAAAGAAATATAGGGATTGTAAATGCAGTATATTTGGCTGCATTTACAAACCTCCTCAAACCATATTCAATAAGACTTTATCTTAAGAGGGTTTTTGTTCTCATGTCAATATTTTCACTTTCATATTATTTGCTTAAAAAACAAAACTACACTAAATAAATATTTTGGTAAAGAGTTAACCTGGAAAAATGTAAATTTAATTTCTGATATTTTATACATTAGTTTGCTTAGGCACCAGCAGCACAGTTGGGAGCAAAAACAACCAGGTTCTATTCCAATTCTTTGCCACTGTATGACCTTGGAAAAGTCACAATTTTTCTATACTTCAATTTTCTTTGACCAAAACAAACATGATAATAGAACCTGTGTTTACTTAATTCATGAGTTTGATATTGTATTATGATACTTTTGGCAAAAAAGTAAACAGACTATGGTAAGTGTTTTGAGATCTTTAAAGGAAAAAGTGTGATTGAAATATTGAACAAAAGCAATATTTCTGCCAAATTCATATGTTAGGAAGAGAGTTACGGACAGAATAATAGCTCAACGGCATCAGTTGTATTGACTTAACTGAACTTTGAAATCTAAGTATATCATCCTGAATGTTATTTATAAGAAAATTTACTACATATGAAAATTACACATTATAACTTCAATTAGAAGAATGAGGGAAAGCTATTATCATTATATTATGTTTCTAGTGCCTTAAGATAGCTGATGTTGATTCAAACAACATTCTGTGCTAACAGAAGTGTGGAAGAGTACTGGTATCTGATAACCCTGCAGAGATTAGAATCTATTTGTGGTCTTCTTCCCCCGTCCCACACCCCGCCCCCCATTTATGACTAATTGCGAGAAACTTTGCCAGAATAACACAAATTACCAAGAAATTCAAGGCTGGTAAATTTTCATCAAAGAAAATTAACTACTGATTTTACAACTGTCTGATGTGTGCATGTCTAGATTTTCTATCTTACTGATTACCATTCAAGAAAATATTCTTCATGCTATTTTCAACAGCTTTTTATCTATTTGGATTGGTCTGAAGAATCAGCATGCAAGGAATGGCAATGATAATAATACCTCAGCATTTTTTTTTTCATGTAGGAATATATACTTACAGCTGCTGCTCCAGGACTTTAACAAGGACTTTATGCTAATTTCAAAAAACACAGAATCCTGTAGACTCAACATAGTGTCTCAATCAGCTGCAAAAGCAGCAGCAGCAGCAGCAGCAGCAGAAGCAGAAGCAGCAGCAGCAGCGGTTTTGCCGTTCTGTCTCTCCAAGCCGCTGTCCCTTCTCTTCTCACAGGCAGCAGAGTTTTGGCCCACAGTGCCTTGGCTTCATTACCATGCAGTCTTGCAGTGACGCACAACTATAGTGGAAATGCCGCTGAATGCAGATGAACTATCCAGTTGAATAAAAGCTTACAAGTTTATTATAAGTGCCCAGAAGGACACCCTCACCTTTCTTTATGCAGATATACACATGGCCAAGATTATCTTCTTTGTTTATGTTACTGTTACCAGTTTTGAGGAGCAGTGTCTCTAGCTATGTAATCACGACTGCTAGTAAACAGACAAGGGTAAGAAGCTCTGCCCTTGGGTACCAACTTTTCTCACTAAGAGCCTTAGAAATTTTTTAAAAAATAAATAAATTAGGATTTAGTATAAAATCTTTAAATCTTTTCCCTTAATAGCTGATCAAAAAAAAAAAAAAAACAAAAACAAAAACAAAAAAAACTGGAGGTATTTGGCTGACTTCAACATCAGTTTCCTCTAGGTTATTTTAGTAGTAAATTCTCTCCACCTCTCTACACACCCAGGCAGTAAGCAGTGATTTTCTCAGCATGTTTGTGATGATGCAGAGTCCACTGTCTCACTTACCCCACTGGAGATCACGCTGGCTAATGGAATGAAAAGATGATGTAATGAATCTATGGCTGAGCCCCCATCAGCCTCTAAAACTGCTCAGCTCAGGACAAACTTTCCTCTGCTGCGTGCAACTTACTCAAAAGCGATAACTCTATTATAATAATGGGATTAGTTGAAAATACAGTCTTCTATTCTTAATATAGCACATAATTCCCACGAAAATCTTATAGTCAAAATGTCAATGAATAGCGAGAAATCCTCTGGTCAAACAAAATACTACACATTTGTAAAACTTTCTTCTATAGAAGCTGTTCTACACTGAAAGCAGACGCTGTTAAAGCCTAACTGCTCTTCAAAACAGTAGAAAAAATTCACAACCAAAATGAACAAATAATATGTCATTATCAGAAGAAAAATGTCTTGGCCTCATATTAGTTTACTGTGACTTTGAAGGTCATGTGTTTAGAGTTATTTTTTTCCATATGTAGCAATACATTTGTACCAATCCATCTACATGGCATTGTACCCTTTAAGTAACACAAAGAATAAGGAAATGCAGTGATCAAAGTCATAACTGAATAAATTTATTCACAGCCAAATGGCTAGGCACTGTATCATAAGCTAAAATAACATCCTTTCACAAACAACTATCATACATTATGGGAAATTCATTAAGAGATATTCAGTGGTAGTGGTATTTTTTGGAAGGGGTGGGGGTCATTTGAAGGTATATTTTTTCTCAGAGCAGTCCAAGAAATCTGGCCATCCCTACTCCTAAACTGACCCAAAAAGTAAATTCAAATCAGGAAGGCAAAGGCTAACCAACACAGAACCATAATACCACAATACTGTTGTTTGGATACATCGCGATTAGAGACATCTCGTAATTAGTTTAGACACCAGGATTTCTCCTCATATAATGGAAAACATGCCTTAAGATGCTGAATGAAAAAAGTGCATCCCACAGCCCAGAAACACTACATACTATAATACATCCCATTCTTATACATTAACAATATATGTCAACATGCAAAATACTCCCAGTTTTACAGAAACTAGTTAAATTTTTCTGATTAATTTATCCTCCAAAGTGATTTCATAATACAATCCTCTTTTCATCAAACAGTTGTTAACAAATTCAGGAAATAAGCCAATTTAGACCCAAACAAATATATAATTATATATACATTATATATAATGTATAATGTATTATATAATGTATATATTATATAATGTATATATACATATAATGTATAAGTATATAAAATTATATCTAATGTATAATTATATAATACATTATGTAATACATTCTGTATTATATAATCATATATAATGTAAAATTATATATACAGAATTATATAATTATATATACTATATATAATGTATTATATACATACATATATACACATACATGTATATAATGTATAATTCTATGTACATTATATATAATGTGTAATTCTATGTACATTATATGCGTAATTATATGTACATTATATATAATGTGCATTATATATAATGTGCAATATATGTATATAATGTAAAATATATAATGTAAAATATAATGTATGTATAATATGTAATGTACATATAATTATACATTATATAATTATATATAATTTTATATAATGTATATATTGTATACATATATACATAAATAATATATACAATATATACATTATAAAACGTATATAATTATACATTATATAATGTATAGTTATATATACATTATATATACATGATTATTCATTATATATTCATGAAAATTTGAATATATATTATGAATATATATTTGAATATACATTATTCAAATATGAATTCAAAATAAATTTGTATATTATATTATATATTACATAATATATACTAAATATATTATATAATATATACTAAATATATTATATAATATATACTAAATATATAATATATAATTAATATATAATTATATATAATGTATATATAATGTATAATCATGTGTGTATAATGTACATATAATCATGTACATATAATGTATATAGTAATGTATACATATATGCATTATATATAATGTATATAGTAATGTATACATATATGCATTATATATAATGTATATAGTAATGTATACATATATGCATTATATATAATGTATATAGTAATGTATACATATATGCATTATATATAATGTATATAGTAATGTATACATATATGCATTATATATAATGTGCATGTATGTATATATGACTGATACATATATATGCATATATATAAAATGTATATATATGACTGACTATATATATATATATTTATTTATCGCCAAGGCAAATTAATAGTTTCTTTGGAACACACGCAAGAAATTAATTTCAGAGCTTATTTTGGAAGTTCCATTTTACATCAGGGCTTTATCATACACAGAAAGCAGGTGACTATGGCACTTCCCATTTATATGTAGACTAACTCAATAGGCCCATGTGGGCAGAGCCTCATTCTCTCAACTCAATTCTAAAATGTAAAGACTAAAATAGTGTTACTATTTCAACTATTAATCACAAACATCTTAGCAAAGCTTAGTGTAATAAGTATTTTCTTTCTAATCCTTCCTGAACTTTTATCATCCAGTTTAGCAAAGTATTAACTAGGACAACTACATATGCATGCAACCAAACCTTTTAGATGATGATGGAAGAGTCCCACTATATTCTGAATGCTTTCTCAATCCTTTGATTACTAATCCTGTTTTTGTTTTGTTTTGAAATGGGGTCGCATTCTGTTGCCCAGGCAGGAGTGCAGTAGCACGAACAAGGTTCACTGCAGCCTCAAACTCCTGGGATCAAGCCATCCTCCCACCTCAGCCTTTCAAGCAGCTGGGTAGACAGGTGCACACCACCACGCCCAGCTGATTTTTCTTTTCTTTTCTTTTTTTTTTTTTTTTTTTGGAGAAGTAGGTTCTTGCCATGTTGCTCCAGCTACTAATCCTGTTTTTAAATTACGCAAAGAACGATACTGCTATCAATCTTCAAATGAGTTTTCTACCCTTAACCTGCCAATTATTCACAGAAACTAAGTCACGGCCACCGCCTAGAGCTTACTGCAAGATTGTCAAAAGACAAGCAATGCCAATTTTCGATTGTATTCTTTTTATAAATTCAGAATTCTCCAAATTGTATCACATACCTCATCACCATAAAAAGATAGCCCCAAAAATTGTTTCTTGATGGCATATCCTTGGCAAAGCAGAAAAATCTAATTTGGATAATTTCCTTCAATTATACTCCTCCCCAACTTTTAGATTATATATTAAAGAAGGCTTTTTAAATGGTAAGTTTTAAAACATTTTTTAAGAAAGTCCAATTTCAATATTATCAGCCTTTATTGAATAAGGTCCTCCTGGCATGAGCCAAATACTATATACTAAAGATTTGACACAAAAGATGACCATAGAAGTTCTCTTGCCCTCAACGAGTTAGAAAGTAGGTTTCCCTATTTCTTTTAATCACCTTCCACTTAACTCTATGCCCATTTAACTGGCATTTTGAGGATTCATGGAAGTAGCTACTTGCTTTACATTTTTAAGCACAGAGTCAACAGAGGTACATTCCAATACACCAAAACCATACATACCAGGAAAAATTCTTAGTAAATCTCACAAAATATTGCTATTTAGATATGGATCTGAATAAAATGTTACTTAATATAGAATGAAGTTCGGATTTAACTAGAAATATGCAATTGATGAGAATTAAATGGTCTGGCTAAACAAAATTCTTCAATTACTCATTTGTAGGAAAAAAGTACACATGTATGAATTATTCCTCATATTGACAGTTTTAAATATCTCCAAAATTATTAAACTGGTATCCAGAATTACCATAAGGAAAAAAAAGAAATTGGCAATTTTTTCTATACAAATGTCAAATACCACATCAATCCTAGAACCTTCTACAGCCCCCACAGATTTCAGCTTTTCAGAGTCTTCTCTTTTCTGGAGTTTAGAAAAGAGACTGAAAGGTTTTAGGTAGGCTGGGTAAGGTGGCTCACATCTGTAATCCCAACACTCTGGGGGGCCCAGGTGGAGGACTGCTTGAGCCCAGGAGTTTGAGACCAGCCTGGACAACATGGCAAAACCCTCATCTCTACAAAAAAATACAAAAAAAAAAAAAAAAAAAAATTGCCAGGTGTGGTGGCAGCCGCTTGCAGTTCCAGCTACTCAGGAGGATGAGGTGGGAGGATCAACGGGGCCCAGGAAGTCGAGGCCGCAGTGAGCCATGAATGCGCCACTGCACTCCTGCCTGAGTGACAGTGAGACCTTCATAAATAAATAAATAAATAAATAAATAAGAAAATCAAGGTTTTAGGTAGAAGGAAAGTTGCTTTTACATCTGTTATGTAATTACCACCACACATGAAATATAAACAAGAAAAAAAAAACATTTGTAACAATCACTTCATATTTTTCTTTGAAACCTCATTAAATACCACAACAAAATGCTAACAGTAACTACCTATAGCATTGACTAACTTCTTGATATACTTACTTCTTTCTTCTATTTACTTACGCCTTCCTATATTTCTCAAATTTTCTTCAAAAAATGTTTTAACATTTTTAAACTTTACTACAAAAAGGAAGCAGGGGCCAGGTGCAGTGGCTCACGCCTGTAATCCCAACACTTTGGGAAGCCAAGGTGGGTGGATTGCTTGAGGCCAGGAGATCAAGATCAGCCTAGACAACATGGTGAAACCCTGTCTCTACTGAAAATACAAAAATTAGCCAGGCATAGTGGTGTGCGCTTGTAGTCCCAGCTACTCGGGAGGCTGAGACACAAGAATTACTGGAACCCCGGAGGCGGAGGTTGCAGGGAGCCAAGATCGCATCACGGCACTCCAGTCACTGGGCAACTAAGTGAGACTCTTGTCTCAAAACAAAAAAAAAGAGAGAGAAGAAGAAGGAGAAGGAGAAGAAGGAGAAGGAGAAGGAGAAGGAGAAGGAGAAGAGGAAGAGGAAGAGGAAGAGGAAGAGGGAGAAGAGGAAGAGGGAGAAGAGGAAGAGGGAGAAGAAGAAGAGGGAGAAGAAGAAGAGGGAGAAGAGGGAGAAGGAGAAGAGGGAGAAGGAGAAGAGGGAGAAGGAGAAGAGGGAGAAGGAGAAGAGGGAGAAGGAGAAGAGGGAGAAGGAGAAGAGGGAGAAGGAGAAGAGGGAGAAGGAGAAGAGGGAGAAGGAGAAGAGGGAGAAGGAGAAGAGGGAGAAGGAGAAGAGGGAGAAGGAGAAGAGGGAGAAGGAGAAGAGGGAGAAGGAGAAGAGGGAGAAGGAGAAGAGGGAGAAGGAGAAGAGGGAGAAGGAGAAGAGGGAGAAGGAGAAGAGGGAGAAGGAGAAGAGGGAGAAGGAGAAGAGGGAGAAGGAGAAGAGGGAGAAGAAGAAGGAGAAGGAGAAGGAGAAGGAGAAGGAGAAGGAGAAGGAGAAGGAGAAGGAGAAGGAGAAGGAGAAGGAGAAGAAGAAGAAGAAGAAGAAGAAGAAGAAGAAGAAGAAGAAGAAGAAGAAAGGAGGAGGAGGAAGCAGCAGCAGCAGCAGCAGCAGGGCTCCTTGGAGAAATTCTAGGACACAGGCAGAAAATATACAAGATAAGCCTGGAGCATCTTGGAGTATCAGAAACAAAGAAAGTAGAGAAGGTAGAGAAAGACAAGGGCTCAAAAAATAAAACAATGTGGTATGTCAGATACAGGGGCCAACTGAAAGAGCTCTTAATGGTCAAAGCTGAAACAAATTTGAGCAACACAATAAACAACATAGGTTCATATTGATATAAATGAATGACTGAAGAAGTAAATAAACAGGGGAGAACAGAAAAAGTTTTCATTGTATGGGAAAGGAGTTAACCTAGCAGGCCTGACTGCTATCCTTTGAAAGGCCTTACAAGGTTGGCCCTTGGCTGGCATCTGAGAAATTAGATTTTGGGAGGGACCCACCACTCCCAGAACTGGTTAAGAGTGGCTCCACTATGCCTAAACTGTTTGTATAAATAATACAATTTACATCAAACACCTGCTTTCCTCCTGGGCATCTAAAATTTGAGTTTATGCCAGGTAAGGGGGTGCCCACATGAATAGCTCCAATAAAAACCCTGAGCACTGTCTCTAATGAGCTTCCAGGGTTGGCACCATTTCACCTGTGGTGTGATAGTTCATTCCTAGGGAAATAAAAACAGGAAGAAATGGGTAATTTCATTATGGAGAAACCTGACAAACACTACCTCAGCCAGGAGATCAAGGTTAACATTATCAGTGATAAGTCATTTTAATACTACAGACTCTTGATAATGATGTGATGAGAATGGCACTTAATCTGTATTCTTCTTCCCAAAAACCTTTAAGCCCAGTCTAACCATTATAAAGAAAAAACATGAGACAAATCCAAATTGAGGGACAGTATACAAAATACCCAACCAATAATCCAACATTATCAAGATCATTAAAAACAAGGAAAATCTGAGAAATTGTCACAGTCTAGAGGAGCCTAAGGAAATGTGGCAACTGAATGTAAAGTGGTTTCTTGAAGCAGAAAAAGGACAATAGATAAAAATAAGACAAATTCAAATAAAATATGAGCTTTTGTAAATAATAATGCATCAACATTGGTTTATTAGCTGTAAACAGTGTACAACAATGTAAAATAGTAACAGCAGTGGAAACTGATTGTAGAGTACACATAAACTCTTTGTACTATCCCTGCAACTTTTCTATAAATCTAAAAGTATTCCGAAATAAAAAGTTTGTTAAAAAAAATTTCATTTTCAAGACTTCTACTTCTAGCCCTGAGGGAGTAACTGGAATTGGGCTTATTCTCCTACCATAAATAATTACAACATTGTACAAAGTATATGATCAAGGTTTTCAGACATGACAAAGGAGAATGATGACCCCTGAGAGATGAGAGACAAATAAGAGGAACACTACAAGCACCTCAACTTCTGCCTAAGGGCACTTTCAGGACTACAGTACAGGAAGGGATCCCATGAAGTCCCACAAACCACAGTAGAGGTCCCCATTAAATACTGAGGGCATTCTGTAGATTCTCCAGAAGGTCATGCCTCATAATGGGGCTAGCAACTATCTAAGCACTCCTTAAAGTAGTTTCAAAGACTCCAAAACAATCCTCTAAACCAAGCTGCAAAGGATCAAGCTGATCTGCAAGTAACTGCCTTCCAAAACAAACAACACTCTTTAAAATAATGTGACAAAATCCAGCACTCAGCGATGTCACAAATGGCAACATCCAATTGAAATGTATTAAATGTGTCAAGGAGTAGGAAAATGTGTCCTATAAAACCAGTCAATAGAGTAGACCTAGAAATGACAGAGATGACAGAATTGATAGGTTCTTTAAACGGCAATTATAAATAAGTTCCAGGATGTAAAGGAAAAAATAAATACAATGAAGAAGAAATAGAAAATAAAAGACTCAAATAAAATGGAGAAAGAAAAACACAGTATCTAAAACAATAAATTCACTATGTAGAACTAACAGAGGATAAGATGCTGCCAAAGAAAAAATCAGTAAACTTGGAGAAATGGATATAGAAACTCTCCAAAGTGAAGCACTGACAACTAAACATAATGAAACAAACAAACAAAAATGAACCTAGACTCAGTGATTTATGGAACAGCAGCAAATGGTCTAATATATATGGAATTGGAATCTCAGAAGGAGTGAATGGAAAATATTAATTGAGGACAGGCACAGTGGCTGACACGTGTAATCCCCAACACTTCAGGAAGCCAAGGCGGGAACACTGCTTGAAGCCAAGAGTTCACGGCCAGCCTGGGCAACATAGTGAGACTTTGTCTCTATAAACAAATTTAAAAATTAGGACCTGTAGCCCTAGCTAGTCAGGAGGCTAAGGCAGGAGGACCATTTGAGCCTAGGAGTTTGACGTTACTGTGAGCTACTACCTGCAGCCTGGGCAACAGAGCGAGACCCTGTCTCTAAAAAAAATAACAATAACAATAATATTTTTTAAATAAAGTAAATTTAGAAAATAAAATATTATTCGAAAAAATAATGATCAAAAAATTTCTAAAATTGACTGGCTAAACCCACAAATCCAAAAATCTCAAGCAAAAGTAAACAACTACCCAAAGAAAAAGCATGCTAAGGTGCACCATAATCAAACTGCTGAAAACCAGTGATAGAGAAAGAATCTTAAAAGCAAGAAATTAGCCAGCACAGTGGCGCGTGCATGTAATCCCAGCACTTTGGGAGGCCAAGGTGGGCAGATCAATTGAGCCCAGGAGTTTGAGACCAGCCTTGGCAACATAGCAAGATCTCATCTCCTGAAGAAAAAAAAAAAAAAAAAAAGCAGGAAATTATACAAGGCAGAAGTTAGAATGACATCAATGAAAAGCTTAAAGCATAAAACTACTGACCCAGAATTCTATATCCAGTAAAAATATCTTTCAAATATAATAGGAAAGTAAAAATGTTTCCAAGACAGACAAAAGCTAAAAGACTTTGTCACCAACAAATCTGCACTACAAAAAATAAAAAAGAAGTTCTTCAGGTGGAAAGAAAATCATGCAAGATGAAAACTTGAATCTATACAAATGAATGAAGAATGTCAGAAACAGTAAATGTGTAGTTAAAATACTTTTTGTTTCTCATTTTAAATGTCCTTTCAAAGTTAATTAACTATTTAAAGTAAAAGTAATTAACAATGAACATTTGGGTTTATAATATATGTAGAAATAAAACAAGTGACTACAATAGCACATAGGAGGACAAACAGAAGTATAAGGTTTCAGGTTCTTATATTATATGTAAAATGTTATCCTACTATTTGAAAGTAGGCTGTGAGAAGTTGAAATTCATTTTATAAACCCCAGAACAGCTACTTTTTAATTAAATATATAATTTAATTTAATTTAATTTATATATACATAAAATAAGCCAAGAATAGAATAAATTAGAATACTAAAAACTACACAATTAATCCAAAAGAAAGAAAAGCGGGTGGGGAAAGAAAACACAACAGATAGGACAAAAAGGAAACAAACAGCAAGACAGATTTAAACCCAAACATGTCGGTGGTTACCTTCAATACAAGTGATCTAAAAACTGCAAAGAATAATTGAGTAAATAAAAGAGATCCCCCTTCCTGGCTAACACGGTGAAACCCCGTCTCTACTAAAAATACAAAAAATTAGCCGGGCGTGGTAGCGGGCGCCTGTAGTCCCAGCTACTCGGGAGGCTGAGGCAGGAGAATGGCGTGAACCCGGGAGGCGGAGCTTGCAGTGAGCCGAGATCGCGCCACTGCACTGCAGCCTGGGCGACAGAGCGAGACTCCGTCTCAAAAAAAAAAAAAAAAAAAAAAAGAGATCCCCTTGTGTCCTTGGAGAGGTTAGAATGCAATAGTGGATATTAGAAGTGTGTGTGTCCAAATGTTCCCACATACAAACACGTATATAAAATTACGAACTGTGATGAAGTGCTGTGAAGGCAGTGAAGGGGATATACTCACAGAGGAAACCAGAGGGAGCCTGAGATAGGGTGGTCAGGGAAGGCCACTCTGTGGGAACAACATCAAACATGAAACTGTTCAGCAGGTGGGTATTCTTCTGAAGAATGAATCTTTATGCTCAAGCCCAAAAAGAAAAAAGGATAAAAGCAAAGGAACTCTGGCTGACCACGGTTAAAGTGCCAGAGTCCTATCCACTGGGCTCTTCCATTTACCTGAAATGATTCTCAGAGAACATCTGAAATACTCAGAGGGCTCCAGGAAATATTAAAGTAGATACTGAAATGCCCAAGAAGGGTTTTGAGATCAGAACAAGATCAGACAGGCCACTTGACTGGTTAGGTGGCGAGGGGACTTGCAGAGGACACAGTGGAAGTCAATGGGCTATTTAAATTGCTGAGGTGAAAGACAATTACTTTAAAAGAA
The DNA here is from genome assembly GCF_000001405.40 of Homo sapiens. Taxonomy (NCBI): domain Eukaryota; kingdom Metazoa; phylum Chordata; class Mammalia; order Primates; family Hominidae; genus Homo; species Homo sapiens. The sequence continues at coordinate 48,664,367 of NC_000004.12, forward strand.
AATAGTACACTGATAGTAATTAGGAAGAAGGCAGTAAGAATGAAAATAAGGAAACAGATTTCCAATTTTTCCTGCTAGATATTTCCTGATGTATTTGGTGACTAACAAAATGGAAAAACATAAGTAAAGTTAAAATATTCAAAGGTGACCCCCAGGCTTAGCGGACTCAGTAGAAGGTCATGCTGAATGTGGAATAGCCCGGTATGGGTCACATAAAGAAGAGTCTAGGCTATATATTAATAAATCTAAAATACAAAGGGATGAAAGTACTAGACAGCAGAGAAGTAGACAGATTACCAGTCCCACATAGCTCTCACGGCATCTTGTTTATTTATGAAGGGGAAAAGTGAATTATTTTCAAGTGCTTGCTAGCCAACAATAACCACACTTAATGAATTCAGCTGAACTGAGGAAAAAGAAAGCAGTAAAGAGACAATAATTCAAATATAGCAGTATCAAAGGTAAACAAAATAAACCACTCAATAATGAAGAGAATCTGTTGCTGAAACAGTTGGACCAGAATTCTGCCTAGAATTCTAAATAGAAAGGTTTCAGGTCATGTCCAAATTAACTGCTTATATTTAGAAGTATAAATCAAGTTTCTAATCATAGCTATAAGTGGGTTTCTAAAAAAGGTAAGTTTTATACAAATGTTACAGATTGGACCAGTGCAATAATATACTCATAAGTTAGCAACATAAAACCAGTAAGAAAGTATTTTAACTAAGCTCTGTAATTTGGGGTGTGGTTACCTATGCAGCAATTATATTGCTTGTGTAAGCCATAAGGTACAATTACTGTTACATTCCTGACACAGGTATTCATTAATAGCCCAATTTGTTCCTGGCTTTTGGTTTTAGTTCTTTTTATATATTTCACACATTTAAAAAACATTCCTCTGCTAGAATGAAACAGTCTAGAAGATCACACACCATACCAATTTCCTATCAAATTTGGCACAGTGCTAGATGATATTATTTATTCAAAGATAAAACATCTGCTCTTTCCAAATATATTTAAAAATCATTCTCAAGCTCCTTTGAAATAGAGATAGAAATATTTAATTACTTGAAACAACAGTTTTTGAAGATATTGTTAATTAAAATCCAGATTTTAAAATTTCTATTCAAAAAGCTCCCAGTTACTGGATTTGTATTTTTATAACATAATGCATATTTATTTTATTGTCTTGAAGCTGGAATTATTAATACCAACATAGTTTCACTGACAATACAGGTTATACAGATGCTTAGGGAAGAAAGGGGTATCTGCCATCAAAATTGGCTAGTCCTAATGGAACAGAACGAGTAAAATTCTATGAATCACCCATAGTGTGAATATAGCAGAGCTGTTTTGAGCATGAAGTAGGTACTATTAATAATGATGCCAGAAAAGAGACTTAAACTGCAACTACCCAGGGTGTACGGAGACCTCTTACAGTCACCTTCTCCATGAAGCACTCATCACAAAGTAAAGGCTCACTATTTACTGCCAAAACTTGCCTTGTTTCCTAAATTGTCAGTAGTAAACTACATTTTCAATCAACTATAGGTTCTTTACCATTAAAGCCACCTTTGATATCACTCTAGTTTTAAACCACAGAGGTGAGTCAGCAAGGCTGTAACAAAATAAAGGTCTAAACCAGGAAAGGAAGAGCCAATAAACTGCAGAGGCAACCAAATATAAGAGCAAAAATAACTCTTAAGAGGACAAGGCCAAGCACAGTGGCTTACGCCTGTAATTCCAGCACTTTGAGAGGCCAAGGCGGGCAGATCACTTGAGGTGAGGAGTTTGAGACCAGCCTGGCCAACATGGTGAAACTCTGTCTCTACTAAAATAAAAAACCAAAAATTAGCCAGGTATGGTGGCACACACCTGTAATCCCAGCTACTCGGGAGGCCGAGGCAGGAGAATAGCTTGAACCCGGGAGGTGGAGGTTGCAGTGAGCCGAGACCACGCCACTGCACTCCAGCCTGGGTGACACAGTGAGACTCAGTCTCAAAAAATAAATAAAAAGTAAATAAATAAATAAATAAATAAATAAATAAGAATTAGAGAACCAATAGGGTTAAAAGGAAAAGATGAAAAGATCATCCAGTAAAATTCAATGGGCAAGTCCAAAACATAGATAAATGTTTATGCATGGTTAACCTTAATCAAAATGCACTGTATTCAAAGCAATTTAGAAAAAGCTAACTTCATAATCTTAATATTCCTTAAACCCCCACTCTAAACCTAGAAAACCAGAATCTATTGTTTAATAAGATCCCCTACGTGATTCTTAAGCACGTCCAACTTTAAGGGCTACTTAACAGGAAATTTTGGAAGCCTAAGAAATAATAAAGAGAAATTTTCTGTATTGATTACAATGAACGTTTCATAGTTTTTTTTTAAAGTTTCTTCATCAAGTTGACTAGAAATGTGCATCAGCTTATACTTCCTCTTGAGGACAGTGTAAGAGATCATCAAACGGCCCATTTAATCTTAACTCACTCTTTAGAAACACAAAAACCCATCAAAAGTCTAAGTAAAAGAACTAAGTATAAGAAGAATTTAGGTAAGATTACTATGATTTACTTTGTAATAACTAAAATTATTTTGGATTGTTTAACAGTTTAAATAAGTCAGTGATGGCATGTTTGCTTTGCTAGATAGACTAATCCTCATCCTGATTGCCATCTTTCTGCAAAGAATCATCTGAGATGGTCTAGGTTACCTTTACAGCTAATTTTTTTTAAAACAAAACAAAATGACTCAGATTAATAAATTTTATTATTAAAATAAAACAAAGTATGTATTCTACCCCCATATGTAGCAGGATGGGGTGGGAGAGATGAGTGGAAGGCATGTAGGTATACCCTAGTGGACAATCCATTCCACTGAGGACAGGTCATTGAAGACAGGTCCATACAACAAAATAACTAATAAAAGCAACCACTTCAGAACTGCAAATCAGGATACTGGGCACATACAGGAAATGTGTTAAGCCAACAATTGTTATCTCTAAAAAATAAAACATCCGGCCTTCCAAAAACAGTCACACAGAATCACAGAACCCCACCCCCTCGCTTTTTTTTTTTTGAACTGGAGAGATTTTAGCAATCATTTATCATAATCTCTTAAATTCCATGAGACAACTGAAGACCAAGGAAGATAAGCAATATAGTAGGATCTCAAATCAAATTAATAAATATTTACTGAACACCTGCTACAGATAAAACACTATTCCAAGGGTTACAGAAAATAGAACTAAGTATAATATTGGACCCTTTCTTCAAAGCTTCCATTCTTTTTTTTTGGAGACAGGATCTTGCTCTGTCTCCCAGACTGGAGTGCAGTGGTGCGATCTCAGTTCACTGTAACCTCCGCCTCCCAGGTTCAAGCAATTCTCTTGCCTCAGCCTCCCCAGTACCTGGGATTACAGGTGCACACCACTACAGCTGGCTAATTTTTATATTTTTAGTAGAGACAGGATTTCACCATGTTGGCCATGCTGGTCTCAAACTCCTGGCCTCAGGTGATCCACCCACCCTGGCTTCCCAAAGTGCTGTGATTACAGGCGAGAGCCACAGCGTCCGGCCAAAGCCTCCATTCTCTATTTCCCAGGTAAGTTACTTGTATGTAGCTCTCTGATGTTACCAATATTCTTTTCTGTGGTCTAGCTTAGGGGTTGGAAAACTGACCCCCAAGGCCAAATCTGGCCCAACAGCTGTTTTTTTAAATAAAGTTGTAGTAAAATGCAGCCACACACATTCACTCGCATATCATCTAGAACCACTTTGGCTCTACAAAGCCAGAGCTAAGTACCTGCGACAAAGACCTGTGGCCTGCAAAGCCTAAAATATTTACTATCTGGCCCTTTACAGAAAAGGTTTACTAACTGCTGTTCTAGATTGATCATCGTTTGCTTAATTTGAGGTGGTTTTTTTGTTTTTCTCTTTCCATTTTGAAACTAAGGCTGGAGATCGCATCACTGCACTCCAGCCTAGGTGACAGAGCAACACTCCATCTCAAAAAATTAAAAAAAAAAAAAAAAAGAAAGAAAGAAACTAAGACTGGTTTTGCCTAGGGAACCATTGCCTACTGAGCAATGTGCTAGATGGTTTTGAAGGACAAGTCAGTGAGCTAAATATGGCAACTGACAGCACTTCTTGTTAACAAGTAAAAACTTGCTCTGGTACATGAAAGCTAGAGGACTCTTAACATTTATTTAACAAAGGTTTACTAACTGCTTAAGAAGTGCTTGCCACTGGGCTAAGCTCTGGGGTACCCACAAAAGTCAGACCAACTCAGTCCTCAACCCACTATCTGGTAAAAAGAAACAATACTTTCATGTTAAATAGAATAATAACTGAGGCTAGGCGGTGAGGAAAACTTATTAACCCCAACGATAGTCATACAAGAGATTTCCACTCCCCTTGTAGATTCCAGTTTCAGGAAGTCACCAGAATTGGAGGCTTATTAACTATAGCTGCCTCAACCCAAAGGCCACAACTTGTATCTGGGTGGGGTTAACCCTTGGACTGAATATTGCTTCCTGAATTCCCTTTATAGCATTTGATTTTTGTTTAACCTTTACAGAATATTCCTTTAGTTACATTTTAAACTTCAACTTAGCTTTATTCTTCTTAACCTATTCTACTCTTCTTTTTAAAACCGTATCTTTATTTTTTCAATATTTTGAGATAGACATTTTATTGTCTTATTCATCTTTTTACACCTTTATTATTTTAGTATGTTTTACTTGCTATTTATTTAGCGATACATTTACTTATCAATACATTTTTCTTATCTCCTTTGTTTCAATTATTTTACCTTAGATTCAATACTGCTTTCCTTTTGCTTCTTAAGTGAGGAATAAGCAGCTGTGATCATCAAAACAGTCATCCACCAGGAAGGTGCAGCAACTGAACAATTAGAGCAGGTGCAGCCTCAGAGTGGAGCTGAGTTCTGGGAGCCCTACGGTGTGCCTCACCCTTTAGTTTATGAAACATATGGTGGTCCTGGGATGAGGGCAGGGGTATTTGAGCATCACGAGCAATTGGGGGAGGAGATTTAGTAGTGGCTAAATATCAACTGATATGACAAATGGTAATATTTTAACAACCAGTGTCACCATACCAGTACATACTGGATATACACCAGTCTTGTGACTAGTATAATTTGCATTATAATTTATAATAATATTATAAGGGTATATATATATAAAGGATATATATGTAAAATTATATTAAAGGGATATATATAATTTTTATTACATAAAAATTTTATTAAATAAAAATTATATATCTCATTAATTATGTATATCCTCTTTATATATCCCTTATATTATTATTAAACATATATTTAATACATAAACATTTTTAAAAGATGGAGGAGACAGATGTATGTTTACTTCAATTAAGTTTCCTGCAAATTCTAAAAGCCAAGGAAATAAAGATCCTGACCCTAAATTTAACCATACTTAACTGTCCCAATTTTTAATAATATACATCCGTGTAACTTTGGGAGGCAGTCTAAAAAGACAGCTTTTAAAATAATTTTTTTACTGTCAATTTTTTTTTTACATTTTTTAAAATCATTTTTTACTTTTAATTTTTATGAATAGATAGTAGGTGTATATACACATGGGGTGCATGAGACATGTTCATACAAGCATGCAATGTGTAACAATCACAGGGTAAATGGAGTACCCATCACCTCAAGCATTTATCCTTTGCATTCCAGACAATCCAATTATACCTTTTTAGTTTTTTTAATGTACAATTAAATTATTTTTTACTATAGGCTGGTGCAGTGGCTCATGCCTGTAATCCCAGCACTTTGGAAGGCTGAGGTGGGTGGATCACTTGAGGTCAGGAGTTTGAGATCAGTCTGGCCAACATGGTGAAACCCATCTCTACTAAAAATACAAAAATTAGCTGGGCATGGTGGCACACACCTGTAATCCCAGCTACTTGGAAGGCTGAGGCAGGAAGACTGCTTGAACCCGAGAGGAGGAGGCTGCAGTGAGCCGAGATTGTGCTACTGCACTCCAGCCTGGGTGACAGAGTGAGACTCCATCTCGAAATATATATATACATATACATATATATATGTATATATATATAATTTTTTTTACTATAGTCACCCTGCTGTGCTAGCAAATACTAGATGTTATTCATTCTTTCTAACTATTACTATTTTTGTAACTATTGACCATCTCCACTTCCCCACTCCTAGCCTCTGATCTCATCACTGCTTTTCCCAGCCTCTGGTAACCATCCTTCTACTCTATCTCCATGAGTTCAACTGTTTTAACTTTTAGCTCCCACAAGTGAAAACATGTGAAGTCTGTCTTTTGTGCCTGGCTCATTTCACTTAACATAATGACCTCCAGTTCCATCCATGTTGCTGCAAGTGACAGAATCTCATCCTTTTTCACAGCTGAATAGTACTCCACTGTGTGTATGTACCACATTTTCTTTATCCATTAATCTGTTGGTGGACATTTAGGTTGCTTCCAAATCTCGGCTGTTGTGAATAGTGCTGCAATAAACATGGGAGTGATGATATCTCTTTGATATACTGATTTCCTTTCTTTTGGGTATACACCTAGTACTGGGATTGCTGGATCCTATATAGTCACTCTATTTTTAGATTTCTGAGGAACCTCCGTACAGTTCTCCATAGTGGTTGTACTAATGTACATTCCCATCAATAGTGTACAAGGGTTCGCTTTTCTCCACATCCTCACCAGCGTTTGTTACTGCCTGTCTTTTGGATAAAAGTCATTTTTAACTGGAGTGAGATGATATCTCACTGTAGTTTTGATTTACACTTCTCTGATCATCAATGATGTTAAGCACCTTAAAAAGATACTTAAGAAGTGATTAGACTAACTATAAAAATACCCAACAAAAACTACTGATATAGTACTGTTGCACGAACTTCTTAAAAAACCTTTGTATCTGAATCACACAATCATTTGGCAGTAGCTATATGGAAGACACACATTATGAACAAAAAAGGAAAGCTAGGGCCGGGTGTGGTGGCTCACACCTGTAATCCCAGTACTTAAGGAGACTGGGGCAGGTGGATCACCTGAGGTCAGGAGTTCAAAACCAACCTGGCCAACACGGTGAAACCCCATCTCTCCTAAAAATACAAAATTAGCTGGGTGTGATAGCGCATGCCTGTAACCCCAGCTACTCGGGAGGCTGAGGCAGGAGAATCGCTTGAACCCGGGAGGCAGAGGTTGTGGTGAGCCGAGATTGCACCATTGCACTCCAGCCTGGGCAACAAGAGCAAAACTCCATCTCAAAACAAAACAAAACAAAAATACAAAAATACAAAAATTAGCCGGGCCTGGTGGTGCACGTCTGTAATCCCAGCTACCCAGGAGGGTGAAGCACAAGAATCGCTTGAACCTGGGAGGCAGAGGTTGCAGTGAGCCAAGATCACGCCACTGCACTCCAGCCTGGGCGAGAGAGAGAGACTCCGTCTCAAAAACAAAAAAAAAAAAAACAAAAAAAAAAAAAAAAAAGAAGGAAAGACAGAAAAAGGTGCTCTGTTTCAAGCCCCATTAACTGTCCTATAAGTCAAGTGCTAAAATTTTCAGGAATTATGCACAATAAAAGACCTAGATCCAAATTCCTAGAATACTTTCTGTGACAGAATGCTCCAAGGTTAAATTTGTAATTAAATTGATTCATCTACATCCAAATAAAAATCAAGAAGTCTTTGTAATAACAATAGACACCATTTACTGAACAATTATCAATTTTGTTGACAATTTTTTATAATCTTGAAAACAATGCTAGAAAGAAGATATGATTCAAATTGATAGGTGAGGTTAACTAGTCTAGAGCGATTAAGTAGCCGGTTCAAGGCAAGTCACTGGTACAGCTCAGCTTAGTCTGGATGGAAGTGCCATCTCCTTCCTTTCTCAACATTTCACTGCCTGGCCCCCCATCATGACTGTAGGTATTCCCAATATTCCTCCTTTGTCATGAGAATTCCCAGAAGATAACAGAGAAGACATGAATACAACAACCCAATAGGGCTTCTCCTAAATCTTCCAATAATTACAGCCTGAAAAGTACTCCGAAGACCCTCTTAAGAAAAGGAACATATTTCACACTATGACACTATGAAAGCCCAGTGCTTCCAAATCCTATTTGTAGTAGGAAAAAGAAGTCCTGACCTCCTTCACACACTTACATAGTAAGTATGAGGTTCTATCTTGGTCAGGCTGAAAGTTCCATAGCAAACTGATTATTATTTGGAGCTCAGGTTCTTCCAGGCATTGTGCTGCCCAGCAACCTTTTTTATCACTTCTGAATTCCAAACAATTCTCCACCTCCTTCAGTGTATCAAATCATAAGCATCTGAAGTGTCAGAAACCTCAACTCAATTTTCTCCCAGGACCTTCTCTAAACTCCTCAAGAATACTCTGGTCTTCAATGAAGACTTAAGTCACCCATTATCCACTTTGTTCCCTTCTAAAAAGAAAGTGGCCTGTCATGTTATTCCTCTACCCAACATTAAGAGTATCAAACAAAAATCTGCTAATCTGGACTTAACACAAGTTAACAACTGAGAGCAATGGTTCTATGAAAACAAAACTGAAAAGATCACTTACTAAGGAAATCCAGTTAGTAAAATAAGTGCTACATCGTGGGTTGTCCCTGCTAGTGAGCTGTGCTGAATACCTAGGGAGAGGTATACCAGTATACGATTTAAACATTTATATCTCATGAAGCCATTAACACTTTGTAATGAAATGGAACCAATACAATATGTGTCTCTTGTTTTGTAAAAGTCATGTAAAATAGCCATTTACTTAATCAGTTTATCTCACCAGAGTGTTACAAAAACTAATTATCAACTGATCATTAAAGACAGTTTCAAAGACTAATGCTTAATACACACTAGAATTAAAGTTTTTTCCTATTAAAATATATCTTCAAATGAAAGCACCAAAAAAGTACATGTTCTTTAATAAAATAATAAAACTTGATAGATACACTAGTCTTTATTTTTTTAAGAGACAGAGCCTCGCTATGCTGCCCAGGCTGGAATGCAGAGGCTATTCACAGATGTCATCATTGGATACTGCAGCCTGGAACTCCTGGGTTCAAGTAGTCCTCCAGCCTCAATCTCATAAGTAGCTGGGACTACCGGTGCATGACACTGCACCCATCAGACACACTAGTCTTTTAAAAAAAAAATACTGTATACCTAAAGATTCAAAAACATCAAACAATAATGCAATGCAATAGAGTAGAAGGAGCAAACGCCTTATTTTAAAACAATGGCATGGCTATATCACTTAGTAATCAAAAGGCCTCAAATAATTTTAAGTTCCCAGGAATGTTTAAAATTCTAGATAACGACCTGTCTCACAGGGTTGTCAAGAGGACTTAGATAACATTCACTAACTTCAATCAGTGAGCAACTATTATGTCCCAAGCCTTGGAACACATGAAACAAAACAAAGTTCACGCTCAGCTTATGTTCTATTTGATGTGGGGAATGGAACACATATGTACTAAATAGGTAGACAAATGAGATCACTTCAGTTATTGGTAAAACAGAACAAGTTAATAGTGTCCAGAATATAGAAGGTGCTCATATGTTTCTTCCATTCTTAATGGTGGTATATATCTTCTTCTGTTAAATGTATCATTGTCTCTGTTCTTGATGAATTTTATAAAAATCAATGTTAAAATATATTTTTTGTTACATTAACCCTTATCCTTGATTCCAAATGGAATGAACAGCGACAATATTAATGTTGATTCCATCAGAATAAAATAACCCAATCCGAGACATAGAAGGACTTCTCTGTTCAACAGTCAGAAAACATTGTTAGTACATTCTGAATCAGTAAATAATATCTTCCTCCCACCAACATTTATACCTGAATATAGATAATATAAGTTCCAATTCTACTAGTATTTATCAGTGAAACCAGTCTTGGATCACATAATTAGGACTCTACACACACACATACAAAAAAACAGTCTAAGGATATTTAAGCATTTCATGAATAGGATAAGATTATATCACATCACATGTGATCATTTTGATTTCTTTATTAAGTAGGAATAGCAAATAAATGATTTCTCTTAAAAATTGCAACATAGGGAGGCCAAGGCGGGTAGATCACGAGGTCAGGAGATAGAGACCATCCTGGCGAACACGGTGAAAACCCATCTTTACTAAAAATACAAAAAATTAGCCGGGCGTGGTGGCGGGCTCCTGTAGTCCCAGCTACTCGGGAGGCTGAGGCAGGAGAATGACGTGAACCTGGGAGGCGGAGCTTGCAGTGAGCCAAGATCGCTCCACTGCACTCCAGCCAGGGCGACAGAGCAAGACTCTGTCTCAAAAAAAAAAAAAAAAAAAAATAGCAACATTATACAGCTATATATAGTAGAAGCCCTTTGCTGTAACACAACTGTTGTCTAATTATTTAATCCAAAACTCCATTGAAGTAGAAATTGGGGGAAAAACAGATCAAGAGGTTCACTAAAAGTTTTATTTTAACTTAAAATATAAAATTCATGTTTATTCCCCAGCCTTTTGATATAGTGCCAAGGCCTTATCTTGCAAGGCAGATATGCTGATTACGCCATTGTCTTTTTGCCTAAAACGAAACCCATGTACATCAGCTATGACTTCAAGTTTCAATTTCTTTTTTCTTTTTTGTTTTTTTGACACGGAGTCTCGCTGTGCAGCCCAGGCTGGAGTGCAGTGGCGCAATCTCGGCTCACTGCAAGCTGCGCCTCCCGGGTTCACGCCATTCTCCTGAGAGGTGACAGCGCGCTGGCAGTCCTCAGAGCCCTCGCTTGCTCTCGGCACCTCCTCTGCCTGGGCTCCCATTTTGGTGGCACTTGAGGAGCCTTTCAGCCCACCACTGCACTGTGGGAGCCCCTTTCTGGGCTGGCCAAGGCTGGAGCCCACTCCCTCACCTTGCAGGGAGGTGTGGAGGGAGAGGCGCGAGCGGAAACCGGGGCTGCCTGCGGCGCTTGCGGGCCAGCTGGAGTTCCGGGTGGGCGTGGGCTTGCCAGGCCCGGCACTCGGAGCAGACGGCCAGCCCTGCTGGCCCCAGGCAATGAGGGACTTAGCACCCGGGCCAGCGGCTGCGGAGGGTGTACTGGGTCCCCCAGCAGTGCCAGCCCACCAGCGCTGCGCTCGATTTCTCACCGAGCCTTAGCTGCCTTCCCGCGGGGCAGGGCTGGGGACCTGCAGCCTGCCATGCCTGAGCCTCCCACCCACTCCATGGGCTCCTGTGTGGCCCTAGCCTCCCCGACGAGCACCACTCCCTGCTCCACGGTGCCCAGTCCCATCGACCACCCAAGGGCTGAGGAGTGCGAGTGCACAGCACGGGACTGGCAGGCAGCTCCACCTGCAGCCCCTGTGCAGGATCCACTAGGTGAAGCCAGCTGGGCTCCTGAGTCTGGTGGGGCCTTGGAGAATCTTTAGGTCTAGCTCAGGGGTTGTAAATACACCAATCAGCACTCTGTATATAGCTCAAGGTTTGTAAATACACCAATCAGCACCCTGTGTTTAGCTCAAGGTTTGTGAGTGCACCAATCAACACTCTGTATATCTAGCTGCTCTGGTGGGGCCTTGGAGAACCTGTGTGTCCAAACTCTGTATCTAACTAATCTGATGGGGACATGGAGAACCTTTGTATCTAGCTCAGGGATTGTAAACGCACCAATCAACACGGTGTCAAAACAGGCCACTCAGCTCTACCAATCAGCAGGATGTGGGTGGGGCCAGATAAGAGAATAAAAGCAGGCTGCCCCAGCCAGCATTGGAAACCCACTCGGGTCCCCTTCCACACTGTGGAAGCTGTGTTCTTTCCCTCTTTGCAATAAATCTTGCTACTGCTCACTCTTTGGGTCCATGCTGCTTTTATGAGCTGTAACACTCACCGCGAAGGTCTGCAGCTTCACTCCTGAGCCAGTGAGACCACGAACCCACCAGAAAGAAGAAACTCCCAACACATCTGAACATCAGAAGGGACAGACTCCAGACGCACCATCTTAAGAGCTGTAACACTCACCGCGAGGGTCCGCGGCTTCATTCTTGAAGTCAGTGAGACCAAGAAACCACCAATTCCGGGGACACTCCTGCCTCAGCCTCCTGAGTAGCTGGGACTACAGGCTCCCGCCACCAGGCCCGGCTATTTTTTTTTTTTTTTTTGTATTTTTATTAGAGACGGGGTTTCACTGTGTTAGCCAGGATGGTCTCAATCTCCTGACCTCGTGATCCGCCCGCCTCGGCCTCCCGAAGTTTTGGGATTACAGGCGTGAGCCACTGCGCCTGGCCAAGTTTCAATTTCTTTAAAGTGACAGAAGAAACTGAAGGTATCCAAGGGCAAAATCCTTCCAATCTTGTATACTTTCCTGGCCTATGTGAAATTCAAATGCACATTTTTCTCGGGAATTAATCTTTATGAAGTCTAACCAAAGCATTCAACTTTGTTTACACTGAAACAACTCTTGCTTTTGAATCGCACTTTATTGAATTATGTAATATTTAATTGAATTACATAATCACAATAAGTATAACTGGCATAAACAGATTTGTTTAAAAATATAACCAATTCTTGTTAAGCCCACAACTTAGCCTGTTAGGAGCAGAAATGGTAGCAGGGAATTTCATCAGTATTTAGTAGTGTGCTCTACAGGCATTTAAAAATATATTTTACAGAGGAATAGAGGATATTGGTGAAACCAAAGAGTTGTTTGAGAACTTCTAGGAAAATTTTTAAAATATTAGGCTACTTAACATTTAAAGAAAGTTAAAAATAAAAAAATTATCAATAGCAAAGAATCTTTAAAATATCATTCCCTTCAAATTACACATATTTTTGTTAAATCATAAGCATCTATAAATAATTCTACAGTTAAAAGCTGCAGGTAGATTTCTATATATTCTAAGCTAGACTTATTCTCGGTTGATTCTCTCACAAACGTACAACTGTCAGTACAGATTACAATCTTACCTAAAATATCTTAGGAAAAAATAACGATTTTTTGTGTGTGTGTTTTTGTTTTTTTTTTTGAGACAGAGTCTCTCTCTGTTGCCCAGGCTGGAATGCAGTAGTGCGATCTCGGCTCACTGCAACCTCATCCTCCCGGGTTCAAGCGATTCTCCTGCCTCAGCTTCCCAAGTAGCTGGGATTACAGGCGCCTGCCACCATGCCCGGCTAATTTTTGTATTTTTAATAGAGACGGGGTTTTGCCATGTTGGCCAGACTGATCTCAAACTCCTGACCTCAGGTGATCCGCCTGCCTTGGCCTCCCAAATTGCTGGGATTACAAGCGTGAGCCACCGCGTCAGCCCGAAAAAATAACTTTTTAAATATTGAATTAGTAATTAAAGAAGTTGGAAACAACTGATTCAAGTATAAAGCTTTGAGATTACATGCCATTTTTTTCTCTAAAAGAATAGCTCTTTCTTTGCATCTTTTTACATGAAGTCTCTCCATATCATCGAGTTCTCCTTTCAGTAAATGAACAAAACTGTAACACCCCTTAGGTGAACTGTACTGGTCATATTTTAATGACTTCTGGCTAAACCACTGCATTATCTCTATCCCAGAACCACCAGTAAATAGGAAGTAAGATTCACTTATGTTGAGACGCAAGTAACCTATGTGTACATTGGTATGAACCGTCATATTTACAATTTGTATATGCAATATAAATTTAGTATCAAATCTTGAGATTCAAGAGAAGGTATTGGCCGGGTGCGGTGGCTCATGCCTGTAATCCCAGCACTTTGGGAGGCCAAGGCAGGTGGATAACAAGGGTCAAGAGATCGAGACCATCTTGGCCAACATGGTGAAAATGATTGGCATAGCATTTCAAACGATGAAGCACAAATGGTCTACACAGAAATCAGGAAAAAATGGTTGAAAAAATTAACTCTAGATGGATTAAAGACTTAAATCTAAGACCTAAAACCATAAAAACCCTAGAAATATAAAAATTAGCTGGGTGTGGTGGTGTGTGCCTGTAATCTCAGCTACTCAGGGGGACTGAGGCAGGAGAATCGCTTGAACAAGGGAGGCGGAGGTTGCAGTGAGCCAAGATCGCGCCCCTGCACTCCAGCCTGGCGACAGAGCAAAACTCCATCTCAAAAAAAAAAAAAAAAAAAAAAAATAGAGAGAGAAGGAATTGATCAGTACAAGTACATTGGAAGAGCCAGACACTTTAAAACCAAATCTCTCTACATAAATTGCCAAATAATTTCTTTAAATTAATTTTAATAGTCATTTCCTGAGGTTGAATTTTTTTTTGCTTCCCCATCCTCAGCCCTGAATTTTATTTTTGAAGAGAAAAATCATGCAAGAGTTATTCCACAAAGAACCTGTAGCCTCAGAAATTTCAACATACATCAGATTATTTGCTGTTTCATGATTATGCTTTATTTTGATCTTGACTAGTAAAAACATATATACCATAGGAAATTCTTAATCATTAGATTGACTGCTTATTTGCAAATTAATACAAATTATAAAATCTAATTATTATAAATTGTAACATGTGTGCTGTATTTAAGAGTATAAGATAGTCTTTAAAAAAAAGAACCAGTTAAGAGATAAAAGTAAGGAGCCATATAAATAGGCATACCATATTACATTTAAATACCAAGTCCAATTATGTAGGCTGTAGTAAAGTGAAGAAAACAACTAAATGATTCAAGTAACTGCACATATTAATATATACATATTTTCACTTATGCATATACACTGTTGAACACAAAACCAAGTGCTGGCTGATTTATATTTTTTTAATTAAAATTATGAGATGCCAACCCATCAGTGGCCTCATTTCCATTTCTACTCAAATAAGCGAACAGTATACAAAATTGGTAACTCCTAATACCAGTACACACTAGACATCAATATATATTTCTTTTTAAAATGTAAAAGCTCCTTCTTTATTCTTTTACGTAACTGGTATTTTTTAAAAAGAAAGTATGGTTTCTCATAAATATACTATTTTTTAAACTGACATGAAACGATGGTAGGGAGAATATAAGGTAATGGGAACTCTCATATCCTACCCTAAGGAGCTTAAAATGATAAAGTTTTCAAAGGTAATCGCATTGTCTATCAAAACTTAAAAGGCAGTAGAACAGAAAATAGGAGAATCTAGGAAGGGCAGGGGGAAGGTGGGGGAATAGGGAGAGATTTGTTAAAAGATACAAAATTGCAGCTAGATAGGAGAAATAAGTTCTAGTGTTCTATACCACTGTAGGATGACCATAGTAATAATATACAGTTTCAAACAGCTAGAAGGAAAATATTGAATGTTCTAACACAAAGAAATGATAAATGTCTGAGATGATAGATATGCTAATAACTCTGGTAAGATCACTATACACTGTAAGTATCAAAACATCGCTATGTAACCCATGAATATGTACAATTATGATGTCAATTTTAACAAATAAAATGTAATATAATTTTAATATGAAATCTTATACTAATAAGCACTCATCCCAAAGTATGAAGTGATATATCAATGAATATTACATAATTATTTTTAATAACTAAAAAGTAGTCATTCTAAATGTTCCTCTATAAGGAATTGAATAAATCATTATATTCACACAACAAAGCACATTTCAAATGAGACAGGAAGATGTCTATGATGTACTAAATGAAAAAGCAAGTATCAGAATGACTTGGACAATAAGTCTCATTTTTTCAAATTCTGCTAATAAAAATGTGTATGTGCATGCTTAAATATGTATACATATTAAAATATGCATGGAAAACAGCTATAATACATATCAAACTTGCAGAGGGTTTACAGAAACTCCCTTCTAATAAATAGCATATTAATTTATAGGTACAGCTATTTACTCCCTAAAATTAAAAAAAAATCATAGAGAATATTTTAAACTGTTTTAATCAAATATTTGAAAACTTGAAGCATTTTTTCATCTTTTTCCTAATTTTCCTTTCCTCTAATGTTTGTTAGTTACTATATGCAAGCTGATGTTTATCCTAAAACATATTAACCATTATCCTCTCAAACTTTAAAGAACATTATATTTACCTTTGCAGGATTACACATAACAAAAATACTATGATACAAAATAATCCTTGTTCTATTCAAAGATTTAACTTTTTAATATTTCAGCCCAAATATTCATTATCTTTTAAAATAAAACAATGGAACATATTTTTAAACAAAATTTAAATGGTTTCTATAGTAACAGACACAATTCAGTATCTTATTTTTTGTTTACATATCCTATAGGTGTAACTAACATACTGTCAATAACGCTTCAAAATATTTTCCAAAGATCAAAACTATTAAGTGCATTATAGTTTTATCTTGACTTACAGCATAAATATTTCTCCAGCTATACTTGAAGAAAAATTTTATTAAAAAAGTAGGCCAACTATATACTTCATTAAACATTTTAATATTTAAACTTGATTTTCAAAATATTCCTGCTCACTAGAATTCATACTTGTAAAAATAGTTTTACTTTCCTAAAATACTTTTTTAAAGGATGCAAAGAAATACGTTTTTACTTTACCTAGTTGTTGGTGTTCGTATTTGTCATAATTACTATGACAGAAATTGGTTCCACCTTGCTCATCCACCGTCTTCTCAGATGAAAGTGAGCTAAGACGTTTCATCTTAACTAATCTTGGGGAACTTTCCTCAGTACTAGTATCCAAAACCACATCTCCCGAAAGAATGGGAGGAACAACTCTCTTTAAAAAATCCATTTTAAGGTTCTTCTACATTACTAGGCCCACAAGCACACAGAAAGGTGCCTATACCAACTTCCTTGATGAGAAGTTCAGGTACACTATTTGTGTCAAAGAGCAAATAAACGTCATATGAATTTAGGCGGTGCTAAACCCCAGTCAGTCAATTGCCAGCTGTTTTGAAGCTGATTTTCAGGACATTACTGTTTGTGCTGATAACAAACCAAACAGCTATAGACCATGAAACTGCCCTTCATGTACGCGTACATGTACAATGGGTGTTAACGACAATACTGAGACCATAAAATATTGAGCGTCCATCTAGTTTAACATTTAGATTTTGAAAACTTTCACTGTGATCATGTAAAGAGAAATTTACTTTGGCCTGAGGTGTGTCTTCCTTTTAAATAAACTTAGAGCTGACGTGTAAAACAGCAACTTGTATTCAAAAGATAATTCTTATCATTTTGAAAATTCACTAACAGACCTCAGGAATGTCAACTTTTATAAAACATGAAAAGGAGTCATTTAAAACTTTATTCTATATTACAAACATTCTAAAGTTACTTTTAAACACCAAAAAAACTCCCTATTACAATCAATGATACTTATCAATAGTAATGGTGAAAACTTCAGCATGAATAACCAAAAAAATTGATAATTTTAAATATATGGATCTAAAAACATAAAGCTGAAGTACTGAAAGTATAAATTCTTAAATTCAATAAACACAGTCATCAACATTATATGTTTTTCAAAATAACTGAGCACCCTACAAAATATTTGGAAATAGCAAAAGTAGCCAATCCTACTGCTTTGATGTAATTCAGAAGTATAACAAGAGAGTACAATAAAGGAATACCTACAAAAGACTTTGAAAACTGAAAGTTCTCTCCCTTCCTTTGCCTGCCCTCTTGTGGGGTTGTTAAGTGAGCAAGAAGGAAATGAAAACACAAAGGTAACAGGGTAAAACCCCTAAGCAATCATATCTATAACTCTGAATGACACATAATAATTTAAAAAATCTGATTCACTTAGTGAAACACAATACAATCTCATTCTTCCAATGCTCAACATGAAGAAAATGATTTGCATAGTATTTCAAAAGATGAACCACAAATGGTCTACATAGAAATCAGGAAAAAATGGTTGAAAAAATTAACTCTAGATGGATTAAAGACTTAAATCTAAGACCTAAAAGCATAAAAACCCTAGAAGAAAACCCAGGCAATACCATTCAGGACACAGGCATGGGCAAAGACTTCATGACTAAAACTCCAAAAGCAATAGCAACAAAAGCCAAAATTGACAAATGGGATCTAATTAAAGAGCTTCTGCACAGCCAAAGAAACTATCATCAGAGTGAACAGGCAACCTACAGAATGGGAGAAAATTTTCACAATCTATTCATCTGACAAAGGGCTAATATCCAGAATCTATAAAGAACTTAAACAAATGTACAAGAAAAAAACAAACAACTGCATCAAAAAGTGGTCAAAGGATATGAACAGACACTTCTCAAAAGAAGACATTTATGCAGCCAACAAACATACGAAAAAAAACCTCATCATCACTGGTCATTAGATAATGCAAATCAAAACCACATTGAGACACCATCTCATGCCAGTTAGAATGGCGATCATTAAAAAGTCAGGAAACAACAGATGTTGGAGAGGATATAGAGAAATAGAAATGCTTTTACACTGTTCGTGGGAGTGTAAATTAGTTCAACCATTGTGGAAGACAATGTGGTGATTCCTCAAGGATCTAGACCTAGAAATACCATTTGACCCAGCAATCCCATTACTGGGTACATACCCAAAGAATTATAAATCATTCTATTATAAAGACTCATGCACACGTATGTATATTGCGGCACTGTTCACAATAGCAAAGACTTGGAACCAACCCAAATGCCTATCAATGATAAACTGGAGAAAAGAAAATGTGGCACATATATACCATAGAATACTATGCAGCCATAAAAAAGAATGAGTTCATGTCCTTTGCACGGACATGGATGAAGCTGGAAACCATCATTCTCAGCAAACTAACACAAGAACAGAAAACCAAACACCACATGTTCTCACTCATAATTGGGAGTTGAACAATGAGAACACATGGACACAAGGAGGGGAATATCACACACTGGGGCCTGTCAGGGGGTGGGGGGCTAGGGGAGGGATAGCATTAGGAGAAACACCTAATGTAGATGATGGGTTGATGGGTGCAGCAAACCATTATGGCACGTGTATACCTATGTAACAAACCTGCACATTCTGCACATGTATCCCAGAACTTAAAGTATAATTAAAAAAAAAAAAAAGAAAAATGGGTAAATTTCTGGTTCTGAATTACTTCGTTTTTAATTCTTATTCTCCTATCACATTACTTATTAAGTCAACTAGTCTTCATTTATTTAAAAAGCATTCAAGATCCTTTCCATGTAAAGCATTAATATAGTATTAAGGTTCAGAGAAAGTTTAAGGATTTATTAATACAAATCCTGTCTCAAGAACTCCCATAGGAAAAAAACAACAAAGTCAAGTAAAAGACATAAATTTGTTGCCCTGAAGCAGGTATAGATTCAACAGGAAAAAAGCACTGACTTTTAGAAGCAGATTGTCTCTTAATCTTCAAGCATAAAAGTGTCAAAATTAAGATCCAATCAGTCTATTCCCCACAAACAGAAAAAACAACTTGTTAGAATGGTAAACTGCATGCCTTAATATGCCTAAAACTCATTCCTTTCTCCCCCTCTCTCCCTCCTTCTCTCTCTGGATATGATCCCATGTTATTTCCATTTTGTCTGTGGTTTTCCCCAGGTCCCTCTGCAGGTTGTCCTTATCTATGAAGCCCAGAAACACAGTGGTACATAGAAGAATGCTAATTCATGTTTGTTCATGACATGCAAGACAACCATTTGTGTCACTGTTAACCTCACCATTCTCAACTGCACTTTCAACTGGAGAGAGCAAGGGGTTAAGGTAATAGGGATAGGATTAGGTGTTATAGAAGATCCCACAGATTTTTCTCTGATTTCCTTCATTCAACAAATATTTGTTGAATAGCTTCTCTAATGATCTGTGCAAGATATGAAGGCATTGAAGATATGTCTCTCTACCCAAAAAGCTGACTACTTAAGAAGGGAAATATACTCTCACAGTTATAATATTCTGTGTAGGGTAGGCCAAACCTTTGTTAAGCCTGCACTGCAGTTCAATTTCCTATGCTTCATCTGCTTCCTAAGCCCCCTCGTTATAGGTGTTGATTGCTAACAAACATTGAGAGGATCCACTCTGAGACATACAGCAAAGGGGAAGTACTCCAGTAATGAAACT
The DNA here is from genome assembly GCF_000001405.40 of Homo sapiens. Classification (NCBI taxonomy): domain Eukaryota; kingdom Metazoa; phylum Chordata; class Mammalia; order Primates; family Hominidae; genus Homo; species Homo sapiens. Next base: position 48,684,449 of record NC_000004.12, read on the forward strand.
GTATTTATTACTGACAGGATCTATAAGGAGGAAATGCCACAAAGCCTTGTTTACATGGTGATACTTCTAAGCACTTTAGCTGATTACCACAACTTTTAACTCCTGGTATAATAGTTATAGGATCAAGAAATTATAGTAGAACCTCACAGCTAAAATACAGCATTTAAAAATCTTTTCAGACCTCAATCACTATTTAGCCTTGAGAATATTTACTATAATCTTACCGTATCACTTGAGACAGTAATTTCTTGGTGACTTGGATCATCTAATCCTATGACTCTTGAGTGGTTTCAGGAATTAAGCATTTAGATGTTAACCATCCAAGATACCAATAAATGGCTTCAGCTCTGAGGAAAAACAAAATACATTTACACGTTAGGTGCGTTTAACACCTGTGTGTTACTCACATCCATCCTTCTGAACACATTTTATACATTTTATACACCAGTGTCACCTAGTGCTGCAGAGATCCTCTTTCAATAATGTTACATGACATTTTTTCTAAGTTTTTTATTATGGAAAATTTCAAACTAATCCAAAATTATTAAGAATAGTATCATGAACCCCCCACCATTCCCAGCTTCAACAATTAACTCATGGCAAATCATGTTTCATTTATATCTTCATCCACTTTCCCCAACCTCTATCCCACCACTCTGGATTATTCTAAAGCAAATTCCAGACATTATAACATTTCATCTGTAGATAATTCATTATGTATCTCTCTAAGACAAGGATTTACTTTGTAAAAATAAGTTAATACCATTATAATGCTTACATTAATAATCATCTACTACTATAATAATAATAATCAACTACTAATCATCACTCAAATTTCCCCAATTGTCTCATAAGTATCTTTTTAACAATTTTCTCTAAATTTAAACAAAATCCATACAGGCAATTGTGACCATATCTCTTAAATAAATTTTAATCTATAGTTTTTCTCCTCCCTTTCTTCTGTATAGAGTGACAATGCTTTTACTAGCCAATGGTTAAACTAATACACCACAACTTAATTATTCAATAATACATTATTTTATTCACTAAAATAAATATAGATTTGTAAAATAGTTCATGTATCTGCTAGGCCTGATATTTATCACATCTACAGATAACATTTGGGATGCATATTTTTCAGAGTCTACCTAAAATAACTCTGAGGGCGTCATGGACCATGAACTACTGTACCATATCTGTAATACTTGGATGGTTACTAAGAATAAAGAAAATGACCACAGGGAATTGGGAATTGTCTTTTTACCATTTATAAAGATTCCACGTTATCAGGCACATTTCATGTTTTCTTGGCTTTTTTTTTTTTGACGGAGTTTCACTCTTGTTGCCCAGGCTAGAGTGCAGTGGCACGATCTCAGCTCACTGCAACCTCCACCTCCCGGGTTCAAGCGATTCTCCTGCCTCAGCCTCCTGAGTAGCTAGGATTACAGGTATCCGCCACCACGCCCGGCTAATTTTTTGTATTTTTAGGAGAGATGGGGTTTCACCATGTTGGCTAGGCTGGTATCCAACTCTTGACCTCAGGTGATCCTCCTAAAGGCTGGGATTACAGGCGTGAGCCACCATGCCTGGCTGGTCTTGGTATTTTTCTATAGCTAAAATAAGACAAATTTTAAATCTGGCATTGAAACTCAAATTAGCCTTATTTTAAATAACCAGTTGCATATTAGTTTTTCTCTTTAATTAATTTAATCTCCAACCCAACAGAAAGGGTGAAATATCCTGAAATAGTAATTTGTACTAAAAACTCTTAATTTGAAATTCCTTTAGCCAAGTTAGAAAAATATAATATTTCATTTACTCACAGGCATAATCAATTAAATCATGACTAAAGCCAAATCTTCAAAGCCAAAAATCTGGGAAATATGAATAAAATACTAACTTGTTTGTGCCTGTTCATAATATCATTCAAACTTACTGGAATTTTTTACTGTTCCAGCAAATATTTCTAAAATTTATTATCAATACGATAGTTAACAATCCTGCCATAATCTTGATACTTTGCTTATCTTAGGTTCATGGAATCATTTCTCCCTCAAACCTAAAAAAAAAACTAATGTGACAAATAGCATGCCATGTCTTGTGGGCACGGTCCTGCACTGGACAATATTTAATGAGATTTAAGCTATCTTTCATTTCATCTTCTGGGACAAATCACAAAACCAGTCACTACTGGAAAACAATGCAGTTTTAGGAATACAGCAAAAATCCTACCTAGGACCAATTTGTACCACCATGTCTAGGTATTTCATTTTGCTTTGCTTTTGCAGTCTTGCGCTCAGACATAGCAAGTGCTAATGTCATGCTTTTGTTGTATGTGTTTATTCTTCTTGTAATCACACTGTCATGGCACTATGTCACTTTAAGACTTCTCAATATTTGAATATTTGTCCAGAGTTTGCAACACTTCTTCAGCAGACACACAACCTTGCTATTTTCGACTTTTCGCTTTTGATAAGATAAAATAAATGCATCTTTTGGTAACCCTGGAAAATACATAGTTTATACTTCACTGGCTTTCTTTATAGGTTATAATCACTTTTAGCAGGGCTGGATTGGTGGGGGTGGGTCTTTCTGGGACCTTTTTCGTCTGTTTACTTGCAGGACAATCACTTTTTCATCTTGTCTCCATATGGATTACTTAACATGGGATTAATTTTTATTTTCATTCCACTTGATCAGAGAACATTTTATCTGTAAAGGAGAGCAATTTTTACTACTACTTTTAAAATATTATTTTGAGACAGTGAAGGTCAGAGAGGTTTGGTAATTGTACATGGTCATGCTATACAAATAACCATTGCTGTTCTTTCTTATTTAAAACAAAAAAGTTCAAATAAAAACGGACATCAGTTGGTATTTGACAACACTGAAGAGAAGACTGTGAACAGCCCAACAGCACAAGCTTTGAAGGGCAAGACTTTTCACCTACAGCCAGAGTAATAATGTGGAAGCTTCCATGTGTAATAAATAGTGAACAGTGGTCCAGCTCTGGTGCTTGGGAGGGCCTCAGGGCAAATGAGGTCGGGGGGGGGGGGGGTGAGGGGGGAGGGGGGCGGAAAGCCTCGCTTCACTTCAGTACACAAAGCAAAAGAAAGCTGAATGGGTGTTCAAATAACACGTGAACCTCTTTCCTTTCTGAACAGAATTTCTAGAATAATAACAGAAATGCCACAAATTTATCTTAATTTTAGGAAGACATTTGATGTATGTGTCTCTGATATACATTAACACAGGAAACAACAATCCCAAGCAAATAGAGCAAAAATTAAGGGTAAATGACTTTCAGAGATGTTCAATATAGTATTCGCAATACTTGTCTGTATGCCGGGAATACTCCACAATTCGAATTGAACAGAGAAGTTATGGTGCCTGGCATATGGTAAATTTGAGCTCAACATAAGGAAAAACGACTTAATTAGTATGTAAGTAATACGAAGACTGCTTCATAAAAGATTGGGGTCCCTGCTCCGTGAGTCTTTAGGCAACAGTTGTTAGGAATGTTAACATTCTTACAGAATGTTATAAAAGGGATTATGCCACCAGGTAAAAAGATTATGGTAAATTACCTCAAAGATCCAAGCTCAAAACTCTAAATCTAACTTCAAAATGTATTTTACATTATACTTGAATACTAGAGGGTGTGGTGACTTAGAAATTCATATTTCAACTAAAGCTAGAAACCGCACTTTAAGATATGGAATCTATGAAGGTCAATTCCTGCCATTCTACTAAAATTAATTCTGGGAATCTTGCAAGGCCTCTTAAAATGATGCAAAAACCAAAATGACACAAGTGTTCTGACAGCCTTTTAGAGTGAGGATGCAATCGTTTTCAAATAAATTTAAAATGATTGTAGTTCCTGTAATACCAAAATAATTATAGAAAACAAAATGCAGTAACTTCTTTAATCTGCCAAAGATGGTGTAAAACAAGAAAAATTTGCTCACAAATAATCAAGCGCAGGCAGCAAGCAATTAGTCAAATATTGTTTATATCTGACTGGTAAAAATCATTTTAAAAAAATATTTATGGTCATCCCTTTAATTACCAAAGAAAATTCATGATTTGTAAAATTATCAGTGGTTTTATCACTCTTCAATTGCTAAGTAATTCACTTTTTCTCTTGACAAATGCTATAATTTTTAAATTTTTTTAAAAATGAACTTGCATTTAACCTTCTCTTAGTCAATTTTTTTTTTTTTTTTTTTTTTTGAGATGGAGTCTCACTCTGTTGCCAGGCTGGAGTACAGTGGCACGATGTTGGCTCACTGCAACCTCTGCCTCCCATATTCAAGTGATTCTCCTACCTCAGCTTCCCAAGTAGTTAGGATTACAGGCGTGTGCCACCATGCCTGGCTAATTTTTTGTATTTTTAGTAGAGATGGGGTTTCACCATGTTGGCCAGGCTAGTCTTGAACTTTTGACCTCAAGTGATCCACCCACCTCAGCCTCCCAAAGTGCTGGGATTACAGTGTGAGCTACCGCGGCCAGCCTCTTTTTAACCTTCTCCCAAATTTCAATTTTAAAAAGTATGGAAACATACTACACTGACTAATATAATTACAGATTATATTACATGACCTGCTAAAAATGCTGTGTAATGATACTCAGCCATAATATTTGGGCTTCACTGCAAAAATCTAAATTTCTTGCTGATAAAGCAATGTTCTCTGCAGGTGAATTTGTCAACATTTTATTGACTTTACATTTTCAGCCAGAACAGCAGTTATTGTCATATTACTTGATCTAATGAAAACAAGCAGCAAATTTTCCATTCACAATTTTAAGAGGAAGTTTTCTGTAACAGTTTCATTCATTAAATCAAATGAAAACAGCATCACAGTGGTACATTTTCTTATACACTGATGAATGAATATGTATTTTTAGAATAATTTTCATACTACATTTTCATGTTGGCACAGAAAAATGGAATTCAACTACAAATTTATCATATAAATCTTTCCATTCTACATCTAGAGTTAAGTACCAAGAGAAAATTTTTGGACAAATTCAGAAGTAGCCCAGTTAAGACATCAATCTGGGATTTACTACATACACTCCTAACTTCTAAAAATCTATTACTATAAGTACACCACACATAAGTTTACAGAAATCATACACTCGACAAATATTTATTAAGCAGAACTATCTGCCAGTATGAGGGAAAAAAAAGTGAATAAAACAAAAATCCCTATCCTTGCGGAGTTTACATTCCAGTGGGAGCTTAAGCCTTTTGGAGTTACTGCTTTAGAAATTTGAAAGAGGTGGAGATGTCATCTTCCAAAAAGCACATTTCTATAACTTTGAAGAGTTGAGCCCTCCTAATCCAACCATTAATTATGGATTAAGAGCCTCTGATAAAAATCCTCCTTATACTTATTTTCTATGCCTACCATTTATAGTAGGTTTTTTAATTTCTTTTTTTCTTTTTTTTTTTTTTTTTGAGACGGAGTCTCACTCTTTGTCATCCAGGCTGGAGTGCAGTGGCGTAATCTCGGCTCACTGCAAGCTCCGCCTCCCGGGTTCAAGCCATTCTCCTGCCTCAGCCTCCCGACTAGCTGGGACTACAGGTGCCCGCCACCGTGCCCAGCTAATTTTTTTTTTTTTTTGTATTTTTAGTAGAGATGGGGTTTCACTGTGTTAGCCAGGATGATCTCGATCTCCTGACCTCGTGATCTGCCTGCCTCGGCCTCCCAAAGTGCTGGGATTTCAGGCGTGAGCCACCGCGCCCGGCCAGTAGATTGTTTTACAATTTTACTATTCGTAGTAAAAAGTAGTACTTCTTTTTTTTCCATTAAACCAATTACAGCCTTCAACCCTCAATAGAATGTTTTCTGTTTATTCCATTTGTACTGCTCATGAATTTCTGGACTATCAGATTACCCATTATCAACATGGTTTTCCTAGAATAACCAACCCTAATGTATTCAGTGGCTTCATATGGAGACTTTCTTTACTGATTTCATTAATGATTCTCTGGACTCCCTTAAGTTAAAATGCTCTTCTCCCTACCACCCAAACCTATAATTAAAGTCTCCAGAAGTTGCCTACAAAGTCTCTGGAAGATGATACGCCCACGAGAAACACACAATAAATCTTTAACTATTTAACAAAAATTTCAATTAATTCATCCAAAATTTTCTGTTCTTGCTTGTCAGAGGAAGGGAACATGTGACCCCTTAGAAAAATTCTTTTTAATTTAAAGATGCAACATCTAAAATGCTTTCTAGGGTCATCTGTAATCAATGTGTTAACCTTTTATATGTATAGTTTTTTTAATTATACAATGGAACTTATGCTATCTAATTATGACCCTAAGGTCCTATAAGATCAAACATCAGAGAAAATGTGTATAGATGATAGCTATATTTTACATGTTTATATAAAACAATTGCAATGAAAAGGTTTCTAAGTTAATAAAAATGTTAACTAGAAGAGAAAAATGAATAAATAGCTGCTCAAGGTCATAAAGCAAGTAAGTAGCTACAATTTAATCTCCAAAGTTTGTCTTTCCTCTTTTTCTCTGTGTTCACTGCCTCCAGCAAGCTTAGAGAAGCCTGACTTCTGTAACAGAAACTATGAAAGCACAAATTCCCACAGATGATTTAGATGACCCATTTCTCCCAAATTTATAGCCCCAAAACAACTTTTCTAAATTTAAGGAAAGAAGGTCATTTGTCACCTGCAATCTCACAACTTGTACCAAAAGCCTCTAAAATGTTTATGATCTTTGACCCAGTAACTCCATTTCTAAGAGCTTATTCTAGAAAGATAATCAGACATGCACACACAAATTTATTTGCAAAGACGTTCATTGTACTATTATTCCTATGAGCAGAATATTGCAGTAGAGGCAAAGAACAAAAAGGACCAGTTGAAAAAAAATCATGGCACATTCCTAAGATGAAATGTCATCCATCAATTTTTTTAAAAATATATTGACTACTTTGCGATAATATTCCACATACATTTTTACAAAGTGAAAAAAAATACATTTGGAAGCCAAGAACACACCTAGAAGGATACACTCAAATTGTCTCAGTATTCAATCTCCGTTTCCTCATCTATACAATAAGGATAATAAAATCTCTTAGGGCTATTTTCAGAACTAAGTGTAAAAGATGAAAAGTGCTTAAACAGTGCTTGACACACAGTAAGTACTCAATAATGGTAATATTTATTAACTTATACCACAAATGCTGATAACATTTGCAACAATTTCCCAAAAAAGTAATGAAGAAATAAAAATTCCTCATAATTCTAACACCTAGAGGTAGCCACTATGAATTCATTTTACCATCTGGGTTAATTTCTGTCAGGTCTTCCTACATAAATTAAACACTGTATACACTGTATACAACCGGAATCATATTGTACAATATCTAGTGGTTACAAAACATTATTTTATAAATATATTATCTTCATTTAATCATTCCACTAATATTGAGCATTAAGTTCAATTCCTTTAGGCTCAGGAAATGAGTACTGCAGTGCTATTTCATGAATGTTGCTGAGCAACTATAATTTAGAAAATTATTCCTCAGAGAAGAAAATAAAGACTAGAAACTTATAATTTCATAAATAGTAGATGGGGAAATGTTGAATATAGGATACTAAAGAGAAGAAATAAGAAACAATTATTTTTATTAGCCATATTCATGCAGGGAGGCAACAGATTGTATTTAGCCCTGAGTTAGGATTTTTCAACCTCACTGTTGCATTATTTCTTGTGACCTGGAGCAAAGTCCCTTCTTCACATTTCTTACTATGGGCCTAAATCGCCTTTTTGACTAGGTCAGGAAGTAGTACAGTATAATGTTTAGATACAAAGGCTCTGGAATTAGGTTAAGTCTAGAACTCTCCTTTATGATTATTTCCTGAGTTATCTAGGACAAGTTAGTTAAACTCAAGCCTTAGTTTCTTTCTATCTTTTTTTTTTTTGAGACAGAGTTTCACTCTGCCGCCCAGGCTGGAGTGCAGTGGCATGATCTCAGTTCACGGCAACCTCCACCTCCCAAGTTCAAGTGATTCTCCTGCCTCAGCCTCCTGAGTAGCTGGGGCTACAGGCACATGCCACCACACCTGACTAATTTTTGTATTTTTAGTAGAGCCAAAGTTTTGCCATGTTGGCCAGGCTGCTCTTGAATTCCTGACCTCAGGTGATCTGCCTGCCTTGGCCTCCCTAAGTGCTGGGAGTACACTACTGCACCCGGCCTAAGCCTTAGTTTCTCATGTGAAAGTTGGAGGTTGTAATAAATATTGCTTATTTATTATTGTTGTTAGAGGTTTATGTCATATAATTCATGTTAAGGTGTTAGCAAAATGCTTGAAATATGGCAAGTACTTAATAAATGGAAACTACCTGTACTATTATCTATAAAAATAAAAGAACGGACTAAAAGATCTCTTTAAAAAAAGGTTCAATTCCTCATTTCTATAAGTAATATTGTAGTGAATACCTTGATTGGCAATCTTTGTACACATCTTTGATTTCTCCCTTAAGAAAAAGTCTTGAAACAGAATTGCTATTTCAAATGGTATGAAATACACTTGGCTTTACTCCCCTACTGACCTATGTGGAATGCAGACACATACTGCCTGTTAAAAAATGCAAATGTCTTCCTTTTCTCCATGAGTACTTTAAAAGCTGTTAATTGGCCTTTTCACACCTTTTCTACTATTTCTTGGTACAATTGCTTGTCGGTATTTCTTTTTTCCACTTACTCCATTTAAGCTATCTCATTTTCCTTTATATCGCTCTAACATCCCATACACAAATTTAATTATCATAATTCAGTATATTCTTCAAAAAGGTTTTTAAGATTCTTCTTTATCTATCTAAAAACGGAAGTCCTTGTCTCTTACAAATGCATACTGAAGTATTTACAGGTGAAATGTTGTGACAAAGAAAATGACTCAAAAATAATTGGGACCTGCAGAAAGAGGGTGGGTAACAATGGTTTCATAAATGTTTGAGCTGAGGAATGGGCACCTGAGCATTTATTCTACTATTCTCCCCGTTTATTTTTTAATCCCTCTCAGTGGGAGAAAATTGTTTTTAAATTATATCTTTAAAAGAAGACATAAATATTAAAATAACAATCATGGTTTAGCTTCAACCGTTGATACAACAAAACAATAATTCAGCGATTTAAAAAAAAAAAAAAGACCAAAAATACTTAAGCCAAGTTCAAAAGTGAAGGAAACAACTACAGTATTTAGAATCTCTCAATTATATTTGCCAGTAATTCCCACAGATAAAAACATACTACAATGCATTTTTCCAAACCATGGCTTCAGCATACCATGCTGATTCTCCAAAACAATATTAGTATTTATATTGTGCATTACAAGAATACAATTAGGCCTCTGTATGTGCCCACATGAATATTTGATGAGGAGTTTTATTATGTACGAGTATTAAATAATCCAAATTCTCTTGGTGACTAAATCGCATCTTGGTACCAAGTTAGGCACATCATAAGCAATACCTACAGATTAACAGAGCCACCAAAGTGTTTTATTTTTGCCCAAAGGCTGCAAGGAAGACCAGCATAATGAAAAAATGATCTCACTGCATATTTTTTACTATCACAGGGAAATATCACCTGGTTTCTGGGTAGAAAATGCTTGACTTTGGTGTCAGGCATGACAGCAAGAGAGCACAGCAAAGAGATTAAGCTGCATATCTCGGGATGAAGAACAATGGCTGCTCTCCAGGTTTCAAGTGGGGGGTGGGAGGTGGAGGAGAAGACACATTAAAGATATGTTTTCTAAAATCTTTTCACTTCAATAAAAAAATACATTTAAAAAAGTATTTAAAAATTTAGAATACTTTTTTTTTTTTTGAGGCAGTCTTGCTCTGTTGCCCAGGCTGCAATGGAATGGCGCAATCTCAATTCACTACAACCTCTGCTTCCCGGGCTCAAGCAATTCTCCTGCTCAGCCACCTGAGTAGCTGGGATTACAGGCATGTGCCACTGCGCCCAGCTACGTTTTGTATTTTTAGGAGAGACAGGGTTTCACCATGTTGCCCAGGCTGGTCTTGAACTCCTGACCTCAGGTGATCCACTTGCCTCGGCCTCCCAAAGTGCTGGGATTATAGGTGTGAGCCACTGTGCCCAACCTATAATACATTTTTTAAAACCCAGTATACATATACACAATATAATATGATATATTGGAAATAATCTGCAATATGCTTTGGTAGTCTCTAACGTAATTACAGGAAAAACAAGTGTTATATTCTAGTCATTTCCCACTAAAATTATTTCTTGACTTCATAATTTGTAAATCCCTGGCCCAAAAAAACTGCCCCATGGCTGGACATGATAGCTCACTCCTGTAATCTCAGCACTTTGGGGGGCCAACGCAGGGGGATCACTTGAGCTCAGGAATCTGAGACCAGCCTGGGCAACATAGTGAAACCTCATCTCTAGTAAAAGTAAAAGAAGTCAGCTGGGCATGGTGGCACTAGCCTGTAGTCCCAGGCTAAGGTGAGAGGATCACCTAAGCTTGGTAGGTAGAGGCTGCAGTGAGCAGTGACTGTGCCCCTGCACTCTAGCCTGGGCAACAGAGTGAGACCCTGTTTCAAACAAACAAACAAACAAACAAACAAAAAATTGGCCCACATCTCCTGCTTACTGAGCAAAGGAGAAAATGCGTAAGAATCAGTGAACTACTGTTTAAACATACCCCTAAGAGAAGATAACCTCCAGAGTTTCTTCCTGTTCTAGAGCTCTGTGGTGCTGTAAGAGTTGCTCTGAGACTGTGATCCTCTAAAGGGTACATACATCATTACATCTCCCACAGAAACTAGAAAAGTGGTGTTCGGAAAAATAGAGTACTAAATAAAGATGTACTAGCTTCAACTGATAATGTGCAAACTACGCATATATGTAAAGGTCTCCGTCATTTAAAGGTAAGTTTTCCACGTATGATTACAGGTAAAAATCAATGCTACTATGTATCATTTGAAAATTCATAAGCATTAAGATGTTAACATATATTTACTGTAAATATATATATATATATTTGTATGTGGGTACAATGTATGACAAAATACATAAAACAAATGCCACAGAACAAATACTATTCTTGTTACTTTGTCCATAAATATAATAAACTGCAAAATTATGATATAGGCATGAGCAAAGACTTCATGATTAAAATGCCAAAAGCAATTGCAACAAAAGCAAAAATTGACAAATGGGATCTAATCAAACTAAAGAGCTTCTCTACATCAAAAGAAACTACCATCAGAGTGAACAGGCAACCTACAGAATGGCAAAACGTTTTTGCAAGCTACCCATCTGACAAAGGTCTAATATCCAGAATCTACAAGGAACTTAAACAAATTTACAAGAAAAAAACAACCCCATCAAAAAGTGGGCAAAGGATATAAATAGACACTTCACAAAGGAAGACATTTATGCAGCCAACAAATATATGAAAAACAGCTCAACATCACTGATCATTAGAGAAATGCAAATCAAAACCACAATGAAATACCATCTCACGCCAGTCACAATGGCGATGATCAAAAAGTCAAGAAACAATAGATGCTGGTGAGGCTGTGGAGAAATAGGAATGCTTTTACACTGTCGGTGGGAGGGTAAATTAGTTCAACCATTGTGGAAGACAGGGTGGCGATTCCTCAAGGATCTAGAACCAGAAATACCATTTGATCCAGCAATCCCATTACTGGGTATGTACCCTAAGGAATATAAATCATTCTACCATAAAGACACATGCACACATATGTTTACTGCAGCACTATTTACAATAGCAAAGACATGGAACCAACCCAAATGCCCATCAATGATAGACTGGATAAAGAAAATGTAGTACATATACACCATGGAATACCGTGCAGCCATAAAAAAGAATGAGTTCACGTCTTTTGTGGGGACATGGATGAAGCTAGAAGCCATCATCCTCAACAAACTAACACAAGAACAGAAAACCAAATACCGCATGTTCTCACTCATAAGTGGGAGTTAAACAACGAGAACACGTGGACACTGGAAGGGGAACATCACACACTGGGGCCAGTCAGCAGGTGGGGGGCAAGGAGAGGGAGAACACTAGGACAAATAGCTAATGCATGTGGGGCTTAAAACCTAAATGATGGGGGGATAGGTGCAGGACACCATTATGGCACACGTATACCTATACAACAAACCTACACGTTCTGCACTTGTATCCCGGAACTTAAAGTATAATAAAATATATATATACATAATCAAATTAAATTACTAACTTTTAGTTTCAATGGTATTATTTTTCTCCTGCCTGCTTAATGATACTATTATTAAGCAAGAAAATAAGAAAAAAAAAACATAAGCCCAGTATAAAAGAAAAATAACGATAAGAGATCTATCTATCTATCTATCTATCTATCTATCTATCTATCTATCTATCTATCACTTTCACAAGTCAACCATGATCAACAGCACTCTTAAATCCATCAGGTTTTGGCTCAAACAATCTCTGCTTTTGTCTTAAAATGAATAATTTTTCTCCAAAAAAAGTCAATTACAAGGTTTTTTCCTATATGCATCAAATTTCAATAAACTATTATGGTGTAACTGAAGAAGAAGAATAAAGGAAGCTACATCGAAGACTTGGAATTTTAAACCACAATAAAACCTTGTACACTAAGGATAATAAGGTCAATTCCTATATTTTTATATACTATAAAATACCATATGATACAGTAAAAGACATTTCTTATAACAGCCTGAAAATTATGACTCTTACTTTCTTTCCATTTTTACCTAAATTTTACCTAAAATTTCCATTCTTTTGAGGTTTTGACTTATTTGGAAAAAATCTAGAATTTTACCAAAATTAATATAATTTCAGATTTGTAAACAAGGGAAATGTTTACAAACTTTTTTTACTTCAAAAAATAATGTATTTTTACAGGTGCCAATTTTAAATCTCCAGCTCTAGTTTACATTTCTCACCTTTCTTGGATTTCTCAATGTTGATTATAAACTAACTAAAATGAAGCATACTTCTATTTTTATTTTTTGGGATGGAGTCTCACTCTGTCCCCCAGGCTGCGGTGTCTCAGCTTACTGCAACCTCTGCCTCCTGGGTTCAAGCAATTCTCCTGCCTCAGTCTCCTGAGTAGCTGGGATTACAGGTGCACGCCACCACACCCGACTAATTTTGTATTTTTAGTAGAGATGGGGTTTCACTATGCTGGTCACGCTGGTCTTAAACTCCTGACCTCAGGTGATCCACCCGCATGGGCCTCGCATGAGCCACCATGTCTGGCCCTAAAATGAAGCATACTTTTAAAAAGCTTCATAGAGAAGTACTTAAAGAAAAAAATGAAATAGAGAATTTGCATTGGCAAAGAAGAAATAAGAATGGTAATGATGAGGATAGTACAGAATGGGAATAGCATCTCTGGAGACTTTTCATTAAAGACCTGTTAGTGATCAAGTTGAAGGATACAATTGAACCAATTGATGTTGAGGCATTTCCACAGGCACAGGGAGACCTGCATTTAACATTTACTGGGGATCAACCTAAGCTCCAGGAATCTATACTCAGTGGCACTTACACACACAGCTGCTACCATCAAGGAGTTTACAGACAAGCTGGAAAGGAGACATGGGCAGTAGCATGTTTCAAGTGCTTTGAGAGAAGTTACCTAAATATGTTCAAGCTGCAACCAGGTACAAAGGAGACAGTCATCAACCTGAGTGGAGAAGGGAACAGGAAAGACTTCACTGAAGAAGTGGTGCTCACAGCTCCTGTTACCAGAAGACTTACTATAGCCACAATCTGTAACTACGCGAATGGGTTCTTGCCTCTCTTTGAGAAGCTAGCTAACTGATGACTTTTAAAAAGCTACATAAGTAACATATTCAGGTGTTAATAAACAAGATGTTTTTCCTGTAAGCCTCCCTGCCACAATTTCTCAATGTGACGTGATGGGCTCCAAAGCTGGATGCTATCACACACCCTCTGAGTTACACAACAGCTCCTGGCTCTGTCCCAAAAGTGGTTATCTTGGTATTGCCTCCTCCCCATGTTTGTGAAAGAAAATACTGTGCTGGGTGAGATTTACACTGATTGACAGTTCCTCTCGCTCTAGAAATGTATAAAGCATAATAAGCAGTTTATTCAGATCAACATCCTCTGTAGAGAAAATAACACATTTCCAAGTTAGTAACAAAACAACATTCCAAATTAGTTTGGTCACTATGGATGACCATATAGAACATGCCACCACAAAGCTTAATCCTTCACATTCCAGTACACATCCTGTAACTCTGAAAAAACATGCATATAAGAGTCAGTAGGCACCACCCCCACCCCAACCCCCACAAATAGGCTTTATTCTCCACAGTGGTTAAGTCAGTCTAAACAAGTAACAAATATAGGAGGGTAGAATTCAGAATTGGTTCACTGCACTCTAACAAATGGTGCCCTAGAAATCCAAGTTAATTAAATACCCATAACAACAGCAGCAACGACTAATTACCGAGAGCCTACTATGTGTGACCATCTAAGATGCTTCACATATGTTACTTCATTTTAACCCAAACCAGCCCATAATTTCAGTAAATGTTCAACTTTACAAATGTGGAAACTGACAAAGCTAATAAATGAACTGAAAAGTACTGTACCTCTGGATTATATTTTAAAGTATAAGCTGTTATATGGAGTTGAGATAAAATTCTCAAATTAAAATGCAATTATTTTCAATGGCTGTTTGGAAGATAAAATGCAATTATGATTTCAATATGTCCTTATATTGATTCTGAACCTCAGAACAGAAAAAGCTAGAGAACTCTCAAAAAGGATAACTAAACATAATTAACACATCATTTGCTTTAAATATTTCATGAAAACATAAGAGTTTGCCCTATCAAAAGTAAAAAATAGTGGGGGATGGGAAAGAGATCATACTGTGACCAACAAATCACAGAGATGCTTATTTGAAGACTAAATTCAATCCTCATCTGTTAATATCTTACTATTTAAAGTTCAATGAACAACTTCATAAAGGAAAGAGATTGTCCTTTGTTTCAGCCAAGATTTTTAAATCTTTAATCTAAAATACATGCTTCTCAAAGATGGATGCTAACAATTTAAACAAGGTGCTAATTCAATCAGTTGCACAATTCTGGCTCAGCAGTTTCTCTATTACAGGGAAAATGTGACAAAGTAAACAAGCCCTACCTGTGGTTTAACATGAAAATTCCCTCCACTCCACATAAATCGCCCTTCTTCTTCTGGGTCCCTACATGCCTCTTTTCCTTTTTCCTCCTCTATTTTGAGAGAATATTTGGCCCCTGGATCAGTTTACTGGTGTTCAGGGTCATCTGAATTGTATCTTTTGAATATTGTCTACAGATCCAGTTCCCAATCTAGATTTGCTACTACTCTTAAGAATTTTAACATACATTTAAATCATATTAAGCTAGATATTAATGTTAACTAGAATATTTATTAGAGTAAAGCAAAAAGACAAAAAAAATTTAAGTGCTCTAAAAACCTAACACCAGGTATAGTATAATAAAGGAACAGAGTCCGACTGCCTATCGAGCACTGCACTAGGCAGTGAGAGACACGAATGATGAATAAGACACCACCTACCACCTTAAGGAATTTGTGGTGTGGTGTGACTCACCCAGCTAGCTCTATACTGTCTCAGAAGGAGATTGTGGTAGAAAGTTCTAATACGGTACAAATGCAGTTATTACAGAAAAACAAAAGATTTTTTTTTAATATATCAGGCTTCTGAATTAATGCCATGATTATATTTGAAGCTGTAATACTCACGTAGAACTTAAAATGAGAGGGGAAATAAGACACCGGGAGGGCAAAGTGAGACACTGGGTCATTTCTCCCACCTCATCAGGTTTTTTTCACCATCACTACTAGTTACATAAATCCTACGTGAAATGCAGTATTTTACTTATGACAATTTTACATTTTAAGCCTTTCATAAACCTGTCAAACCATGAGCTACAATGAATATTTTTGCTTTTATAGATTCTCAGTTTTAAAAATAGTAACTTTCAGCTAGACACAGTGGTCACGCCTGTAATCCCAGTACTTGGGGAGGCTGAGGTGGGAGGATCACTTGAGCCCAGGAGTTCAAGACCAGCCTGGGCAACATAGTAAGACCCCATCTCTAAAAAAAATCAAAATCCTAGCCAGGCATGGTGGTGTGTGTTTGTAGTCCCAGCTACTTGGGAGGCTGAGGTGGGAGGATCGCTTGAGCCCAGGAGGTCAAGGCTGCAGTGAGCTATGATTGCACCACTGCACTTCAGCCTGGGTGACAAAGCAAGACCCTGACTCAAAAAAATTAAATTAAAAAAAAAAAAAAACTTTCATCACTCCAAACTAAATGCATTATAATTGAAGCTTACTGTACCAAATAATTTCACTCTTACCTGTAAGTACTTGCCCTAGTTACTGTTTCAAAGTAATTTTTAAAAAAAACTTAAAATCACATTGCAGAAACTAGACTCAAGGTGCTTATTTAATCTTAGGCAAGCTCATTTAAAAATTCCATTAAGATACTTCTACCTTAAAATAATACAACCAAAATAGTTTTCATTAGTTAATATTATTGAAACACCAAAACTGTTAAATGTGACTTTAGAAAATTGACTTTTAAATGGGTTTAAAAGGTTTAGTTTCTACTATATTTCAGATAACAAAAATTCAGTATAGGACCAAAATTATTATCATCGCCCAACTCTTTTATTGCATCAATATGTATTAGGAGACAAAAACAACTATTTAATTCAAGAGGTGATCCAAAGAAACTAAAAGTTAGATTAATATCTGTAAAGTCATATCCACAACAAATCTGTAAAAACCCCATTTCCAATGTAATTTCAGAGAAATGATTTCATATGAGAAGGCAACACAATGTATGCAGTATAGTTACACAATACTAAGCCACAGTTACCCACACAAAATCACTTAACCTCATTTATAGGAAGAAAAGGAGAGGAAAAAGAAGGGAGTGAAGGAAAAATTGAATAAGAGAGAGACAGAAGGAAACCTGTAAGGATTTTTAAAAAGAGAGTATATGAAATCATTTTGCAAGTTGTAGGCAGTAAATAATATTAGTACCCTTCCCTTTACAAAAGAAACATGCTGGCTGGCGCTGATCTATTAACAAAATCAAGTATGAGAATCAAGTAAACTAATCCTTGTCAATAGACAGACTATTACATTTACTCTAGAAAGATACACGCTAAGAAGTCAGCTAAGCGGACAATGAGTCCAAAGGTATCTCAGATAAAAGCAGAGGTGCATTCAAATACCTACACATTCATTATTTTATTGACCATTTTCTGCTACCTGGCGATCAAATATTTAATGCCCTGAATATGCCATTACCCCCAGTAAGTCATAAGAACTCTAATATCGTCATACTGTCTTATAAACATATTTTTGTCAACCCAATATACAGAATATAAGCATTATTTGATGTGCACTGAACTATAAAAGCTGCTTCAAACAGCAAGTAACATTCTTCTGTTTCTAAATGAGGTTACTCCCAAAAGTTCTATTCAAAATTTTATAAAATTATACTTGAGACTTCCTTCTTTTATAAGAAATTTGAATGACTGATCCACCACATGGAATGCTCCCTAATCTCATACAATTCAACGTATATCTACTGGGTTCCTATCAGTTTTAAAAATAAAAAATAGGCCAGGTATGGTGGCTCATGCCTGTAATCCCAGCACTTTGGGAGGCTGAGGCGGGCGGATCACCTGAGGTCAGGAGTTCGAGACCAGCCTGGCCAACATGGTGAAACCCTGTCTCTGCTAAAAATACAAAAACTAGCCAAGCATGGTGGTGCATGTCTGTAATCCCAGCTACTCAGGAGGCTGAGGCAAGAGAATCGCTTGAACCCTAGAGGCGGAGGTTGCAGTGAGTCGAGAATGTGCCACTATACTCCAGCCTGGGTGACAGGGTGAGACTCTGTCTCAAAAAAAAAAAAAAAAAAAAAAAAAAAAAAAAAAAAAATGCTGGGCGCGGTGGCTCACGCTTGTAATCCCAGCACTTTGGGAGGCCGAGGCAGGCGGATTACGAGGTCAGGAGATCGAGACCATGGTGAAACCCCGTCTCTACTAAAAATACAAAAAATTAGCCGGGCATGGTGGTGGGCTCCTGCAGTCCCAGCTACTCGTAGAGGCTGAAGCAGAATGGTGTGAATCCGGGAGGCGGAGCTTACAGTGAGAGGAGATCGGGCCACTGCACTCCAGCCTGGGCGACAGAGCAAGACTCCGTCTCAAAAAAAAAAAAAAAAGAAAAAGAAAGAAAAGAAAAAATACATAATTTCTTTGTACTCCAAATAAATACATGAATATTTCTCAACATAAACTATGATAAATCTTAGAATTGACACAGCAAAAGAAAACTGAGTATATGTTGAGTTAAAA
Organism: Homo sapiens; assembly: GCF_000001405.40. Classification (NCBI taxonomy): domain Eukaryota; kingdom Metazoa; phylum Chordata; class Mammalia; order Primates; family Hominidae; genus Homo; species Homo sapiens. The sequence goes on from NC_000004.12 coordinate 48,702,910, forward strand.
AAAATTAATCTTGGGATCTAAGAAGGATCAGAGAATAGTGGGGGTTGGTGGAGAAGAGAGGTACAGATGTCATGATGGAAGATCGGAGATGAGCTAAGAAAAGAGGCAGAAAAGTACCCATCTTGGCTGCCCAAAGAAAGTTGTCTCAGGAGAGCAGATCTTGAAACCTAAAGAAAATGATAAAAGCTTCAATACCAGATGGGATCTCATTCTTCCACAATCATAGAACCACCGTAAGTTTTTGAGAAAGGAAGTGATATGAACAGACTGTTGACTCTAAAAGTTGTCTTCTGAAGCAGACTAGATGGGGAATAGGGACTAAGACAGTATGGGACCAATTTTTAAAAATCTATCCCAGTAGTCAAGAGAGGGAATGAACAAAATCCTGAATTAGAACTGAAAGAATTTTATAACTGAACAAATAGGCACCATCACCTTTCACAATTACTACAACAGTCTGCTAACCAGCTCCTGACTGACTTCTACGTGACCCCCTCCAATGGATTACCCCTGCCACAGCCAGAGTGATCTCTTTACAAAGCAATCAGATGATATCTCAGGCCCCTCAATCCCTTCTCCCTGCATGCCAGCTAAACTGGTCTTTTCATTTCCTAGAAGTCCAACTTCGTTTCTGCCTCAGGATCCTTTTACACACTGTTTCCTATGTCTGGAAGCTGCCACACTGACTTTTTTCCACCAAGCTAATCCTAAACATCCTTCAAATCTTAGCTTAAGTGTCATTTTCTCAAAGAGGCAACTCACAACCTCTCCAATGTAATAATGTGTCCCCACTTTTACATTCTCTCTTAGAATTCTTAACCACATATTTAGACATAGTTTGTGTATTTGTGGAACACCTACTCCCCTCTTAGACCATTCCCTGAGAGCTAGGATTATACTATTTGCCACTAGTGCCTAGCCTGTACTTGAAACCCGATAGGTACTCAACAAATACTTGTTGAATAAATAATGAATAAATAATAAATAAAGTCAAAAAGGTCACTTCAATTTCTCATCTGGGAAAATGGCAATACCATTACCTGATAAAGGGAACACAGGTTTGTGGATAAAGTCACATTCTATCTAAAGCATGTTGAACTTGAAAAAATAATGAAATAGGTCTGACGTGTACAAGTGGAGACACTAAATGTGGAACAATCACTTATCCAAAAGAATAAATGTAACATTAATGAAAAAGAATGAGGAAAAAATGAAGCCAGTTGAAAGCAGAACAGAGAATACCTCTGTTTAACAGGAAAAAGAAAACAAAGACAAGAGATTGGTATTTCTAATGTGTAAAGAGCTTATAAAATAAAAAACACCAACAAACAGAAAAGGGGGCTAAAGAAATGGACAGTTGGAAAAAGAAAAAGAAATGCAAATGCCTCTTAGCCATATAAAAAGATATTCAATATCACTCACAAAGGGGAAATTAACACTACAATGAGATTCCATCTGACAAAACCCTCAAAATTTGACAACATATTCTGCTGGCAAGGTTATGTATGAAAAAAAGGCACTCTCATACATTACTGATGGGAACACAAAGAGGTATAACTTCTTATGAGGATAAATCTAGCAATACCCAAGCTTTTAAAAAACAACAACAACAACACCACAAGGCTGGGCATGGTGACTCACGTCTGTAATCCCAGCACATTGGGAGGCCAAGGCAGGGAGATCCCTGAGGCTAGGAGTTCCAGACCAGACTGGCCAACACGGCAAAACCCTGTCTCTACTAAAAAATACAAAAAACAGGCTGGGTGCAGTGGCTCAGGCCTTTAATCCCAGCACTTTGGGAGGCTGAGGCAGGCGGATCACCTGAGATCAGGAGTTCCAGACCAGCCTGGCCAACAAGGCAAAACCCCGTCTCTACTAAAAGTACAAAAATTAGCTGGGCATGGTGGCAGGCACCTGTAATCCCAGCTACTCAGGAGGCTGAGGCAGGAGAATCGCTTGAACCCAGGAGACGGAGGTTGCAGTAAGCCGAGATTGAGCCACTGCACTCCAGCCTGGGCAACAAGAGCGAGACTCCGTCTCAAAAAAAAAAAAAAAAAAAAAATTAGCCAGGCATGGTAGCGCACACCTGTCATCCCAGCTACTCGGGTGGCTGAGGCACAAGAATTGCTTGAACCCAGGAGGTGGAAGTTGCAGTGAGCCGAGATCATGCCACTGCACTCCAGCCTGGGTGACGGTGAGACTGTCTTAAAACAAACAAATAAACACTGCATTCTCATTTACCCTTTGGCCCTGCAATTCCACTTCTAAGAACCTGCCCCAAACACAGTGGAAAGATATAAAAAGATTTATATATCCGCAAGGTTATGCATTTATATTATACCATTTATAATGGTATATTATACCACTATAATATACCATTATATATATTGGTATATATCTTGCTATATATATATAGCAAAAGATTATAAACAATCCAAGTCCCCATCAATTGGGAACTGGTTAAATAAACTATGGCACATTCACCCAATGGGTTATTATATAGCTATAAAAAGAAATCAGTAATACACCACTAAGGAGTGATCCCCAGAATATAACAAGTAAAAAAAAAAAACAAAAAACAAAGTATATGGTATCCTATCATTTATATAAGGAGACATATGAATATATAGCTTGCTTATATTTTTCTTAAAAAAAAAAAAACAAAGTTTCTAGAATATGAGTACTTATACGGAGAAGAAAACAGAATTTGACTTTGGAACCATAAAACTATTATACATGATTATAAAACAAAGTTACATTTTAGAACAGTTATTAAATATGAAAGATAATGAACTTAATTGTATATCCAGTTGGTGGCATAACTATACAGAGAACAATTATTAAGACTAACTTAAACAGTATAGTATTTCTGAGAGCAGCCCCTATGACCATACTTCCTGGTATTCACACCCTTAAGTATTCACTATTCACCTCCTTTTTTTTTTGACACAGAGTGTCACTCTGTCGCCCAGGCTGGAAAGCAGTGGTGTGACCTCAGTTTACTGCAACCTCTACCTCCTGGGTTCAAGCGATTCTCCTGCCTCAGCCTCCTGAGTAGCTGGAACTACAGGCACACGCCACCACTCCTGGCTAATTTTTGTATTTTTAGTAGAGACAGGGTTTCACCATGTTGGACAGGCTGGTCTCAAACTTCTGACCTCAGGTGACCTGCCTCAATCTCCCAAACTGCTGGAATTATAGGCATGAGCCACTGCGCCTGGCCTCACCTCCCTTTTAGTGTAGACTGAATTGAAAGACTTGATTCTAGGAATAGAATTCAGCTGAATACCTTGTTCCTAGCATCATTATTCACAACAGCCAAAATGTGCAAAGAACTCAAATATCAGTTGATGGATGGATAAAATGTGGTATGTAAATACAATGGAATATTATTCAGCCTTAAAAAAGAATGAAATTCTAACACGTACTATAACATGAATGACCTTGAAGACATTATCCTGGGTGAAAAAAGCCAGTCACAAAAGGATAAATACTGTAACTGCATGATTCCACTTATGAGGTACCTAGAGGGGTCAAACTCTTGGGAAAGTAGAATGGTGGTTGTCAGGGGCTGGGCAAAGAAGACGATGGGGAGTTATTTAATGGGTATAGAGTTTCATTTTGTAAAGATGAGAAAGTTCTGGAGATGCATGATAGTGATAATTGCACAACAATGTGAATGTATGTAATGCCACTGAATTGTACACTTAAAATAGTTAAAATGTTAAGTTTACATTATGCACACTTTAGCACAATAATTTTTTTAAAAGGATGCAGCAAGTGTGATGGGCTCCCACTCTAAGAATAAGTTACAGAAAGAGCTTGGTTTCCATCTTGGATGCCCTCTCTCCCTTGCTCTGAACTAACAACCAGCTGCCCATGTTGTTAGCTGCCCTATGGAAGGGTCAAGGAATTGGCCTCTGGCCAACAGCCAGAAAGAACCTGAGACCTGTTAATAATCACATGAGTGAGCTTGAAAGCACCCCCAGAAGGCTGTTCCTTTGTGCCTCTTTTACTTGAGTTGTGGGATGATTGCAGCCCCAGAAGATACTTGGATTGCTGCTTTATGAGAGACTCTGAGCCAAAAGCACCCAGCTAAGCTGCACCCCAAAGAAACTGACTCACAGCAACCATGAGACAATAATGTCACTGTGTTAAGCCACTAAGTTTCAGGGTAGTTTGTTACACAGTAATAGATAATAATATATATAGTAATTTGACTAAACATTGCTAAGAGAATGTGCTAAGTCCAAAACAATATTGCAAATTCTTTTTCATTTTTTAATTATTTTTATTTGCATCATGATTTTTTTATAATATGAATGTGCAGAAGTGCAAATTCTATTTCTGAGTATATACCCAAGGAAAAAAAGTACACAGATCTGCCCAAAGATATGTACAAGAGTGTTCATAGCAATTTTATCATTACTTTTTTAAAAGGTCTTAAGGATACATCCTGAAATACTTATAAATAAGATACATGATGTCTAGAATTTGCTTTAAAATAACACAGGAGTGAGAGAAAAGTTGGTGGGGAATAGCTAAACAATTTGGGCATGACTTGATAATTACTGAATCTGAGTCTGAATACAAAGCAATTGGTTACACCAGTCTGTTTACTTCTGCATATGTTTCTCATTTTCCATAATAAAAACTTTAAATAAATAAGACAAAAAGTTTATTTTACAGACACTAGAAAAAAAAAATCCTGAAATAAAAAGAAGATCCTCTTTCCAAGACCTTAGAAAAGAAACTGTTCCAGGTAATAATGAGGTCTAAGGCAAGAAGTGATTGAAGTGAGAAGTAAGAGAACTTTGAGGCTCCAGTTCTGGTGAACTAATGCTGACTTTAGCTACCTGCCAAAGAATCACACCCTTCTCCCAAATTTGTTTCAAAAAGTATCTGTATTTCTTTTTCTTTTTTTTTTTTGAGATGGAGTCTTGCTCTGTCTCCCAGGCTGGAGTGCAGTGGTGCAATCTTGGCTCACTACAACCTCCGCCTCCTGGGTTCAATTGATTCTCCTGCCTCAGCCTCCCCAGTAGCTCGGACTATAGGCACGTGCCACCACACCCGGCTAATTTTTTGCATTTTTAGTAGAGAGGGGGTTTCACTGTGTTAGCCAGGATGATCTCGATCTTCTGACCTCGTGATCAGCCTGCCTCGGCCTCCCAAAGTGCTGGGATTACAGGTGTGAGCCACCACACCTGGCCTGTATTTCTTTTTAAGAGACAGGGTGGTAGGCACCTGTAATCCCAGCTACTCAGGAGGCTGAGGCAGGAGAATCGCTTGAACCCAGGAGGCGGAGGTTGCAGTAAGCCGAGATTGAGCCACTGCACTCCAGCCTGGACAACAAGAGCGAGACTCCGTCTCAAAAAAATAAATAAATAAATAAATAAATAAAAATAAAATTAGCCAGGCATGGTAGCACACACCTGTCATCCCAGCTACTCGGGTGGCTGAGGCACAAGAATTGCTTGAACCTGGGAGGTGGAAGTTGCAGTGAGCCGAGATCATGCCACTGCACTCCAGCCTGGGTGACAGTGAGACTATCTTAAACAAACAAACAAACACTGCGTACTCATTTACCCTTGGGCCCTGCAATTCCACTTCTAAGAACCTGTCCCAAACACAGTGGCAAGATATAAAAAGATGTATATATCCGCAAGGTTATGCATTTATATTATACCATTTATATTAGCAAAAGATTATAAACAATCCATTCACCCTGGCTGGAATGCAGTGGCGCAATCATAGCTCACTGCAACCTCAACCTCTTGGGCTCAAGTAATCCTCCCACCTTACCCTCCCAAGTATCTGGGACTAAAGGTGTGCAACTATCACACTTGGTTGATTTTTAAATTTTCTGTAGAGATGGGGTCTTGCTGTGTTGCCCAGGCTGGTCTCAAACTCTTGGCCTCAGGTCATCCTCCCACCTGGGCCTCCCAAAGCACTGGGAATACAGGCATGAGCCATCACACTTAGCTTCAAAAGGTATCGTGTGTTTTTTTTTTTGTTTTTTGTTTTTTTTTTTGAGATGGAGTCTCACTCTGTCTCCCAGGCTGGATGCGGTGGCGCGATCTCGGCTCACTGTAAGCTCCGCCTCCTGGGTTCACGCCATTCTCCTGCCTCAGCCTCCCGAGTAGCTGGAACTACAGCGCCCGCCACCACGCCTGGCTAATTTTTTGTATTTTTAGTAGAGACTGGGTTTCACCGTGTTAGCCAGGATGGTTTCGATCTCCTGACCTCGTGATCTGCCCGCCTCGGCTTCCCAAAGTGCTGGGATTACAGGCATGAGCCACCGCACCCAGCCCTAGGTATCTGTGTTTTTATAAAGGGTCCCAGAATTAGAATCACTGATCTAAGATGTAGTGACCCTGGAAAATTGCTAACATGAAAATAATGGATGCTAGACACGTTAAGGAAGCATAATGAGAGCCACTAATATGATATTGGAGTGGACAGAAAGAGACGGTCTGAGTGAAATGAAGGAAAGTCCTCAAGGTCAGTAGGAGAGAAGGATAAGAATGTGGAAAGAAAGAGAATAAAAGAAAGACACCAACTTCAAAACAGAAAGATTAACTGAAAAATGTTCTGACAGTGGAGATCTTATTCTTGCCCCACAATTCAACAAAAATAGATCTAAAGTATCTCTATCAGATAGGTTAGGGAAGAAAACATAGCCTCAAAAAAAACCAAAAATCTATCAATTTGTTCATTATAGTTCATAAAGTGTTGGGATTATGAAACCACCAAAAATCCTTACCAATCATTTAGTCTAATTCACCCATTTCAGACGAGAAAACTGCGTCTACCAAGGCTAATTAACTGGCATTCTAGAAAACTATGCAATTAATGATTAGAACTAGAGCTAAAATGTACCCCAATTTTCACTCTATCTGCCTTTCATCTTTATCTAATACCACATTTTCCATTTGGTAACTTACTTCTCTATTATGCTAAATGTCATTATATATTTTCATTCTTAAACAGTAGGCATTGGTCGACTGGCTCAAAATGAACCTATTTTAATCATTTTCTTTTAAAGGTCTCCCATTTCTGCTCAATTTTACTCTTCCCTCACTACCCCTATGTGTTCTGAGTAAATATCAGAGTTGCCTAGAAAACTTGTTGGCTAACTGACATCTATGCTTCCAAAAAAAAGTCAGAATATGAAAAGGCACACATAGTGCTATGCTATAAAAAGAAGAGCTGGCATTGCACACCTCTCTTATCATTTCCATGAATGTATACATAATTTACAATTGCCAGGAAGTAGGAGGATATTCTTCAACAAATGGGCTGAAAATCCCTAAATAGGTAAGACAGTAACAAGATAAACTATCTCAGCCTTACAATAAGGGACTATAGAGTACAAATAAGGCACATAAAGTGCACAGGCATAGTTGTTCACATGTGTTTATATTCTTCATAAACATGCATGTTCTGTGCACAGAATGTAATATGTAAAAAATGTTTTGAGGTCTTGAAAAATCTGATGTTTTTGCCACTTTTAGATTTGATTTAGAAAAATCAGCAAAAAGTGCAGGTATTAACTCATATATAAAAAAGGAAAGAAGGCCTAGAAAAGAGGAAATATACATGTCCTTACCACTTAGAAATGGTTGTTGAGGCACAGAGTTTGTAGAAAAGACACCAAGTTTGGAAAGGATCCATCTAGAAGCTTTTTTGATCTGGAGCTTGTACTTTACAGGCACTCGAGTGGGCACACTGGTACAAAGCAGTAGTGAGTGAGTCACCGTGTGTGAAGCAGAATATGGAATGTTCTAGGCTGGAAGATTAAAAAATAGGAAATATGGTCATCACTAACAGCCATGCTTACAACATGTTAACATTTTAGCAGCTTCCGTATATCACTAATCAAAAGTCTGCAAGTTCCTCAAAGGTGAAACATCATCCAGTAATTCCACACCCAGGTATATACTCCAGAGAAATGAAAACATACCCACACAAAAATATGTATACAAATGTTCATAGCAGCATTATTTGTAATGGTCAAAAGGCAGAAACAACCTAAATGTCATCAATTGATGAACAGATAAATAAAATGTGGTATACCCACAATGGAATATTACCTTGCCATGAAAAGGAATAAAGTACTGATACATGCTACAACATGGATGAATCCTAAAAAAAACATTATGCTGGGGGGAGGAGCCAAGATGGCCGAATAGGAACAGCTCCGGTCTACAGCTCCCAGCGGGAGCGACACAGAAGACGGGTGATTTCTGCATTTCCATCTGAGGTACTGGGTTCATCTCACTAGGAGTGCCAGACAGTGGGCGCAGGTCAGTGGGTGCAGCGCACCGTGCGCGAGCCGAAGCAGGATGAGGCATTGCCTCACTCGGGAAGCGCAAGGGGTCAGGGAGTTCCCTTTCCTAATCAAAGAAAGGGGTGACAGATGGCACCTGGAAAATCAGGTCACTCCCACTCAAATACTGCGCTTTTCCAACGGGCTTAAAAAACGGCGCACCAGGAGATTATATCCTGCACATGGCTCAGAGGGTCCTACGACCACGGAGTCTCACTGATTGCTAGCACAGCAGTCTGAGATCAAACTGCAAGGTGGCAGCGAGGCTAGGGGAGGGGCGCCCACCATTGCCCAGGCTTGCTTAGGTAAACAAAGCAGCCGGGAAGCTCGAACTGGGTGGAGCCCACCACAGCTCAAGGAGGCCTGCCTGCCTCTGTAGACTCCACCTCTGGGGGCAGGGCACAGACAAACAAAAAGACAGCAGTAACCTCTGCAGACTTAAATGTCCCTGTCTGACAGCTTTGAAGAGAGCAGTGGTTCTCCCAGCATGCAGCTGGAGATCTGAGAATGGGCAGACTGCCTCCTCAAGTGGGTCCCTGACCCCTGACCCCCCGAGCAGTCTAACTGGGAGGCACTGCCCAGTAGGGGCAGACTGACACCTCACACGGCCGGGTACTCCTCTGAGACAAAACTTCCAGAGGAACGATCAGACAGCAGCATTTGCGGTTCACGAAAAACCGCTGCTCTGCAAACACCGCTGCTAATACCCAGGCAAACAGGGTCTGGAGTGGACCTTTAGCAAACTCCAACAGACCTGCAGCTGAGGGTCCTGTCTGTTAGAAGGAAAACTAACAAACAGAAAGGACATCCACACCAAAAACCCATCTGTGCATCACCATCATCAAAGACCAAAAGTAGATAAAACCACAAAGATGGGGAAAAAACAGAGCAGAAAAACTGGAAACTCTAAAAAGCAGGGCACCTCTCCTCCTCCAACGGAACGCAGTTCCTCACCAGCAATGGAACAAAGCTGGGCAGAGAATGACTTTGACGAGTTGAGAGAAGAAGGCTTCAGACGATCAAACTACTCCGAGATACAGGAGGAAATTCAAACCAAAGGCAAAGAAGTTAAAAACTTTGAAAAAAATTTAGAGGAATGTATAACTAGAATAACCAATACAGAGAAGTGCTTAAAGGAGCCGATGGAGCTGAAAGCCAAGGCTCGAGAACTACATGAAGAATGCAGAAGCCTCAAGAGCCGATGCGATCAACTGGAAGAAAGGGTATCAGCGATGGAAGATGAAATGAAAGAAATGAAGCGAGAAGGGAAGTTTAGAGAAAAAAGAATAAAAAGAAATGAACAAAGCCTCCAAGAAATATGGTACTGTGTGAAAAGACCAAATCTACGTCTGATTGGTGTACCTGAAAGTGATGGGGAGAATGGAATCAAGTTGGAAAACACTCTGCAGGATATTGTCCAGGAGAACCTCCCCAATCTAGCAAGGCAGGCCAACATTCAGATTCAGGAAATGCAGAGAACACCACAAAGATACTCCTCGAGAAGAGCAACTCCAAGACAACTCCAAGACACATAATTGTCAGATTCACCAAAGTTGAAATGAAGGAAAAAATGTTAAGGGCAGCCAGAGACAAAGGTCGGGTTACCCACAAAGGGAAGCCCATCAGACTAACAGCGGATCTCTCAGCAGAAACTCTACAAGCCAGAAGAGAGTGGGGGCCAATATTCAACATTTTTAAAGAAAAGAATTTTCAACCCAGAATTTCATATCCAGCCAAACTAAGCTTCATAAGTGAAGGAGAAATAAAATACTTTACAGACAAGCAAATGCTGAGAGATTCTGTCACCACCAGGCCTGCCCTAGAAGAGCTCCTGAAGGAAACACTAAACATGGAAAGGAACGACCGGTACCAGCCGCTGCAAAATCATGCCAAAATGTAAAGACCATCGAGACTAGGAAGAAACTGCATCAACTAACAAGCAAAATAACCAGCTAACATCATAATGACAGGATCAAATTCACACATAACACTATTAACTTTATTTGTTAATAAAGTTAATTTAAATGTAATAAAGTCCATTTAAATGTAAATGGACTAAATGATCCAATTAAAAGACACTGACTGGCAAATTGCATAAAGAGTCACGACCCATCAGTGTGCTGTATTCAGGAAACCCATCTCACGTGCAGAGACACACATAGGCTCAAAATAAAGGGATGGAGGAAGATCTACCAAGCAAATGGAAAACAAAAAAAGGCAGCGGTTGCAATCCTAGTCTCTGATAATACAGACTTTAAACCAAAAAAGATCAAAAGAGACAAAGAAGGCCATTACATAACGGTAAAGGGATCAATTCAACAAGAAGAGCTAACTATCCTAAATAGATATGCACCCAATACAGGAGCACCCAGATTCATAAAGCAAGTCCTGAGTGACCTACAAAGAGACTTAGACTCCCACACATTAATAATGGGAGACTTTAACACCCCACTGTCAACATTAAACAGATCAATGAGATAGAAAGTTAACAAGGAAACCCAGGAATTGAACTCAGCTCTACACCAAGCAGACCTAATAGACATCGACAGAACTCTCCACCCCAAATCAACAGAATATACATTTTTTTCAGCACCACACCACATCTATTCCAAAATTAACCACATAGTTGGAAGTAAAGCTCTTCTCAGCAAATGGAAAAGAACAGAAATTATAACAAACTATCTCTCAGACCACAGTGCAATCAAACTAGAACTCAGGATTAAGAAACTCACTCAAAACCGCTCAACTACATGGAAACTGAACAACCTGCTCCTGAACGACTACTGGGTACATAACAAAATGAAGGCAGAAATAAAGATGTTCTTTGAAATCAACGAGAACAAAGACACAACATACCAGAATCTCTGGGACACATTTAAAGCAGTGTGTAGAGGGAAATTTACAGCACTAAATGCCCACAAGAGAAAGCAGGAAAGATTCAAAATTGACACCCTAACATCACAATTAAAAGAACTAGAAAAGCAAGAGCAAACACATCCAAAAGCTAGCAGAAGGCAAGAAATAACTAAAATCAGAGCAGAACTGAAGGAAATAGAGACACAAAAAACCCTTAAAAAAATTAATGAATCCAGGAGCCGGTTTTTTGAAAGGATCAACAAAATTGATAGACCGCTAGCAAGACTAATAAAGAAAAAAAGAGAGAAGAATCAAATAGACACAATAAAAAATGATAAAGGGGATATCACCACCGATCCCACAGAAATACAAACTACCATCAGAGAATACTACAAACACCTCTATGCAAATAAACTAGAAAATCTAGAAGAAATGGATAAATTCCTCGACACATACACCCTCCCAAGACTAAACCAGGAAGAAGTTGAATCTCTGAATAGACCAATAACAGGAGCTGAAATTGTGGCAATAATCAATAGCTTACCAACCAAAAAGAGTCCAGGACCAGATGGATTCAAAGCCGAATTCTACCAGAGGTACAAGGAGGAACTGGTACCATTCCTTCTGAAACTATTCCAATCAATAGAAAAAGAGGGAATCCTCCCTAACTCATTTTATGAGACCAGCATCATCCTGATACCAAAGCCGGGCAGAGACACAACCAAAAAAGAGAATTTTAGACCAATATCCTTGATGAACATTGATGCAAAAATCCTCAATAAAATACTGGCAAACCGAATCCAGCAGCACATCAAAAAGCTTATCCACCATGATCAAGTGGGCTTCATCCCTGGGATGCAAGGCTGGTTCAATATATGCAAATCAATAAATGTAATCCAGCATAAAAACAGAACCAAAGACAAAAACCACATGATTATCTCAATAGATGCAGAACAGGCCTTTGACTAAATTCAATAACCCTTCATGCTAAAAACTCTCAATAAATTAGGTATTGATGGGACGTATCTCAAAATAATAAGAGCTATCTATGACAAACCCACAGCCCATATCATACTGAATGGGCAAAAACTGGAAGCATTCCCTTTGAAAACTGGCACAAGACAGGGATGCCCTCTCTCACCACTCCTATTCAACATAGTGTTGGAAGTTCTGGCCAGGGCAATCAGGCAGGAGAAGGAAATAAAGGGTATTCAATTAGGAAAAGAGGGAGTCAAATTGTCCCTGTTTGCAGATGACACGATTGTATATCTAGAAAACCCCATCGTCTCAGCCCAAAATCTCCTCAAGGTGACAAGCAAATTCAGCAAAGTCTCAGGATACAAAATCAATGTACAAAAATCACAAGCATTCTTATACACCAATAACAGACAAACAGAGAGCCAAATCATGAGTGAACTCCCATTCACAATTGCTTCAAAGAGAATAAAATACCTAGGAATCCAACTTACAAGGGATGTGAAGGACCTCTTCAAGGAGAACTACAAACCACTGCTCAATGAAATAAAAGAGGATACAAACAAATGGAAGAACATTCCATGCTCATGGGTAGGAAGAATCAATATCGTGAAAATGGCCATACTGCCCAAGGTAATTTATACATTCAATGCCATCCCCATCAAGCTAGCAATGACTTTCTTCACAGAATTGGAAAAAAACTACTTTAAAGTTCATATGGAACCAAAAAAGAGCCCGCATCGCCAAGTCAATCCTAAGCTGAAAGAACAAAGCTGGAGGCATCATACTTCCTGACTTCAAACTATACTACAAGGCTACAGTAACCAAAACAGCATGGTACTGGTACCAAAACAGAGATATAGACCAATGGAACAGAACAGAGCCCTCAGAAATAATGCCGCATATCTACAACTATCTGATCTTTGACAAACCTGAGAAAAACAAGCAATGGGGAAAGGATTCCCTATTTAATAAATGGTGCTGGGAAAACTGGCTAGCCATATGTAAAAAGCAGAATCTGGATCCCTTCCTTACACCTTATACAAAAATCAATTCAAGATGGATTAAAGACTTAAACGTTAGACCTAAAACCGTAAAAACCCTAGAAGAAAACCTAGGCATTACCATTCAGGACATAGGCATGGGCAAGGACTTCATGCCTAAAACACCAAAAGCAATGGCAACAAAAGCCAAAATTGACAAATGGGATCTAATTAAACTAAAGAGCTTCTGCACAGCAAAAGAAACTACCATCAGAGTGAACAGGCAACCCACAAAATGGGAGAAAATTTTCGCAACCTACTCATCTGACAAAGGGCTAATATCCAGAATCTACAATGAACTCCAACAAATTTACAAGAAAAAAACAAACAACCCCGTCAGAAAGTGGGCGAAGGACATGAACAGACACTTCTCAAAAGAGGACATTTATGCAGCCAAAAAACACACGAAAAAATGCTCACCATCACTGGCCATCAGAGAAATGCAAAAACCACAATGAGATATCATCTCACACCAGTTAGAATGGCAATCATTAAAAAGTCAGGAAACAACAGGTGCTGGAGAGGATGTGGAGAAATCGGAACACTTTTACACTGTTGGTGGGTCTGTAAACTTGTTCAACCATTGTGGAAGTCAGTGTGGCGATTTCTCAGGGGTCTAGAACTAGAAATACCATTTGACCTGGCCATACCATTACTGGGTATATACCCAAAGGACTATAAATCAAGCTGCTATGAAGACACATGCACATGTATGTTTATTGTGGCACTATTCACAATAGCAAAGACTTGGAACCAACCCAAATGTCCAACAATGATAGACTGGATTAAGAAAATGTGGCACATATACACCATGGAATACTATGCAGCCATAAAAAAGGATGAGTTCATGTCCTTTGTAGGGACATGGATGAAATTGGAAATCATCATTCTCAGTAAACTATCGCAAGAACAAAAAACCAAACACCACATATTCTCACTCTTAGGTGGGAATTGAACAACGAGAACATATGGACACAGGAAGGGGAACATCACACTCTGGGGACTGTTGTGGGGTGGGGGGAGGGGGGAGGGATAGCACTGGAAGATATACCTAATGGTAGATGACGAGTTAGTGGGTGCAGTGCACCAGCATGGCACATGTATACATATGTAACTAACCTGCACATTGTGCACATGTACCCTAAAACTTAAAGTATAATAATAAAAAAAAACAAAAAAACATTATGCTAACTGAAAGAAGCCACTCACAAAAGGCCACGTAGTATATGATTCCATTTATATGAAATGTCCATAATAGACAAATCTAACAAAGAGAAACCACGTAAGTGGTTGCCTAGGGCCAGGAGACAAAAGATAGGTGGTGACTATTAATGGGTACAGGGTTTCTTTCAGAGGGTGATGAAAATGTTCTCAAAATCTATTATAGTAATGGTTTTGCAATTCTGTGAATATAAAAAAGGCTCTAATTGTACACTTTATTTATTTGAAAAGGGGTTTGACTCTGTCACCTAGGCTGGAGTGCAATGACGCAATTATAGCTCACTGCAGCCTCAAACTCCTGTGTTCAAGCAATCCTCCTGCCTCAGCCTCCAGGGTACCTAGAAGTGCAGGAGCATGCCACCATGTCTGACTAATTTTTTTAATTTTTTGTAGAGATGGGGTCTTGTTGTGTTGCCCAGACCAGTCTCTATTTCCTGGCCTCAAGTGTTCCTCCTCCCTCACATTCCAAAGTACTGGGATTTCAGGCATGAGCTATCACGCATGGCCTTAAGTTGTACATTTTCAATTGGTGACTTGCACGGCATGTGAATTATATCTCAATAAAGCTGCTACTTTTTAAAAACTACAGTCTATAACTTCCTAACTACTAACCAATATCTGACATATTATTCTACATCACCTTATAACTCCATATAATGAGAAAAGCATTGAATTCAGTGATAAAACCAGATTACTGGCAATCCTAAAACCGTAGACAAGCAACAAGTTCTGAGCTTCAATT